>NC_000001.11:41978077-42281107 GCF_000001405.40 Homo sapiens | reverse complement strand
AGTCTCATTACTGGCACTGGTGGAAGGGAGCAGAAGGCAAAGATGGTTCTCAGTAGGGAGCACCTGCAATAACAATTATATTCCAATTTGTAATATGCTTTTGTATGAAAATGCATGTAACTGGCTGCTTTGGGAATTTGAACAAAATAAAGCTCTACTCCATGGAGACTTGATTGAGGTAAATTGGATGACAGCATGGTATAAAATAGCCAATCTTTATTGAATGAAATGTGAATAATAATATAAGCAACTACTCTTATTACCAATACGAGTAGTTAACATTTGTTGAATACTTATTACTTGCCTGGCACTGTTCTGAATACTTTACATCAGTGAGGTGGGAACTATTTAAATTTTTTCATCTTACAGATGAGGTATGTTTAGCAAAACTACCAGATTGGGTATCAGGAGATCTGGGCTCTGGTTTTTGTACTACTGCTAACTACCTGTGTGAAATTGGATGAGCTTTAACTGCAGTTTTTCATTACTGAAGGGATTCATCTCTGATCTCTAGGGTACTTTCTCTACTGTTTTGACATTGTGTGATCTCTAAATTATCCTATCTTCTTATTCTACAAGTCCCTATAACTTCTTGCTGGGAACAGGCATTTCTGGTTGAGATTGTAGAGTAGGATAGTAAGTTTTTTTTTTTTTTTTTTTTTTTTTTTTAAGATCTCTGAAGATGCTATATGGATGAATTTAAAGTTCAGGTTCAGAGGAATGTGTACAATAGAGATGGAGGGAATTTGAGAAAATGAGTAAGGTAAAATTATGGATCAACATACCTGAAAATCAAGAGGACTCAATTTACTGGCAGTGCAGGTAGAATCCTCGTGGTTGTCTTCTGATTTATAATTGCTTTTGCTTAATGTGGTTTACTTTATAGTGCATTGGTGCCCTCCCAAGATACTCCTAGACTAATATTATTAACTAGCACTTACTGAATATTTTTTTGTGCATGTTTTAATACATTTAATTTTCAAAGTAATATTTTGACCATAAGTACTATTGTTGCATTTTACAGATGAGGAAACTGGGAGGTAGAGGTAATTAACATCTTCACAGTTCTACAGCTTATAACTGTTAGAATCAGTACTTAGACTCTGGGTCTTCCTTACCCCAAACTCCCTGTTCTTTATTATTCTCTGTTGCCGCCAAGTTGTTCAGATCCTATACATAATATTCAAGGTTGCTTTTTGTCAGGAGCCATTTGGAATGAAGGGGCTATATGGGATTTTCATAGCTACAAATGTTTTCTTTTGACTTTTAAGTCAAAAGAAACCTTTAAGTTTTTTTTTATTTTGTTGTCCTTTTTTCCTTTATTTTGATATCACTTAGAAGTCTTTTCATTCTTCTCTACTTTATTGTCAGTCATTATTCCTGCTTCTTTGATCCCAGAATAGAAGGGCTTATGTCCTCTGCTGAAAGTTAACAATTCCAATGTGAAGTGTCAAGCCTTGTTTCTATATTCTTATCTTCAATTCTTAGAGCAGCTTTCTCCCTTTTCGAGGATATGTGTTAACCTGGCAGATTTAGTTTTCTTTCTTTGTGTGGTAATGGTCTGAATTTTTCAGCTTTGGAGAGAAATACACTACAGAATTCAAATCACTGGACGTTTGCCCAAACCTGTCTTTTAGTTTTTAATGCTTCTTTTCTTGCTGACCATTTATGTGATTTAATGCCTTAGATTCTGTACTCCCACAATTTCAGTTAGTTTTTGTAAACCTGTTCCTTGACTTGTTTTTTAAAAAAAGTAACTCCCTGGTACTGCCTAATTTAATTTTTCTCTCACTCATCAGTGTCCTTGACTTTGCATTCCTTTTTTCGGTCAACTCCCCCAGCTAGCTTGTCTCCTTGCTATTCTTGTATACCCTGCTTTACTCTTCCTACCGCCTACCTGCATAAACTCTACCTTCTTTCCTTCATGCAGATTCCTATGCCAGTTTCTCAGTTACTTCTCTGACCTCTTGCCTCCACCTTACTTTTTGGTAATTTGTTTTTATGACTCTCCTAAAATTTGTGTAAAAGAAATGCCAGAGGTACATTTTAAGCTTTTAACGGCTTGTGGTGGTGGTGAGTAAAAGAGTTGGGCTGCAGCTGGGTTTTTCTTACCAAGATCCTGTTGCCCTCTTAAAGAAACAGGCAGTGATTTTTAGAAAGATTGGCATCGGAACCACTTTGTTTGTCTATATTCTGTATTTTAAACAATTTTAAAACCAAGTTTGTTATGTTTTGGTGAGGAAAAAATTAAGAAAAAAGATTGGAATGTTGATCCCTTAAATATTTGGTTTGCTCATTAACATACTCAATCTTTTTCCTCCAGATGTAACTCAGGCTTTCCCTCACTTTGGAACTCCTAGATTTGTGAATATTGGATATTTTGAGAAGCAGGGGTTCTTTCCTTGATATTGACTAAGGAGTCTATTTACCTTCAGGATGACATCTGAACTGGAGAGCAGCCTAACGTCTATGGACTGGTTACCACAGCTCACCATGAGAGCAGCCATCCAAAAATCTGATGCTACACAAAATGCACATGGAACAGGAATTTCTAAGAAGAATGCACTCCTTGACCCAAATACAACTCTGGACCAGGAAGAAGTCCAACAGCACAAAGATGGGAAACCTCCATACAGTTATGCCAGCCTCATTACATTTGCAATTAATAGCTCACCCAAAAAGAAAATGACTTTAAGTGAAATTTATCAGTGGATTTGTGATAACTTCCCATATTATAGAGAGGCTGGCAGTGGTTGGAAGGTAAGGATTTTATTTAAATTATTACTTTTATGAAGTAAGCAATGATGTTGATTTCTACTGAAAATAAAGCTTTGTGAATGCTCATGTAATTGAATATGAAATTTTGATCTCTAGTGATTTTTAGGATGTCAAAAAGTTTTTAGCTTAGGTGAATAACTTTATTTTTGGTAGATTATTAGTGTGTTGAAGCTTGATTATGTTATAGGACTGATGTAGCATAAAGTAAGAGCGGGGATAATGTAGCGTTCACTGGAAACCATACCTGCAGTTCAGGTGAGTTGACAGTGAGCCTAAAGTGAAAAACAACGTAGTATTGCAACTAGTACTAACTGTCTTTATCAGTCAAGATTTTTTTTTTTTTTTTTTTTTTTGAGATGGAGTCTCGCTCTGACGCCTAGGCTGGAGTGCAGTGGCGCGATCTTGGCTCACTGCAAGCTTCGCCTTCTGGGTTCACGCCATTCTCCTGCCTCAGCCTCCTGAGTAGCTGGGACTATAGACGCCTGCCACCATGCCCAGCAGATTTTTTTTTTTTTTTTTTTTTTTTTTTTTTTGAGACGGAGTCTCGCTCTGTCGCCCAGGCTGGAGTGCAGTGGCGGGATCTCGGCTCACTGCAAGCTCCGCCTCCCGGGTTCACGCCATTCTCCCGCCTCAGCCTCCCAAGTAGCTGGGACTACAGGCGCCCGCCACTACGCCCGGCTAATTTTTTGTATTTTTAGTAGAGACGGGGTTTCACCGTTTTAGCCGGGATGGTCTCGATCTCCTGACCTCGTGATCCGCCCGCCTCGGCCTCCCAAAGTGCTGGGATTACAGGCGTGAGCCACCGCGCCCGGCCAGATTTTTTGTATTTTTAGTAGAGATGGGATTTCACCGTGTTAGCCAGGGTGGTCTCGATCTCCTGACCTTGTGATCCGCCCGCCTCGGCCTCCCAAAGTGCTGGGATTACAGGCGTGAGCCACCGTGCCTGGCCAAGATTTTTTTTTTTTTTAATTAGAGACAAGGTCTTGCTCTGTTACCCAAGGTCGAGTGCCTGAGCACGCCACCATGGCCAGCTAATTTTTAAATTTCCTGTAGAGATGGGGCCTTGCTCTGTTGCCCATGCTGGTCTCGAACTCCTGGCTTCAAGTGATCCTCCTGCTTCGGCCTGCCAAAGTTTTGGGGTTACAGGTGTGAGACACTGTGCCTGGCCAAGACTTTTAAAAAATATTTATCTTGAAAGAATTTTAGATTATTGCAAGAGTTGCAAAAGCAATACAGAAGGTTCCCATGTATATTTCATCAGCTTCTTCTAATGTTAACATCTTACATAACCATAGTACAATTATCAAAACTAAGAAATTGACTGAGCATGGTGGCTCACGCCTGTAATCTCAGCGCGTTGAGAGGTGAAGGCAAGAGGATTGCTTTAGGACAAGAGTTTGAGACCAGCCTGGGCAATATATGTTGCTCATGATTAGATGTTTTCTTGTAATTAGAATGAGGTAATACATTTTTGGGAAGAATAATACCGATATGGCCTTTTGTGCATAACATATCAGAGGATAGATAATATAAGTATGTCTTAATGGGAATGTTAACTGTGATTCTTCGGTTAAGGGGATGTCTGCCAGGTTTCTTCATTGTAAAGTTTACTATTTATCACTTTGTAAATAATAATATGTTTTGGGGGGATGCTTTGAGCATATGCAAATACAGTAAGTCCTCAACTTTGATAGGTTCTTGGAAACTGACTTTAAGCAAAACAACATAAAATGAGACCAATTTTTTTTCCTCATCAACATTATAACGAAATGATGTTATTTGAAGACGTGCTATACTTTTGTTTGACTTAGTGTTGCGGTTTCCAAGAACCCCATTAGTAGTGCTAAATGAAGACTTACTGTACTTTATTTCTTAAACTTTTATCCATTAATTTTAGCATTCATTGGTAGGTTATAACGGTAGCAATTATTACTCTCTCCCCTCTCTTCCCCTTTCCCCCGCCCCCTTTTTTTTAAGACAGAGTCTTGCTTTGTTGTCCAGGCTGGAGTGCAGGGGCACCATGTCGGCTCACTGTAACCTCCGTCTCCTGGGTTCAAGCAATTCTCCCGCCTCAGCCTCTCGAGTAGCTGGGATTACAGGCGCCCACCACTGTGCCTGGCTAATTTTTATATTTTTAGTAGAGACAGGGTTTCACCATGTTGGCCAGGCTGATCTCGAACTCCTGACATCAGGTGATCCACCTGCCTCAGCCTCCCAAAGTGTTGGGATTACAGGTGTGAGCCACTGTGCCTGGCCAATTATTACTGTTTTTAAATGGTGATTGTCCCTTTTCCTTAATTCCTTTGACATTTATTAATTGATATTCTTCTGAAAAGATGAGTTGTTCCTTTAGTCCCTTTTATTCATTCAATAATTTATTTCTAATAGTATGCACTCATAGATATTTATTCTTTGTGCTGTTGTTGTCATTCAAATTGTGCAACTTTGGCCACTGGGAGCTCTTACAGGCTGGCCCCATACTTCTGTTTGCTTAGCCCTTTTTTTTGGCACCTTGAGATGTTCCAGGGCTATATTGTATCTTCCTTGCCCCTGGAATCAACCATTTCTTTAAGGAGACTTTTGAGGTACTAGCTAATTTATGTTATACAACAAATCATTCAACTTTCTTTTTTTAAATTTTTATTTTAAGTTTTATTTTGTTTTTAGACAAAGTCTTGTTTTCTCTGTCAGCCTGGCTGGAGTTCAGTGGTATGATCCTAGCTCACTGCAGCCTCAAACTCCTGGGCTCAAGTGGTCCTCCTGAGTAGCTACGACTACGGGTGGGTGCTGCTATGCCCACCTGGCTAATTTTTAGGGTCTTGCTATGTTGCCTGGACTGGTCTTGGCCTCAAGTGATCTGCCTGCCTCTGCTTCCCAAAGTGCCGGGATTATAGATGTGGGCCACTGCTTTCTTTCGTCCCTGCACATGTTATATTCATATTCTTACATAGGAATTAACAAGTCGTGTGCTATGTGGGGTGTGTGTATACATGTAGAGGAAGGGAGTTATAGGGCTTTAGGTCTATCATCAGATGGTAGTTACTCTTTAGTTTCTCTTAGGCCTTCCTACTTCAACACTTTTGCCTTTTTCATTTGACTGGATTTATTAGAGACATTTGCTGATTTACCGTGCACCAAGGATGTGCTGTGCGTGATTCCCTTGTAAGGGAAGGGATTGTGCCTCATTGAAGTTTTTGTATCTCTTTCTCTTCCATACCTTAGCACAGAGTGCTTCCATTTAGTAAGCTTCAATAAGTGCAGTTTGAATGAAAGCATGAATCTTGGTCCCAATCTACCTTTTCAGCTTTATTTTTTGTACCTTCCTTTCATATACTTCTCGCCATTCCAGCCTACTAGCTGTCCCTGTAAGTAAGCACATCTATTTCCTTCTTGCTTTTGTTTTTTTCTTATTTCTCCTTGGACCTTGTCTCTTTTGCCCCCCCGCCGCCTTTTTTTTTTAGTTGATATTGCCCTATTATTTCAGCTCATGTATTATTTCTCATCTCCCTATAGAATCAGTCTCTTGTGTTACCATATGCTTTATTAATAACAGTATTATAAACTTAGAGTTTTTTTGTTCAGAAATCTTGTTTCATTAGTTTTTGTTTCTGTACTTAGATACTCAAATAATAGCTGCTTTTATTATTTTCTGTCTGCCAGGCACTATACTAAGTGCCATCATTGTCTCTTTAGGCCACACAATAGCCTTATGAAGTAGGTACTATTATTTTCCAAATTTTAAAGGTGAAAAAACTGAGAATTAGAGAAGTTAAGTAACTTTGTAGAGTTTCTCAGCTAGAGAATGATAGAGTCAGGATTTGGTACCAGACTTGGTAGATGTAGAGATTTTTTTCAATGCTCATGTTCTTAACCATTACACAAGATGCATAATTCTGCAAAAACTATATTAAATACTTAATAAATTTAATTTTCCAGGATAAACTCCCCTCAACTGGCTGACTCAGTATGAGAAGTGATTGTTAACAGTATATTTTGAATAGGAGTCTATCCTAACAGAATGTTTCAGTGGAGGATATACCGAATAAAACTTGAATGAAACATGAATCAATGCATCATTCTAAGCAAGTAGTAGTGGCTCTATTTAAGCTGTGCTTTCTGGCTTTACCCCTGGGTACTGTAGACTTTCTTTGTCAATATTTAGCCTGAGAAAAGGCTAGAAAATTTTGATAAACCTGTGTGGCAATGAACACACATGGTGGCTAGGGAGTAGAAATGGCTAAAATTTGAGTATGTGGCTTAGAAAGCCCAATAAGAATTCATGGGTCTGTATCATTGATTGTAAACCTAAGTGCCTGCAGATGCCAGGTAGGTGACGTAAATGGGGAAAGCAAAAAAGGTGCCAGACTAAAGAGTGTGTTTAATGTAAAAGGAGCAACTATGTTCTAGTCAGTTACTGCTTTTTAGGGCACATGGCAGATCTTCCAGTCTACCCCGCTCCCCAAGAAAAGGGAAATCTGGATTTTGTGTGTAATTTTCAAATTTTTAACTGTTGTCAACTAATTCTGATTTTCATGAATCTCTGCAGGCCAGACATAAATCTTGTGTCTGGGTTCAGCCTAGGGAGTACTAATTTGGAATATCTGGTCTACATGATATCCTCCTCTTTTCTGCAATTTTTTTTTTTTTTTTTTTTTGAGATGGAGTGTCGCTCTGTTGTCCAGGCTGGAGTGCAGTGGTGTGATCTCGGCTCACTGCAAGCTCTACCTTCCTAGTTCAAGTGATTCTCATGCCTCAGCCTCCCGAGTAGCAGGGACTATAGGCGCATGCCACTATGCCTAGCTATTTTTTTGTATTTTTAGTAGAGATGGGGTTTCACCATGTTGGCCAGGCTGGTTCCGAACTCCTGACTTCAAGTGATCTGTCTACCTTGGCCTCCCAAAGTGCTGGTATTACAGGTGTGAGCCACCACGCCTGGTCCTCAGCTGATTTCGTCTTTCATTTGATAATGTGAAAAGGATTTATTTATTATCTGCTCTTGTGAAGCAGTATGCTAGGCTTTGGCAGTACTAGGAAGCATAGCACAGGGCCTAAGGGAGCTACAATCTTTATTAGATGAGAAGAATACATATAAACAAGTAATTATGCTGTGTAAAAAGCTCTGTAATAGAGGAATCCAGAGTGCTGTGCTATAAATAGTTGACTAATTGGCCACACCTACTGTGTGTAAACTATAAAAATATCCATTGTGTATGTGACGTAGTAAAAAGTGTTAAATGAAGGGTACAGTTAATGAGTTTATGGGGAGTATGATAATCTAAATTGAGTGGTACAGAGTAAATGCCACTAGAGTACAAGGAAGTGGGGAATCATTAGATAACCATTGAGGGAAGTGGGACTTGAGCTGTGTTTTGAAGAAGAGTTAAGATTTGTGGAGGTGTTTTTCAAAGTTCAAGTGTTAGGAAGCACTTGGTTATAGTGGCTTGCAGTAGAGAACGTGATAGAGTCAGAATATGGAGATCCTATGAATATATGAATGCCAAACTGAAGAGCTTGGTCCAAATTTAAGGAATAGCATATAAAGTTCGAGTATTGTTTTCCTCATTAACTTGTCTGGCTTCATTTTTGATGACGTCTACCTAAAAATGCCAAATCCATTCTGCTGATACTCCTTGCCGATAGCCAGCCCAAGTCATGGGTCTGAAACTGTTTTAGATGTAGTGATAAAGTTTCAATGGGAAGAAAAAGAAATAGAGAACTAATGGGTAGAGAAGGATGATGTTGCTCTTAGAACTAGAAGATCCTGAGAGAGATGATCTGGTCCAATCTACTGCTTTAGGCAGACTTTTAATATTTCCAGAGATTACTATTAAAATTTCCTTTACCCAATTTTTAAGTATTTGGTGCCTAGCACATGGCATGATCACTTTTAATTTTATTTTTATAAACATAGAAATATTTTGAACACTTCGAGTGGAGACAGATGGAACCTAGTTTATCTTCTCCTTTGCGCAGGCCTTGTTCTATTTTACTTCCCATTCACTCTCCTTAGTTTTGTTTAGAACACTTCAGCAGTCTGCTGCTAACTCTTCTTCAGGTATGGAGGCGATAGGATGTGGGAAAATGGGAGGTCACTTAGAGCTTGTGAAGTTAGCTTGTATTGGTTGAAGAGAGGTTTGGAGAAAGACCTTAAAGTGACTGTCACCACCTTTCCAGAAATGCAGAGTGAACTGATGCAACACAGAGGACATTATGTTGCCCCTGTTGCTTAAAAGGACTCAAATAGAATTTTAGTAAACTCCCTTTCATTTTGTGTCAGGGCCTTGAAGGGAGATTACATATTAAAAATACCTCTTTGGATATTCCATAATTGAATGATTTTGTATTCTGAACTAGAGGAAAAGGAATTAAATTTTCAGGCTCTGTGCAGTGGGGGCTCATGGCTCATGCCTATAATCCCAGCACTTTGGGAGGCCAAGGCAGGAGAATCACTTGAGACCAGTCTGGCCAGCATAGCGAGACCCTGTCTCCACAAAGTAAAAAATAAAAAAAGAAATTAGCCGGGCATGGTAGCGTGTCCCTGTGGTCCCAGCTACTTGAGAGGCTGAGGTGGAAGGATTACTAGAGCCCAGGAGGTTGAGGTTGCAGTGAGTTATGATCATGCCACTACACTGCAGCCTGGTGACAGAGCGAGACCCTGTCTCCAAAAGAATAAAATAAAAAATAAAATTTCATGGTATTCACTTTGAGGAAAGTTAACTTATTAAGTTGTTGAAGTTTAGGATAATTTTAAAAAAGAAAAATACAAAGGTGGTGTGTGGGTGTATTGTGCTACTTTTTGTGTGGGTAAAAAAGGAATAATATTATACATTATGTGTTTGGTCATTGTTGTGAAAAGAAATTTAGGAATTTAAACTAGAAGTGTATTTAATATAACTACCCCTAGGGGATAGTTGGGAGCCAAGGTGGAAAGGATGTAGAAGGAAATAAGATTTTGAATATACCTTTTTATATGGTTTTAACTTTTGAACCCATGTACATGTTTTACATATTTAAAAAAAAAATGAAAAGGGATGAAAAAAGGAAACCCTCAAAGAGAATGCAAGCAGAAACAAGCCTAACATTGTTTTGAATTAATAATGTGATCACACAGAAAAAAGCAAATTGAAGAAACTTTTGGTATATACCTTATATACCTTCATGGCATACATTCCAAGGCCAAAAATAGTTACAAAGAAATCATCAACTTAGTAGATTTGTGTCCGGTAGTGGAACTTCAGTAGAGGCAGTCTCTATCTCCAAAAAACCCCTAGGAAAGAAGCTGGGAGGGAAGAAGTTAGAAAGTTGAGAGCAGTTCTGAAACCATTTTAGGTAGGGTAGAACAAATGAGTACTTATATTGATTTTTGGGGGGACCTGTGGGGACAGAAACCAGGACTCACAGAAGAAAGAATGGATAAGAATGTAGCAGTTGGTTGGATTGGAGGTGGCAGTTTAAACTCAGCTTTAAATAAAAATTACATAGAATGCTTTTAAAATTAGAATTGTCAGGTCACTACTCCAGAGATTTTAAATTAGGTGCCTTGGATAGAGCCTAGGAATCTGCATTAAAATAACATTTCAAGTAATTCTAGTGCAGATAAACTGTAGTTTTGAGAAACTGCTTTTGGGGACGGTGTTTTTAAGGCCAATCAGCATGGCTTCATCATATTGATTGATTAGGTGATTGAAAAAAATCACCTAATTATTTCTGCCTCTCCACTTCACCAACTTCTTTTCTTGGGGTTATGGGAGATGGGGACTACCCAAGCTGTAAGGTCTGAAGTAACCTCTTTTCTTTGTGGGTTTTATGTGTATGTACAAGTCTTGGCTTTCGTATCTCAGTGTTTTTACATTCTAAATAGGTGTTAGGTATTTTTTTTCCAACAGATATGTGATTACCCTTTGAAAAACATTGTATCCTAGCTTTTGGGTTAAAAGACAAGGTTCCTACCCTCATGGAACCTATTTACATTTTGGTAGAGAATACAGCATGGAGGGGGAAGACCATTAAACAAACAATTGCAAAGGTGATGAGAAATTCAGGATGACGAAGTTTATTACAGTGGAACTTATATCTGTGAACACCAGAAAGGGCTTCCCTAAAGAACTGAAGTTTAATCCAAGAATGAATTGAAAACTGAGTAGATTGATTTAGGTAAAGAAGATGGAGTAAGGCTGGGGGCAGTAATCTTTGCAGATGTAGCAATTTGTGGAAAGCTTAGAACCTGAGAGAGAACATTGGAGGGGATGAATGTTGAAAGCAAGATAGGGTCAGATCATGAAGAGTCTTTGGGGGCTTAAGAATATTGGATTTTGTCCTAAGTGCACTGGAAGTTTTTAAGTTAAGGGGTAACACCAAAATTGCATTGTGAAGACATAACTCTCTGCAGGGTGGAGAATGATGGAAGCAGGGCTGAGAGGAAGGGAGACACCAGTTAGGAAGCTGTTGTACTAGTTTTGCTGAGACTGGTTCCCTGGATTGAGATAGTCACAGAAAAGATGGGGTAAGATAGGCAGATCTAAGGTAGGCTTAGTAAGATTTAGTGATAGATTTGTTTTAGATGGTAAGGAAGAGACAGGAGTTAAGGATGTTTTTTAGGTTTCTCATTGGAGCAGTTATGTGAATAATAATGTCTTTAAACTGAGAAGGGAAAACTGAAATAAGATCACATTGGGCATAAAGATTGAGTTTAATTTTAAATATGTTGAGTTTGAGGAGTTTCTGGAGATGTGCAGTTGATAGTTGGAAATACACGTTAGGAACTCAGGAGAAAGGTCTGTGCTGGATCTAGACAGATTTAAGTGATTTATCACAGGTGGCAATTGGCTGTAACTGAGATTGGCTAGGCAGCAGATGTAGAAATGAAAAAGACATAGGGCAGAACCCTGAAGATTTCCAACATTTAAGCTTTTTGTAGAGGAGGAAGACTGTAGAGGTGTGTACTTCCTTTGAAGTGATGAGTTCACACTGAGCCATTTACTAATGATACTTGTTTCTTCTGACCATCTTGATTTGTATTTTCCCCTCATCTTGAACTTTTAAGCTGGGTAGGTGAACTAGTTTGTCTGATGCCTCTTTCTTTTTTCATGTCTTATTTTAGATTTGAATTGTGTATTTTTTATGATTCCATTTTATCGCCACAATTCTGTTATTAGTTATCCCCTTTCTAAATTGTTTTTAGTGATTACTCTAGGGTTTACTATATACATCTTAGTTCATTCAGGCTGCTATAACAACAAAAAGAAAACCAAAAACCTAGAGTGGGGGGCTTACAAACAACAAATGTTTATTTCTCATAATTCTGGAGGCTGGGAATTCCAAAATCAAGATGCCAGCAGATTCTGGTGATGGCCTGTTTCCTGGCTCATAGATGATCCCATTCTCATTATAACCTTACATGGTAGAATAGGGAAATAAATTCTCTGAGGCCTCTTTTATAAACACTAGTCTCATTCATGAGGACACCCTTCATAACCTAATCACCTTAAAGGCTCCACCTCCAAATATCATCACATTGGGAATTAGGTTTCAACATAAGAATTTTGAGGGGACGCAGATATTCAGTTGATTGTAACATCTTTAAGTTACTGCACTTTACCTTCAAATAGTATTAAACCATTTCATGTATAATGTAAGAATTTTATAAACCACGTCTTTCCAGTTCCTTTGACCCATCCTTTTTGCTATTGTTGTCATACATTTTACTTTTACATGGTTCCAAACTCCGTAATAAATTATATTTGCTTTATACAATTTATTTTTTATATTTTACAGTCTGAATATCTTCATACAGTTTTTTTTAAAGCATTAAATCTACCTTCATTTTTTACCATTTCCGGCACTGTTCATTTATTTTTGTGATCTGCATTTTTGTTTGATTTCATACTTCTGCCAAAAGAACTTCCTTATAACAGTGTCAGTGAGCCGAAATGAATTTTTTCAGCTTTTGTTTGGAAGTCTTTATTTTGCCTTTATTTTTGAGAGATATTTTCACTGCACAGGTTTTTTTTTCTTTCAGTATTTTAAGATGTCACTCCATTGCCTTCTGGCTTGCATAGTTTTTGAAAAGTCCACTGTAATTCTTACCTTTATTCCTTTATATATAATCTGCTTTCTCTGGCTGCCTTCAAGATGTTCTTTTTTTTGATTTTTAGCCCTTTCACTGTAATTAATATGGGGATGTGGATTTTTACTTTATTCTGCTTGGTGTTCTCTGAAATTCTTGCATATTTGGGTTGATGTCTTGCATTATTTTTTTGAAGATTCTTGACTGTTACTTCAGATTTTCCCTCTGCCCCATTCCTTTTTTTTCTCCTTCTGGGACTTTAATTGCATTTATCATCACACAGTTCTTGGATGATCTGTTTTGTTTTTGTTTTGCTCTTTGTGAATGTGCCAGTCTCTGTTTGGAAATTTCTGTTACTCTACCCTCAAAATTCTCTGAGCCTTTCCCTAGTTGTGTCTAGTTTAATGATGAGCCCATCTGAGGAATTTTAAAAATCTTTAATCATGTTTAATGTTTTTTATTTCTATCGTTTATATTTGTCTCTTTCTTTAGTTTTCACATTTCTGTTGAAATTCTCCATCTCTTTATGCAAGCAAGTTGTCCACTTTTTTTCTGCTAGACCCTTTAACATATTAAGCATGGTTATTTTAATTTTTTTTTTCTGATAGTTCTAACACCTGAGTCTTCTCTTGGGTTTTGTTGATTATTTTATCTCTTGGCAGTAAGTTTTCCTTTCTTTTCTATGTCTTATAATTGTTGCCTGAGACCAGATATCTGTGTAGAAGAATGGTAGACGTTGAGTTAAATAGTACTTGTACTTGTGAATGGACAAGCATCTTTTTTCTCAGGCCGTTCTTGTGGGGATTGAGTCTGTCTGTCAGTAATGTGGATTTTTTTAAAATTTATGTCTTTATCTTCAGTATACCACAAACTTTACATTCCTCCAGCAGTGGGCTCCTGTTAATTTGTGCTTGGAGAGGGTGCGGTAGGATTTTTTTGTTTTTTCATCTCTTTAGATTTTAGTTGTCTCTGCCCACCTTTTTACACATGGGGATTTCTCGTCCCTTCTCTGTCAGTAGACTGTGTTTGCTTGTTATTCAGTGGTATGCTTTTGGTAGAGGCAAGGAGTTTTCTCTGTTGTGTTGGTCCAGCCTTAGTCTTATGCAGACCCTCGAACTTAGGGTGGGCTGTTTCAGTGTTTCTTCCCTCAGCCAGACTAGTCTTGTGTATCTGTAGTTACTTTTGGGTGAGAGTTTCGCGCCTCTTCTCCAGGTGTAGCAGACCTCTACATGGTATCTGTATAGGATCCTGGGCCCAAGGTAGTTTCCTATACCTCTCCCAGAGTTCAAGGGATTTGCTTCTACTTTTCCTCCAGCAGCAGAACATCTTTGCCTATGTACTGGGTAAGGGTTTCCTATCCCTTCCTAGAGGCACCAGGGTTTTGTTTCCATTCTTCCCCCAGAAGCAGTGAATCTTTGCCAGAGTCCTATGGGTGACAGGTTTTGCTGCCTTTACTGCAAACTTGTTTTTTTGCTTTGTAAAATCTATGGAAGGTTGGTGGGCTTTGTCTCCTCACTGCCTGTCACTGTCAATCACTTTCTTCCTGTTTATGCCACTAGGGGAGACTTTCTTGGGTCTCCTTTCCTACCCCTATTTTTTCTTAGGAACACATGGTAAAGACCTATGGAGAAGAGCTTAAGAGTGTGTGGGAACTTCTCGTGTCTGGGGTTCTTGTTGCTCTAAAGTGACAGCCCCACGCTTGGCCTTTAAAATTTTAGCTAATTTCTTTTTAACTGCTTGGATGGTGGCCATCTCTTTTTCCTGTGCTCTGCCAAAGGTGATTTAGTTGTGTGTCCAGTTTCTCATTGAATAGCCTTGCTCCTCTTAGGAATGTGGTTTGGTTGCCTTGCAACCTGAGCTCTCTGATGTGGCTTAAAAATAGGTTTTTTTTGTTTATTTTTTTTAAAGCTTACCTAGGGTTTTCTCTTTGGGAGAGAGCATCATTCTTTGTAGCTGTTTACATCCCAAGCATAAGTTTTAAATTTCTGCTTTGGTAATAGATGGTCTTGAATTTATATTCTGTAGTCATCTTTTAAAAACGTTTAAAATTCCAATATTGTGCCTGAGGGAGATAAGTTTTATTATAGGCATTCTTGTTAGACTACTGAATTTTATATTAAACAATAAAGCAGATATTATGTCAAAATATGATCCCAGAAGGTACCATTCTAAGTAATGGCTAAATGCAGTTGGACCTCTTCTCTCCCAAATACTAGCCATTTGGGAACAAACCAAGATAATTTGAGAATGGGTTTTGGAGCATTTAATTGAGAAGAAATGGACTTTGGGGCATATTCTGTAAGAATTGGGGTACAGTCCTACCTATTCATGAACAAATTTCTTTTTCACAGACTCTGCAGGTTTCCAAGGGCATTTTCCTGCTACCCACCTTGGGTGTTCTTCCCTGCTACAATGAAGAATTTAGATGTTCTTCCCAGCTCCCTGTAGCCAGTATCTTTCCATGTGGTTTTCTTTTTTACAGATTGTGGTGAGAACCTAATAGGGTTCTATATGTTTTTTTGTAATAGAGCAGTGAATGTTTTTTTAAAGCATTTTTTAAACTAATTAATAAGTGGTAATACATGTGTCTTGCAGACCATTTGGACTTTGCAGAAAAGTAAAGAGAAGAAAATAGTCATCATCTTTAATTTCATGTAGAGTAACTTCTTACATTTTGCATTCTGGCTTATTTCCAAGAATAAATAAATAAAATAAGTACCACAATTAAAGTCATAATATGTATCATAATATGCCAATTTTATATTTGGAATTTAATATTTAACATTACATTACAGGCATCTTCCTGTATCAATAAAAGTCATAAGCACTTAAAATGCTACATATATTACATTTTATGAAATCCTCTAGAAATTATTTTCCAGTAACAGCTTCCCCTCATAGCATTCATAATTTGAAAGTCAGAAAGATTTAAATTTTAAGCTGATTAAAAAGTTTATTCCATTTGTAATTGTTTTGCAAAGCATAAAGATGTTTAGATTTCTAATTCTGTTTTTAAATTTGGGTTATGTTTTTTGGATTTTATTGACCTTATGGCTTTTCTTCTTTAATTCCAGAATTCCATACGACATAATCTGTCATTGAACAAATGTTTCCTTAAAGTGCCTCGATCTAAGGATGACCCTGGAAAGGTAGGATTCATCTTCTTAAAACAGTTGAATTCTTCAGTATGTCACTTGTCATGTTTGAATTAAGAACTTTTCCAGTTCATTGAATAGGAACCTCTGCAAAATAGTAAGTCCTCCCCCACCCTGCTCTAAAGCTTGTTAGAGAGTTTTAAGCTGTGGGAACCTAACTAGTGTATAGCTGTTGCACACCACAGTGCTGTTGTACTTTGCTGTTTCTAATCTAATCTTTGGTTGAAGTATTGTGTATTAAATTAAATTTGGTGATTGAGCTGCTTGTCAGGAACCATAATTCATTATTACATATAAGGGGTGCATCTCTGTGTAACTGGCAAAAAGTGGAAGTATTCTTACACTGGAATAAAACAGTTTCTCTGTTATTAGCCCATTTCTGAGTGTAATCAAGAAGAGTATTCTGTACTTGACTCTTCTTATCTCCTGACACCACTGCATTTTTCACGTTTTTAGCGTTTTTTCTATGGTGACTCCTCCCTTTTTTTGTTGTTTTAATAGCTAGTCAACTATAGTGTGACCTGAACTTGGTCCTAGTTGCTTGGTCTCTGAAACTTAAGAGTACTTGGTTGTACTGTATTTGGTTGTCAAGGTAAGTTACTAGATTAGGACTTTGAGACAGTGTATTTATTGGGAAGCACGATGCTTGTTTAGGTGGCTAGACTTCTTATATTTGTTTTTAGGCTAACTGATTTTGGAAGAATCTTTCTAAAATGTAACCCTGGTCATGTAAGCACCTTGCTTAAAAGTATTCCTTAGTGTCCAGGAGGTGTTTACTTTCTCTTCTTGTAAAATATTCTTTACTGTTTTTTTCTCAATCTGCCTTTCTAGCTATAATTCACCTCATTCAAGACTCATCATGAAGAACTACTTGAAGTTTTCCAAACATGCTATTCATATGGTCTTCTGTACAAATTTCCTTGCTTTACTTGTCTAGACTGCTTCTTATCTTTCAGTATTGAGCTGCAACATGACTTCTCTGAGGCTTTTTTGTTTCCCCATACTTCAGCTGAATTTGTTGCTCCCTCTTTTGAGTTCTTTTTATTTTGTAGCGACCGTCATCATTGTAGTAGCTCCTAATTGGACTCTCAATGGCTGGGCTCGATCCCTCCAGTTTATATTAACTTTCACATAGTAGGCAGCAATCTTCAAAAAAAAAAAAAAAAAAAAAAAAAAAAGTTAACCTACTCATATGGTCTCTTTTTTTCAAGCTCTTTGTTAGTTATCTACTGCCCTTAAAATCTAAATTTATGCAAGTAGGGTTCATGTGTATCTTGTTCACTGTTTAGACCCAGTTGCTTGCACAGTGGCTGATGGCACTGAGGAGACACCCTTGTTGAATGAATGAATATACTGTATCCTCTGTTAGACTGTTAACTTCTTGAAGTTAGAGATGAAGAGTTATTCGTTTCTATCTTTAGGCAGTTTTTCTGAAGTAATGAACATTTTATAGCACTTTTTATCATCTGTCTGCTCCGTCAAGTTGGTTCTCAGTAAGATTGAACAGATTATTATAATAGTCTTGTAAGAAATTGTTTCTCTATGTTTTTAACTTTGAGATTCTGAATAGGAATTGGTGCACCTTTTCCTTTAAAGGAAAGGAGGCTTATTACAAAAAGATAATTAGATTTTAAAAATAAATTCTTTATCACATTTCCTATAGGCAATGAGTATATATGAATCAGACTGAAAAATATTTTTAAGAGACTTCAGAGATTATTTACTAGAGTCCTGTGAAGTTACTATTTGGGTTCTGTAAACATTTTGGTTCTGATTGGATTTTTAAATGAATTTGAAATAATTAAAAAAAATTAAAAATCAGTACACATGAATGCTTAATTCTATCATGTACTTGATTTTAACCAATTGGAGACTCTTAAAAATGTGTCATGTCAGGTATTTTTCTTTTGTGTAGAAGTTTAAGCTTTTGTTCATCTTTAATATATGGGGTAAGACAGATATGGAAAACATGTTACTCTTTGCAACTCTTCTTTTTGAATCAGGATTCTCAATGTGCAACTAAAACAAAATACAGAAATAAATTGAGTCCTGAGAGGCTAATGAGAGCTTTCATCTTTTACCAGTAGTTTTCAGTTTTAAGGTTTTGTATGTATTAAAACACCTCATTCTTATTGATTTTGGTCATAATAAGTAAATATCATACATTTGATTTTATAAAGTACATTTGTAGTAGTAATTTTTCTTTTCAGTCTCAAAGTGAGGTTTATTTTATTTGTTTGTTTATTTGTTTGTTAATTTTGAGACGGAGTCTCACTCTGTTGCCCAGGCTGGAGTGCAGTGGTGCAGTCTCAGCTCACTGCAGCCTCCGTCTCCCGGGTTTAAGCAATTCTCCTGCCTCAGCCTCCTGAGTAGCTGGGACTACCGGTGTACATCATCATGCCTGGCTAACTTTTGTATTTTTAGTAGAGATGGGGTTTCACCATCTTGGCCAAGCTGGTGTCAAACTCCTGACCTCAAGTGATAGGACCACCTCGGCCTCCCAAAGTGCTGGGATTACAGGCGTGAGCTGCCGCACCTGGCCACAAAGCGAGGTTTAAATACATTTTTCTCTTTGATTTTGGTCAGACATAGATGTAAATTTGGTCTTATAAAATACATTTATGTGAATAAAGTCATTTTTATTTTTGATTTCAAAATGAGATTTTGTTTTTTAAGAAAACACAAAATTCCACTGCTTTAAAAAAGCTTTGAAGACTTCAGCTCAAGCCCATTTCATAAAAGAAGAAACTAAGGCCAGTAGATGAGGAACAGCTTGCTCAGGTTCATTGTGGAATTAGAACCCAGGCATATTCGCCAGACATACTTGTCAGTCACAGAAACTCAATACAAACTAACTTAAAGGGAAAAGTACTTAAGGAAGAACTGGAGCCAGGTTCTTAAATTATATCACCAGGAATGTCTCTTCATCCATTAGTTGTGCTAACTTCTCTGATAGCTTCATTTTCAGTCCAATTAGTGGCAAGTATGTCTTTCAGCAGCTTCTGGTTTATATTCCACCAGCTGAGTAACACTTAACAGAGAGAGTAGGCCTGGTGTTCACCCCGTCACCCCCCAAATCACCTGGAATTACAGAAAAAGTCTTAGAATGAATGTTGAACAAGCAAAGCACAGTTGGTTTCTTAGTTCTTAGATTAGTACTTTTTCCATGATATCAGTCTTCCTTGAGAGGGAGACCAAAATGTTAGTTAAGTTTTGGTACTTATGAATTGTTGTTTCTTTTTGTATTACAGTGTTTCCTGACATTTGAGGAGCTTTTCCAAAACCACCCTCACCACAGTGGGAGAAAACCATTGAGCGAAGTT
This sequence comes from Homo sapiens, assembly GCF_000001405.40. Taxonomy (NCBI): domain Eukaryota; kingdom Metazoa; phylum Chordata; class Mammalia; order Primates; family Hominidae; genus Homo; species Homo sapiens. Next base: position 42,261,785 of record NC_000001.11, on the reverse strand, counting down.
GGGGTGGGAGTAGATTTTGGTCTTGGGTATGGGACGGACTTTATAACCCCTTAGGATTTTGCTAGCTGCTGCCATGACTTAGGTCAAGAGGTAGAAGTAGCTCGTATAGCATCTTCTCTGTATTTTCACGATACAGCTTTCTGTTCATTGTATTACCAGAGAGGTGTGAAGAACAACCTAATCTTGAAGTGTATTGTTGAATCATAGATGTTTTTATGTGGCTATCTATTCCTTACTTAATCCTTCATTTTCAAGAAGATTGTGTCGTAAAAGCCCTTAAAATTTGGTACCCTTTATGTACATTGGTGGTCTGAGATTCATTTTTCTCACCTCTTTACAACTAATTTCAAGCAGCTATGTTACCACTTTATTAAAAAAAACACACACACACACAAAATGAAATTCAGTTTTGCATCCACTTTGCTGCTTTTTTGGGGACAGATTTGTTTTTCTTTTCTCTTGATTATACCCTTTTTACCCTGTCTATACATTCTGCAGTCTATCTCCATTTTTTAAATCCCGTCTTTTGTCTCTTCTCTTTTCATTAGTTCTGTTTTCTCTATATTTGTCTTTTTTTTTTTAAATTCTTTGGGTTATAAGTCTTATTGTGTAATTCATACATGTGTCTTAATTATCTTAAAGGTAAATATTTACATCAGGGAAAAGCAGATTACTGGCTAAATATAGTTTAAAAAATATAATTTTCTTTCTCTGCTTTTCAGCTTAACCTTTTCTCAATTTTGTTTCCCTTTCTTCAGTTCAGAGAAATGATCTTTGACTTGAAAGGAACTAAAGGATTATAGGGCTTAGTTTCAACAGTTATCTAAACTTAGTAGCAGTGGGCTCTAATAGAACTGAGAAAATAGCTAAGAAGTTTAAAACCACATGAAGGCCACCTGACTATCCTGGGGAAATAACTACAGTTAATTCATAGAAGAGTTTTTAGGGGTGTAGGGGTTGGGGAATCTTTGTCTTGCCTGGGAATGGGAAGTTGTAAAGCCTCAGTGACCATAGAGATTGGGTTCTCCTGGTTTGTGAGGAAATAACAAATTCACTGCTAAGAGACTAACTTTTGAAACTTACAGGATTGTGATTTTTTTTTCTTTAAAAATTTCTTTTGAGACAGGATCTTGCCCTTTTGCCCAGTGCAGTGGTGCTCTCATAGCCTACTGGGCTCAGGTGATTCTCCAGAGTAGCCAGGATGACAGCACATGCCACCATGCCTGGCTAAGTTTTTGAAATTTTTTGTGGAGATGGAGTTCTCACTATGTTGCCTGGACTGGTCTTGAACTCCTGGCCTCAAGTGATCATCCTGCCTTGGCTTCCCAAAGTGTTGAGATTAGAGGTGTGAGCCACCACGTCTCACAAATTATGAATTTTTTTCTATTCCTATTCTGTAGCTTAGTATAAGGGACCATAACATAGTTGACTGATCTTTCTTTTCAAAGGGTATTCTTTTTGGGGGGGCTATATTAGTATTATGTTATATTTATTTGTAAATTGCTTGTTAATCTCTGGTATCCCATTTTGGTCATTTTCTTTAAAAAATATGTAGAAAAACTGGAGAGGTTTGAGGGAACATAAAATATAACATTAAATGATGAACAGTGTTGTAGGAGTCGTAGGTATTACCTTAAAGAAGGAAGATAAGAGTATAATTTTAATGCTAGTCTTAAGTAAATGCATGATTTTTGTAAAGAAGATGATGACTGTTTATCTGTGTTTCTGTACAAACTAAACAGGAAGTAGGACTGAAGGATAAGCAAGAGTTTGGTTGGACCGAAATAAGAATGTCATATTTATTGAAGTGAAAAAACACTGATACAGCTTCCCAAGGGAGACTTTAGAGTTTGTCACTTCTGAAGCACTTGAATAGATGAGGTTGCTAGCATTTGTCATTTTAACTCATGGTAGATAAGAACTCGAGTTGAAGGCTGGAAGAGGATATGATCAAGTTTAGCTGAGGGACGAGTCAGAGCAAAGCTGGGTAGAATCAGGAATTAAGGGAATTAATATAAGTACTAACGTGAGATCCAAGAGTGAAGAAATGGATTAGTGCCATTGAGTGATTGTCGAGACAGAGGTGAATTATGAATGTGAGGCATTCCATTAGACAAACCAAGGTTAGAAAGCTAAGGTATTCAGAAGATTAGAAAGATTGAGTTAGATAGAAGTGAGAGTCTGATTCAGGGAGATAACACTGCAGAAGCTGAAAGAAGTTTTGGCCTAGAGCCCTGACGTTAATACTGTTTGAGCAGTGTGGTTGCAGCTGCCTTTTGTTGAGACATACAGTGTTCTCTGTTCTCTTTTTAAAGTTGGAAGAGAACATTTTGTTGTTGTTGGCCTCTTTTTTCTTTTCCAGATCTAAACTACTTTAAAAAAATAACATTATACCTAGAAATTTAAAAAAAATTATATATGGTGAAATTTACTCTTTGGTGTGTAATTCTATTAGTTTCAACAAACACAGCGTAACCATCACTGTAATCAAAATAGAGAACAGTATTCCAGATTGTCACTTGGTAGTCAGCCCTTTCCCTCATCCCCAGGCCTTTGCAACTACTGATCTGTTTGTGTCCCTATAATTTTGCCTTTTCCAAAATGCCATATAAATGGGACTCATATAGTACATGGCCTTCTGAGTCTGGCTTTTTTGCTTTAGTATAATGTATTTGAGAGCTATCCATGTCGTTGTGCATATCAGCAGTTTTGTTTCATTTCATTGCATATATTCCATCACACGGATTTATCAGAGTTTAATCACTATTTGAAAGACATGTTTTTGTTAGTTGTATGATCATTTGACCATCAAGTTACTTTCTTTTCGGCTTAGACTTGACAGATATTGAGCTATAACACTCAAGTAGTAACATAATAGTCAAGTTAAGCTGCCTTGTGAGTGGATTATGTAGGTGAGCCATCTGTTTCTTGGGAATTCGTTATGATATAGTAAAACTTTATCTCTAACTTAAAGTTTCTAAAAGGATTGATTGGCACTATGATTTAAAAGCAAGATATGTCTGTTAATCCCTTAATAGGATGTACTTTTTAAGTATCTTTAACATTTAGGGGAATTGTTTACTATACCACAGTCAATATGCCAATTACATATTTTAATCCATTAAGAGTAAATTTCTTAACACTCTAGGCTTAATTTGATGATCAATGTATTTAAAAGTAATAAAAACTTGTATTTGTTCAAAAAGGGTATTTCAAGGACCTAAGCAGGCATTGGAATAGTTGTTATCCACATGTTCATTCGGTCAACTAGCCAGACAAGCAGACTGCCTTTGAGTACTTACTGTGTGTTGTGGTCTCAGTAGCTATTTAACCTATTGTCCAAGCTAGAAACTTCTGAGAATGAAAGTGGTGCTATTCTTAACTATGTTTGGGGAACAGTTATAAAGCAGGATTGAAACTCCAAGTATGGTTGCTCTAGATCTGTGGTGCATGCAAATGCTGTGCCTGAGCAGTTACCAGGAACAGCATCCTAAGAAGTTGGGAGAAAACAAGGCAAACAAATCTTTTGAAGTTGGATTGCCAAAATAAACTGGGAGAGGTTAAAAAAATAAAAGATGAAGGCATGGTATAAAGCCAAAGAAGTCAGGGACAAGAGGAATCCAGCTCCTGAGATGAATATGCATTGAAAGCTAAGGAAGAGCAGAGAATTGTCTATGATGATTCCCTTTACCAACGGGCATATACTTGGCAATAGTAATAGATTTCACCATTTGGAATGTTTAGCTATTTATGACAGGGACTGCTCTCCCCAGGAGTCTGAAATTAATATTAGCATTTTTGGTTTATTTGTACTTAATCAGGTAATGGCTTTTTTGTTAGGCTATTTTCAACCTAAGATAAATATGCAGGGTACTTTGTGTTGACATAAAATTTTAGCTAGAAATAAAGTTTTGGAATAGTTAAAATGCACTTTATTTGAAGTAATAAATACTTTTTAATGATGGGAATAACAACATTTAAGTTTATTGTTGATCTTTGACACATCTTCATTTCTGATGCATTTTCTTTTCTTTCTTTTTTTTTTTTTGAGACAGAGTCTCACTCCATCACCCAGGCTGGAGTGCAGTGGCATGATCTTGTTTCACTGCACCTCTGCCTCCCAGGCTCAAATGATTCTCCTGCCTCACCCTCCCCTGTAGGCGGGATTACAAGCGTGTGCCACCACGCCTGGCTAATTTTTGTATTTTGTATTTTGTATTTTTTTCTTTTTCAGTAGAGATGGGATTTCACCATGTTGGCCAGGCTGGTCTCGAACTCCTGACCTCAAATTATCCACCCGCGTTGGCCTCCCAAAGTGCTGAGATTACAGGTGTGAGCCGCTGTGCACAGCCATTTCTGATGGATTTTCTATATCTTGATTACCTTGATTTTTTTCTGAAGTTTATGAATTGCTGGTATTTGTTTGCTCTCTTCTACTTAACAGTGACACCTGGTTTTCAGTTGGGTTCCACTTTCCTTCCTTCTGGAATTAACTTCTGTTTTAGGGTATCTTGATTGATTTTTGGAAAATGTGGTCAAAGTTGTAGAATTCTTGTGATCTTTCTTTGGGATTTTACAGGGTAAGCCACTGCAGTCTTTTCCGTCAGAAAGGACATTACTGTGTTGTACTAGAATTGTTGATATAAATTAATATCTGCATCTGTATATTGCTTTAAAGAATTTAGAGCCATTTTACATGCATTATCTTGATCCTCAAAATAAGCCTGTGGTCAAGCCCCGGTTTTAGATAGTGATCCTTGAGTGCATAGTAGATTTTTTTCCGTAAGTTCACATAATAGAACTACATGTAAATGGAATCATTCAATATATACTCATTTGTGTCTTTCACTCAGCATAATGTCTATAATGCTGCTACATATATCACTTGTTTGTTTCTTATTGTTAAGTGGTATTCCATCATATGAATCTATGACAATTTGTTTATACATTTATTTGTTGACAAACACTTCAGGTGTTTTCAGTTTTACGCTATTAATAAAGAATTACTAGTAAATTCTTAAACAAGTTTTCTGTGGACATGCTTTCATTTTTCCTGAAGGATAGAATTACTGGGTCAGAGGGCAGATGGAAGGTTAACTTTATAAGAAACTGCCAAACCCTTTCCCAAAGTGGTTGTGCTATTTTACATTCCCAACAGCAATACCTGAGAGTTGCAGTTTTGCTTCCCATGGCCAACAGTTGGTTATTACCTGTCTTTTTAACTGTAGCCATTCTACTGGGTGTGAAGGTGTGAAGTGGTATTTCATCATGGTTTTGATTTGAATTTTCCTGATGGCTGTTGATATTGAGCATCTTTTCATGTGCTTCCTGGGCATTTGTGTATCTTCTCCTCTGAAAGTTCTTTTAAAATTCTTTTGACTTAGAAAAAATTGGTTGTCATTATTACTGAGTTGTAAGCGTTTTAAAAAATATATTCTGGATACAAGTCTTTCCTTAGATTTCTGTTGTTTAAATGTTTTTTTAGACTATGGTTTGCCTTTTTGCTTTCACAGTAGTGTTTTAAAAAGTAGAAAATTTGAATTTTGGTGAGGTCTAATTTATCAATTTTTAATTTAATGGTAAGTGACTTGTGTATGCCATCAGGAAATCAAGTACGGTCATGAAGATTTTCTTTTTAAGTTTTATAATTTTAGATGTTGCATTTAGGCCCATTGCAAATTGCTATTTATGTATAGTGTGTTTATTCTTCAGGGTAAATTGTTCTTTTATCTTTATGAAATGTTCTTCTTAATTTCTTTTTTTTGAGACGAAGTCTCGCTCTGTTGCTCAGGCTGGAATGCAGTGATGCGATCTCGGCTCACTGCGGCCTCCACCTCCCAGGTTCAAGCGATTCTTCTGCCTCAGCCTCCCGAGTAGCTGGGACTACAGGCATGTGCCACCATGCCTGGCTAATTTTTGCATTTTTTAGTAGAGACGGGGTTTCACTATATTGGCCAGGCTGGTCTTGAACTCCTGACCTTGTGATCTGCCTGCCTCGGCCTCCCAAAGTGCTGGGATTACAGGCATGAGCCACCACATCCGGCACTTAATTTCTTAAAATGCTCTTTGTCCTGAAGCCTACTTTGTCTGATACTAATTTAGCCATTCCAGCTTTCTTATGCAACATCATGGTGTATCTTTTTCCAGTATTTTGCTTTTAGATTGTAAACATCTTTGTGTTTAAAGCGTTTCTCTGGTAAACAACATGTGGCCATTGGCTCTTGCTTTTAAAATTGTCTGATGATCTCCACCTTCTATTTAGACCACTTAGTCTTTGTATTTAATATGATTATTGGTATTGTTGCTGTTTGTTTTTCTTTTGTTCTTAACGTTGCTTTATTTCTGCAACCTTTGGGGTTAATCAGATAGTTTATAGGATTCTATTTTATTTCGTCTGTTGACTTCTTAGTGTCCTCTTTTAGTTTTTTAGTAGTCATTCTAGAGCTTAACAATATGTATCACCAACTTATCAGAGTCTATTTGGAGGTAATATTATACTACCCTCCACTTCATACCTTACACTTTATACCGCCTACTCTACCTCTTGCCATCCATTTAAAAATGTATTAACGTTACAACAGTATAATTTCGTTTATCTACATTCCTTTCTTTGTGCTATTGTCATATCTTGTGCTTCTACTTATACCGTAAATCCCGTCTTAGGATTTGTGTTACTTGCTTTAAATAGTTAGTTGCCTTTTAAGGAAATTACATTGGAGGAAATATTTTCTTAGTTATTTACCTTTTCTGATGTTCTTTCCTAGAAATCTAAGTTTCCATCTGGTATCCTTTTTTTTTTCTTTTCTTTTTTTAAAATTATTATTATACTTTAAGTTTTAGGGTACATGTGCACAATGTGCAGGTTAGTTACATATGTGTACATGTGCCATGCTGGTGTGCTGCACCCATTAACTCGTCATTTAGCATTAGGTATATCTCCTAATGCTATCCCTCCCCCCTCCCCCCACCCCACAACAGTCCCCAGAGTGTGATGTTCCCCTTCCTGTGTCCATGTGCTCTCATTGCTCAATTCCCATCTATGAGTGAGAACATGCGGTGTTTGGTTTTTTGTCCTTGCGATAGTTTACTGAGAATGATGATTTCCAATTTCATCCATGTCCCTACAAAGGACGTGAACTCATCATTTTTATGGCTGCATAGTATTCCATGGTGTATATGTGCCACATTTTCTTAATCCAGTCTATCATTGTTGGACATTTGGGTTGGTTCCAAGTCTTTGCTATTGTGAATAGTGCTGCAATAAACATACGTGTGCATGTGTCTTTATAGCAGCATGATTTATAGTCCTTTGGGTATATACCCAGTAATGGGATGGCTGGGTCAAATGGTATTTCTAGTTCTAGATCCCTGAGGAATCGCCACACTGACTTCCACAATGGTTGAACTAGTTTACAGTCCCACCAATAGTGTAAAAGTGTTCCTATTTCTCCACATCCTCTCCAGCACCTGTTGTTTCCTGACTTTTTAATGATTGCCATTCTAACTGGTGTGAGATGGTATCTCATTGTGGTTTTGATTTGCATTTCTCTGATGGCCAGTGATGATGAGCATTTTTTCACGTGTCTTTTGGCTGCGTAAATGTCTTCTTTTGAGGAGTGTCTGTTCATATCCTTCGCCCACTTTTTGATGGGGTTGTTTGTTTTTTTTCTTGTAAATTTGTTTGAGTTCTTTGTAGATTCTGGATATTAGCCCTTTGTCAGATGAGTAGGTTGTGAAAATTTTCTCCCATTTTGTAGGTTGCCTGTTCACTCTGATGGTAGTTTCTTTTGCTGTGCAGAAGCTCTTTAGTTTAATTAGATCCCATTTGTCAATTTTGGCTTTTGTTGCCATTGCTTTTGGTGTTTTAGACATGAAGTCCTTGCCCATGCCTATGTCCTGAATGGTAATGCCTAGGTTTTCTTCTAGGGTTTTTATGGTTTTAGGTCTAACATATAAGTCTTTAATCCATCTGGAATTAATTTTTGTATAAGGTGTAAGGAAGGGATCCAGTTTCAGCTTTCTACATATGGCTAGCCAGTTTTCCCAGCACCATTTATTAAATAGGGAATCCTTTCCCCATTGCTTGTTTTTCTCAGGTTTGTCAAAATCAGATGGTTGTAGATATGCGGCATTATTTCTGAGGGCTCTGTTCTGTCCCATTGATCTATATCTCTGTTTTGGTACCAGTACCATGCTGTTTTGGTTACTGTAGCCTTGTAGTATAGTTTGAAGTCAGGTAGCACGATGCCTCCAGCTTTGTTCTTCTGGCTTAGGATTGATTTGGCAACACGGGCTCTTTTTTGGTTCCATATGAACTTTAAAGTAGTTTTTTCCAATTCTGTGAGGAAAGTCATTGGTAGCTCGATGGGGATGGCATTGAATCTATAAATTACCTTGGGCAGTATGGCCATTTTCACGATATTGATTCTTCCTACCCATGAGCATGGAATGTTCTTCCATTTGTTTGTATCCTCTTTTATTTCCTTGAGCAGTGGTTTGTAGTTCTCCTTGAAGAGGTCCTTCACATCCCTTGTAAGTTGGATTCCTAGGTATTTTATTCTCTTTGAAGCAATTGTGAATGGGAGTTCACTCATGATTTGGCTCTCTGTTTGTCTGTTATTGGTGTATAAGAATGCTTGTGATTTTTGTACATTGATTTTGTATCCTGAGACTTTGCTGAAGTTGCTTATCAGCTTAAGGAGATTTTGGGCTGAGATGATGGGATTTTCTAGATATATAATCATGTCATCTGCAAACAGGGACAATTTGACTTCCTCTTTTCCTAATTGAATACCCTTTATTTCCTTCTCCTGCCTCATTGCCCTGGCCAGAACTTCCAACACTATGTTGAATAGGAGTGGTGAGAGAGGGCATCCCTGTCTTGTGCCAGTTTTCAAAGGGAATGCTTCCAGTTTTTGCCCATTCAGTATGATACTGGCTGTGGGTTTGTCATAGACAGCTCTTATTATTTTGAGATATGTCCCATCAATACCTAAATGTGTAGAGGGAAATTTATAGCACTAAATGCCCACAAGAGAAAGCAGGAAAGATCCAAAATTGACACCCTAACATCACAATTAAAAGAACTAGAAAAGCAAGAGCAAACACATTCAAAAGCTAGCAGAAGGCAAGAAATAACTAAAATCAGAGCAGAACTGAAGGAAATAGAGACAAAAAAAAAAAACCCTTCAAAAAATTAATGAATCCAGGAGCTGGTTTTTTGAAAGGATCAACAAAATTGATAGACTGCTAGCAAGACAAATAAAGAAAAAAAGAGAGAAGAATCAAATAGACGCAATAAAAAATGATAAAGGGATATCACCACTGATCCCACAGAAATACAAACTACCATCAGAGAATACTACAAACACCTCTACGCAAATAAACTAGAAAATCTAGAAGAAATGGATAAATTCCTCAACACGTACACTCTCCCAAGACTAAACCAGGAAGAAATTGAATCTCTGAATAGACCAATAACAGGATCTGAAATTGTGGCAATAATCAGTAATTTACCAACCAAAAAGAGTCCAGGACCAGATGGATTCACAGCCAAATTCTACCAGAGATACAAGGAGGAACTGGTACCATTCCTTCTGAAACTATTCCAATCAATAGGAAAAGAGGGAATCCTCCCTAACTCATTTTATGAGGCCAGCATCATCCTGATACCAAAGCCGGGCAGAGACACAACCAAAAAAGAGAATTTTTAGACCAATATCCTTGATGAACATTGATGCAAAAATCCTCAATAAAATACTGGCAAACCGGCCGGGCGCGGTGGCTCACGCCTGTAATCCCAGCACTTTGGGAGGCCGAGATGGGCGGATCACGAGGTCAGGAGATCGAGACCATCCTGGCTAACACGGTGAAACCCCGTCTCTACTAAAAATACAAAAATTAGCCGGGCATGGTGGCGCGCGCCTGTAGTCCCAGCTACAGGGGAGGCTGAGGCAGGAGAATGGCATGAACCCGGGAGGCGGAGCTTGCAGTGAGTCGAGATCGCGCCACTGCACTCCAGCCTGGGCAACAGAGCAAAACTCCGTCTCAAAAAAAAAAAAAAAAAAAAAAAAAAAAAATACTGGCAAACCGAATCCAGCAGCACATCAAAAAGCTTATCCACCATGATCAAGTGGGCTTCATCCCTGGGATGCAAGGCTGGTTCAATATATTCAAATCAATAAATGTAATCCAGCATATAAACAGAACCAAAGACAAAAACCACATGATTATCTCAATAGATGCAGAAAAGGCCTTTGACAAAATTCAACAACTCTTCATGCTAAAAACTCTCCATCTGGTATCCTTTCTCTTCAGCCTAACGGTATCATCTGACAGTTCTTGTAGTGTAGGTTTGCAGGCAACAAATTCTATAGGCCTTTGTTCCTCTGAAAATATCTTTATTTCATCCTCAGTATACTTTTTTCTGGGTATGGATTCCTGGGTTTGCAGGGTATTCCCACTTGTCCGAGTTTTCAATATATTCAGTTTTGAAGATGTTCCATTGGCCTCCATTATTTTCTATGAAAAGTCAGCTGTCATTCTTATTTTTATTCTTCTATATGTAATGAGTGTTGCACCCCCAAACCCCTGTCACTTTTGGTAGCTTTCAGTAATTTTTCTCTTTTCTTTGGATGTCAGCAATTTGACTGTGATATGCTTTGATGTAGTGTTTTTATATTTATTCCAGGCCTGCTCATCTAGGATCAATAAGAAGAGGCTTTCATCCAAATTTGGGATATTTTCAGTTATTATTTATTAAAAATTCTTTTGGCCCCATCTTTTCTCTTTTTCTTTTAGGGTCAGTTATAATAAGACATGAAATTTTTTCACAAGTCCTTGAGAGTGTTAATTTTTCTCATCTTTTTGTTCTTCAGGTTTGTTAGTTTCTACTTATCTATTTTCAGGATCTCTGACTCTGATTCTGTCTAATATTTTGGTGAATTTTTATTTCAATTACTGGACTTTTTTTTTTTTTTTTTTTTTTGAGATGGAGTTTTGTCCTTGTTGCTCAGGCTGGAGTGCAATGGCGTGATTTCTCTGCTCACTGCAACCTCTGCCTCCCAGATAGCCTCCTGAGTAGCTGAGATTACAGGCATGTGCCACCACGCCCAGCTAATTTTGTATTTTTAGTAGAGACGGGGTTTCTCCATGTTGGCCAGGCTGGTCTCAAACTGCCGACCTCAGGTGATCTGCCCACCTCAGCCTCCCACGTGCCCGGCCTACTGGACTTTTTAATTATAGAGCTTCCCTTTGGTCCTTCTTGTGTATATGCATAGGTAATTGGTGAAATGGATTCAAGCAGTTGTTTTGATGCTAGAGAATTAGGACTTATGTGATGTCCCTGACCAGTTATTTAATAGTTCCTGGACATGAAACATGCATAGGAGACTCTGCTTCCCTTTGGGGTGTTATTTTAAGAGGGTATGACGTATTATCCTTATCTGTATAGTGTTTAGCAATCCTGTGAACCTAATTCAGTCTCATGTGATTCCTTCCGTCATCACTGATCTTTTCAGATCCTGGTTTTTATACGAAAACAAAATAATTAGAAGAGTTGAGATTTTTTAAAAAGTAAAATGATTTTAACAATAAATAACCTAAAATACTATGTCACTTTCCACTAGTCTCCTCTAGTCTCTGTTTACTTTTTCTGTGCCTTCTACATTGCTGCCTTAAGTTATGGCACATGAGTAAAAACCCAAGTCTACTTCCGTGGTCCTATTTTCAAGTCCAGGCTCCAGCTTCATGCTTCTAAATTTTATATTCAAGCTATACTGTACTATTTTTCTTGCATTTATGATACACGGTATCTAAAATAGTATTTCATTTTCTTTATCCTTTAAAGCCCAGCTCACATTTCAGTATAATAACTCGGAAAGGAAGTTATTTTCCTTTTTTAACCTACTCTAACTTTTCAAAATTAATTGCTCTCTTCTTTTTGCTCCCATGGTTCTTGGAGAATTTCACTATTATAGCTCCCGAATGATGTAGCTGTCTATGTATTGATCTGTTCCATTCAATTGTGAGTTTTTCGTTTACAAGGATTAGGTCTTTGACATTTTCATACCTCCATCATACCCAGCAGTGTCTGATACACAGTAGATGCCTAATAAATGTTTATCTCAAAAGTGATGTTTGTCTTTTCCTAGTTAACTAAGAAGTCGCTGTTCTATTCTCAAAAGAAACTTTTCAAATTGTACGTTAATTTTTTGCCATTTTAAGATTGGTCTTTGAATGTTCTAGAAATCGTCACTTTGCCTCATTTTACTCAGACTTTGATTTTTGATCAGTAGGTTGGGGCCAGAAAACTTATTTCACTTCTTGACATTGATTCACATCTACTTTAAATTTGGGAGAATCCTTTGAGTTCTTAACCTTCATGTAGGTGAATTCCTTGATTTTTCTCTTAATGACTACTTTAGGTAACTTGTATCACAGACTAACATGGTCCAGAGGAGAGCCAGGAATCAGCTAGAAATCAGGAGCCTTATACCCAAAGAAATATATACTCATTTACGTCTATTTCTTTTACTCAGCATATCTTTATAATCATTCTATTTTAAAGATACATGCACATGTATGTTTATTGCAGCACTGTTCACAGTAGCAAAGACATGGAATCAACCCAAATGCCCATCAGTTATAAAGAGAATATGGTACATATACACCATGGAATACTATGCAGCCGTAAAATGGAATGAGATCACATCCTTTGCAGGGACATGGATGAAGCCGGAAGCCACCATCCTCAGCAAACTAACAGAGGAACAGAAAACCAAACACCACATGTTCTCACTCATAGTGGGAGTTGAACAATGAGGACACATGGACACAGGGAGGGGGACAACACACACCGGGGCCTATTGGGTTGCGGGGGCAGCAAGGAGAGGAAAAACATCAGGACAAATAGCTAATATATGCAGGGCTTAAAACCTAGGTGACGGATTGTTAGGTGCAGTAAACCACCATGGCACACTTATACCTATGTAACAAACCTGCACGTTCTGCACTTGTATCCTGGAACTTAAAAAAAAAAAAAAAAAAAAAAAAAAGAAAAAACAGGAGACTTGAGTTCTTTCTGGACAATATCACTGGCTTTGCTTTGTGAAAGGTGACTTTTGACTGTATTGGACATACCCTGTGTTTGATTAGAGCCTGTTGATTCCTTTTTCTCTTAGATCAAAAAAATGTTTTTTATTGAGAAAAAATTTACATACCATAAATGTTGTCTTTTTTTTTTTTTTTTTTGGAGACGCAGTCTTGCTCTGTCGCCCAGGCTGGAGTGCAGTGGCGCAATCTCGGCTCACTGCAAACTCCGCCTCCCGGGTTCACGCCATTCTCCTGCCTCAGCCTCCCGAGTAGCTGGGACTACAGGTGCCCGCCACCACGCCCGGCTAATTTTTTGTGTTTTTAGTAGAGATGGGGTTTCACAGTGTTAGCGAGGTTGGTCTTGATCTCCTGACCTCGTGATCGGCCCACCTCAGCCTCCCAAAGTGCTGGGATTACAGGCATGAGCCACCACGCCCGGCCAATGTTGTCTTTTAAAAGTGTATAATTCAGTAGTTTTATTATAATTGCAAAGTTGTGCAATCATCACTACCAAATTTCAGGACATTTTCATTTCATCCCTCCCAAAAAGAAACCTATCCATTAACAGTCTCTCACCATTTCCACCATCTCAAGTTCCTGGCAACCACTACATTACTTTCTGTTTCTGTGAATTTGCCTATTCTGGACATGTTACCTATTTTGGACATTCATATAAAATAATTATATGTGGCATTTTGGACTTCTTTCACTTAGCATAAGGTTTTCAGGATCATCCATATTGTAGCATGTAATAGTACTTCATTCCTTTTTATGCCAGAATGATACTCCATTGGATAGCTATACCACAATTGTTAGTCTCTTTATCCAGCTGAAGAACATTTAGATTGTTTGTACTTTGAAACAAAAATGCTGCTGTGAGTATTTGTGTATACACTTTAGGATAGACTCAGTGTTTTTATTTTTCTTGTGTATGTTTTCAGTTTTTTAGGAATGGAATTGCTGGGTCATATGTTTAATCTTTTGAGGAACAGCCAGCTTTACCGTTTACATTCGCACAGTTTTGAGGTTGCAGTTTTTCACATCCTTGCCAATAGTAGTTATTAAATGTCTTTTTTATTATGGTCATCCTTGCGGGTATAAAATGATACCTCATTTTGTAATGGTTTTGATTTTCATTGGATTAATGGCAATTGATGGTGATCAAATTTTGATGTGCCTGTTGACCATTTGTACATCTCCTTTGGAGAAATGTTTATTTAGATTATGTGCCCATTTTAAATGGAATTATTTCTCCCTTATAACTCAGTTGTAAGAGTTCTTTATATATTTTAGATACAGATCCTGTATTGCTAATATAATTTGCAAGTATTTCCTTTTATTGTGTGGTTGTATTTTTTTACCTTCTTAAAAATTTTTTTAAAACTTTTTAATTGATACATATTATTTGTGCATTTTTATGGGGTACTTGTATTTTGTTACATACATAGAATGTGTAATGATCAACTCAGGGTAATTAGGGAATATATCACCTTAAGTATTTATCATTTTAATGTATTGGGAATACTTCAAGTACTTTCTTCTGTTTATTTTGAAATAAACAATACATTGTTGATAATTATAGCCAGTCTACCCTGCTTTGGAACTTATTTCTTCTATCTGTGTGTTTATACCCATTAATAAACTTATTTTCACCCAGCACTGCTACACTCTTCCCATCCTCTGGGGACTGTCATTCTGCTCTTTACCTCCATGAGATTAACTTTTTTACCTCCCACATATGAATGATACTATATGATATTTGTATTTCTGTGCCTGGCTTAACATACTTTCAGTTCCATCCATGTTGCTACAAATGACAGGCTTTCATTCTTTTTTATGATAGTATTTCATTGTGTATATATACCATATGTTCTTTATCCCATTCAGCCATTGATGGATATTCAGTTTGATTCTATATCTTTGCTTTTGTGAATAATGTTGCAGTAAACATGGGGTTGCAGGTATCCCTTTGATATAATGATTTCTTTTCCTTTGGGTAAATACCTAGTAGTGGAATTGCTGCTTAATATGGTAGTTCTATTTTTAGTGTTTTTTTTTTTTTAGAAAGCAACATACTGTTTTCCATAAATGGCTGTACTAATTTACATTCCCACCAAAAGTATATGAGAGCTCCCTTTTTTCCACATCCTCTTCAGTGTCTGTTATTTTTTTGTCTTTTTAATCACAGCTATTCTAACTGCTGTAAGAGGATATCACCTTCTGGTTTTGATTTGCATTTCCTTAATGATTATTGATGTTGAACATTTTTTTCATATACCTCTTGGCCATTTGTATGCCTTCCTATGAGAAATGCCCATTCATGTTTTTTTGCCCACTTTTTAATGGGTACGTGTGTGTGTGTATGTGTATGTGCATGTAAATAATTATTGAAGTTGAGTTCCTTGTATATTCTGAATATTAGTCTCTTGTCAGATGAATGGTTTGCAAATATTTTCTGCTACCCAACAGATTGTCTCCTCACTCCGTTGATTATTTACTTTGCTATGCAGAAGTCTTTTAGTTTAATATAATCTCATTTGTTTATTTTTGTTTTGTTGCCTGTGCTTTTGAGGTCTTAGTCGTAAAATCTTTGTCTACTCAATGTCCTGAAGTATTTCCCCTGTGTTTCTTCTAGTAGTTTTTTTAGTTTTGAGTCTTTCATTTAGGTCTTTAATCCATTTCGAGTTGAATTTTGTTTATGGTGAGATATAGGAGCATTCTTCTGCCTATGGACATTCACTTTTCCTAGGACCATTGAGTTTTTTGGGGGAGTCTTTAGGATTTTCTAGATGTAAGGTCATGTCATGTGCAAAGAGGGACAATTTGCCTTCCTCTTTTCCAGTTTAGATGCCTTTTGTTTCCTTTTCTTGCCTGACTGTGCTGACTAGGACTTCAGTACTATATTGAATAGTAGTAGTGAAAGTGGACATCCTTGTCTTGACCAGCTTTTAGAGGAAAAAGTTCCAGCTTTTCAGTTTGGTATGATGTTAGCTGTGGGTTTGTCATAAATGGCCTTTATTATGTTGAGGTGTGTTTTTGTTATGCCTGATTTCATGAGAATTCTTATGAAATGACGTTGAATTTTATCAAATGCTTTTTCCGTATCTCTTGAAATGATCATATGATTTTTGTCTTTCATTCTGTTGATGTGATGTGTTAGGTTTATTGATATGCCTATGTTGAACCATTCTTCTATCCCTGGGGTAAATTCCACTTGGGCATGGTGTATTATCTTTTAGATGTGCAGTCAGATTTGGTTTGCTAATATTTTGTTGAGGATATTTGTGTCTGTGAACATCAGAGATAATTGGCCTGCAGTTCTTTTTTGTGGTGTCCTTGTTTGGTTTTGGTATCAGGGTAATGCAGGCCTCATAGAATGAATAAAGGAGAATTCCTTCCTCTTTAATTTTTGGGAACAGTTTGGGAATTGGGTTAGTTCTTTATAAGTTTGGCAGAATTCGGCAGTGAAGGCTTTGTAATCTTGGGCTTTTCTTTGTTGGGAGACTTGTTTTTTTTTTTTTTTTTTTGAGACGAGTCTCAGGCTGGAGTGCAGTAGTGCAATCTTGGCTCACTGCAACCTTCGCCTCCTGGGTTCAAGCGATTCTCCTGCCTCAACCTTCTGAGTAGCTGGGATTACAGGCGCACGCCACCATGCCCAGCTAATGTTTGTACTTTTAGTAGAGACGGGGTTTCACCATATTGGTCAGGCTGGTCTCGAACTCCTGACCTCATGATCTGCCCGCCTCGGCCTCCCAAGGTGCTTGGATTACAGGTGTGAGCCACCGCGCCTGGCCAAGACTTTTAATTACTGATTCAATCTTATTGCTTGTTACTGGTTTGTTCAGATTTTCTGTTTCTTCTTGATTCAGTATTAGTAGCTTGTATGTGTCCATGAATTTATTCATTTCCTCTCAGTTTTACAGTTTGGTAGCATCTAGTTGTTCATAATAGTCTGATGATCTGTATTTCTGTGATGTCAGTTGTTACATCTTCTTTTTTTGTTTCTGATTTTATTTGGGTCTTCTCTCTTTTTTTTTTTCTTGATTAGTGTGGCTGTCAGTGTATTGATTTTTCTTAATGTTTTCAAAAAACCAACTTTTAGTTGACAGTTTGTATTTTTTAAACCTCTTTTGTTTAGTTTTGCTCTGACCTTTATTCTGTTTTCTTAATTTTTTTAGATTCAAGGTCTTGCTGTATTGCCCAGTCTGGAGGGAAGTGACACGATCCTAGCTCATTGCAGCCATGAACTCCAGGACTAACAGGATACCTGTCACCTCAGTCTCTTGAGTAGCTGGGACTATAGGCAGATGTCACCATGCCAGGCTAATTTTTAAATATTCTTTTAGAGATGAGATCAGCCCATTTCCCAGGCTGCATTATTTCTTTTCTTCTATTAATTTTGTGTTTGGTTTGTTCTTGTTTTTCAGGTTCTTGAAGTGCATTGTTAGATGTTTATTTGAAATCTGTCTGCTTTTTTTGATGTAGGCATTTATTGTTATAAACTTTCCTTTAGCTCTACTTTTGCTTTTGCTATACTCCATAGGTTTTGGTATGTTGTGTTTTCATTTTCATTTATTTCAAGAAAGTTTTTTATTTCCTTCTTAATTTCTTTATTGAGCCAATAGTCATTCAGGAGCATCTTGTTTACTTTCCATGTATTTGTAGAGTTTCCAAAGTTCCTCTTGTTGTTGCTTTCTAGTTTTAGTCCATGTTGTCTGAGACTATACTTGGCATAATTTTGATTTTAAAATTTTTTTGAGACTTTTTTGGGACCTCACAAATGGTCTATCCTGGGGAATATTCCATGTACTGATGGGAACAACGGGTATTCTGCAGCTGTTGGATAAAATATTCGGTAGACGTTTTTTAGGTCCTTTTGTTCTAAGTGCAGTTTAAATCCAGTGTTTCTTTGTTTGATACTTGTTATACGTATCTGGTTGCTCCAGTGTTGGATGCATATATATTTAGAGTTTTTGTATCTTCTTGGTGAATTGATCCCTTTATTATTATATGATGACTGTCTTTGTCTCTTTTTGTTGTTTTTGACTTAAAGTCTGTTTTAATCTAATGCAACTGTCTCTACTTATCTTGGTTACTGTTTGTGTGGAATATCTTTCTCCATTCCTTTACTTTCAGTCTACGTTTCCTTACAGGTGAAGCAAGTTTCTTGTAGGCAGCATATAGTTGGGTCATGGTTTTTGTTTTTTGTTTAAATCCATTCAGGTAGTCTGTACCTTTTAAGTGGAAAATTTAATCTGTTTACATTCAAGGTTGTTATGGATATGTGAGGATTTATTTCTGTCATTCTGTTAATTATTTTCTGGTTGTTTTATATCTTGCTTTCCTTTCTTTCTTGTTGCTTATTATTGCAATTTGGTGGTTTTCTGTAGTGGTAACATTTGAGTTTTTTCTCTTCTTCATTTGTATGTTCGTTCTACCAGTGAGTTTTTATACTTCTCCGTGTTTTCTTGATGGTAAATACCATCCTTTTGCTCATGGATGTAGGACTCCCATAAGCCCTTTCTTTGTAGGGTTTGTCTAATGGTCATGAATTCCTTCAGTTTTTGTATTTCTGGGAAAGACTTTATTTTGCTTCAGGGTAACTTTCCTGGGAACAGTATTTTTTACCTACATGCTGTGTTCTTCCAGCACTTGAATATATCATCCCATTCTCTCCTGGTCTGTAAGGTTTCTGCTGAGAAATCCACTGTTAGTCTGATGAAGGTTGTCTTATAATAGACTAGTTTTTTTCTTGCTTTTTTAGAACTTTGTGTTTGACTTTTGCCAGTTTGAGTATAATGTATCACAAAGAAAACCTTTTTGGATTATATCTATTGGGGGATCTCTGAGCTTCCTGTATCTGGATGTCTAAATCTCTTGCTATAATAGATTGGTAAGTTTTCTGCTGTTACTTTGTTAAATAAACTTCCTATGCCTTTCATCTTCAGTTTCTGGAACACCCAGAATTTGTCTACTTTGGTCCCTTTATGGTGTCCCATATGTCACATATGCAGCAGTGGGCCGGGTAGATTGCCGTGTCCTTGGTCACCTGGGCAGCATGTGTGGCATGAATGATGGCAGTAGTGGTGGCAGGAGAGCCCTCTTTCATTCTTTTTTTTTTTTTTTTGGTCTTATTGAGTTATTTCTAAAGATCTCTCATCAAGTTCTGAGATTCTTCTTTCTGCTTGATCTAGTCTATTGTCGAAGCTCTCAAATGAATTTTTAGAATTTCATTGATTGAATTATTTCATTCCAGGATCTGTTTTTGGTTCTTTTTAATGATATCTGTCCCTGGTGAATTTCTCATTTGTATCCTCAGTTGTTTTTCTGGTTTCTTTGTACTGTTTATTTGTGTTCTCTTGTATCTCACTGAGCTTCTTTAATATTATTATTTCAAATTTCTTTTCTGGTATTTAATAAGTTTCGTTTTCATTGGAATCTATTGTTGGAGAATTACTGTGTTCTTTGGAGGTGTTGTATTTTTTTTTTCACATTTCTTGTGTTTTTATGTTGTCTGTGCATCTAATGTAGCAGTTACTTCTTCCATTTTTAGATTGAATTTCCTAGGGTAAGACTTTTTCCTGAAGATGTATCTATGAGACGTCTGTCACATAGAACACTTTAACTTTGATTCTGGGTGTATGTAGCAGTGTAGTCTCCATATGATTTCTTCAGTTGTAAATGGCATCAGTGATTTTTGTGTTTTTCTCAGTGACTTGGGCTATAGTCATTAGTGGAGGCTGTGGCGAGGCTGTGCTAAGGATGTGGATGCTCAGTAGGCCAGTTCTTGGGCCCTGGTGGTGGTAGTGGTGGGTTGGATGTTACTGTCCTTGAGACCCTGGGTAGTGTGACGGTGGTGTTAGTGGGTCCAATTGGGCCATTCGGCCTCAAGGCAGCTTGGCTGGTTGCCGACAGTGGCAGCAGTGGGCTGTACAGGTGGTGTGTCCTCATTCCCCTGGACAGCATGGGTGATGGCAGTAATGGTGGTGGGACAACCCTTGGGATCCGAAGTGGTATGCATTGATGTTATCAGTGGCTGTGATGTGTGGGAGGGCCATTCCCCAGACCTCATGTATCACTCATAGGTGGCTGGTGGTTGTGGTAGTGGCAAGCTGGGTGGGTTTGTCCTCAGGGCCCCAGGAAGTATGTACAGATGCCAGCCATGGTGGGTGGGGCAATCCCTGGTCCCCTAGGCAGTGTGCTTTGGCACTTGGAGGGGAAGTTTCCAGCCAGAGTGGCTTGTCCTTAGGTGTACTTGGGCACTAGCTTTGGTGGGCAAAGTGGGGGTGATCCCCAGGCACTTTGGCAGTGTGCTCAGGTAGCTGGAGCGGTGTTTGGGGTGGGCTGGGGAAGTCTGTCCTCAAGGCGTGTACAAGTATGCTGTGGCTATGCTGCTAGGGGTGGCAGAGTTGTCAGTGGCTGCAGCTGCAGGCAGTTCTTAGGCTTCAGAGAGTGTGTGCTTCAGACCCTGGTGGAGCTGTCAGGAAGCTCCCTATGCTAGTCTCAGGGCCCTCGTAGGGATTCTTCTGTGGTTAGGGTTGCAAATGTTCATAATGAGAATGTGGACCTCTGGGAATCACTCACTTATCCTTTTCCCACAGTGGGCAGCCTCTCCAAGATTCCAGCTGAGCTGGCAGCCTGCTTCCCTCGCCTCCTTCCCTGCCTCAGGTGTTTCCTGTTACTTCTTTGTTAAATTCTAGTGTTCTGTCTTAGATGCTATGTTTGAAATGTGATTATCTGCTTGCTATTTGGTTTTTCTAAGTGCAGGTGCCAAGTATCAGATCTGTTTTCACTTTCTTAATAGTGTCTGTTGACAAAACAAGTTTGCAATTTTGATAAATTCTTCAATTTTCTTTGGGTTGCTTGCACTTTTGATGTCATAGCTAAGAAAAGATTTCCTAATCCAAGGTTACAAAGATTTACATTTATCTTTTCTAAAAGTTTCACAGTTTTATCCCTTCCATTTAGATCTTTGATCCATTTTGATTATTTTTTACGTGTGGTGTGAGTTAGGAGACCCAGTTTCATTCTTTTGCATGTGGACCATTTTCCTGGCACCAGTTGTTGAAAAGACAATTTCCCTGTTGAATTGTCTTGGTAGTCTGTGGAAAACAATTTGACCATAAATATATAATACATGGATTTACTTCTAGACTGTCGGATCAGTTCCATTGATCTGTATGTCTGCTCCTATGCCAGCATCACACTGTTCTGATTACTACAACTTTATAATAAGTTTTGAAGTCTGAGAATGTGAATCCTCCAAGTTCTTCTTTTTCAAGATTATTTTGGCTATTCTGGGTTCCTTGACATTACAATATATATTTTAGGATTATCTTGTCAATATCTGCAAAAAAGCCAGCTGGGATTTTGATAGGACTTACATTGAATCTATACATTGATTTGGGGAGTGTCGCCATCTTAACATTAAATCTTCCATCTGTGAACACATGATGTCTTTAAAAAGCTGATGAGCAAGACCCTACCTCTATAAAAACAAACAAAAAACTAAATTTAGTTCAGTGGACCCAAATAGTATATTGAGTGTTAAGCAAAATATATATCAAAGTATTCCCTCCTCCAATATCTGACCTTATATTGTTTTGTGTTAATCTTAAGATATTCTTCTTTCTTACCTCCTACAATTTCTGTGAAAGAGCAAACACACAAATATTTGGCAAATCCTAAATCTTAAGGGCAGAAAAGGACCTTTAAAATCATCTACTACAACTTTTATATAATTATTGTGGAGAATAATTACTAAAGAGAGTTATGCCTGGGAAAGGTAATTTGGCTAACCCCAAAAGATTTGTGTTTTCATTTAGCTTGCAAGGGAATAGATGATAAAAAAATGAAATAGTTGGTTGGATTCATCATTCTACTTGGAATTTATAAATCTAAACAGGAGAATATTTTTTGCGATTGTGGAGCAGAGATGACTATCCTTCAACAAAATTATAGGCCATCAAATACTTCATAAGTCTGGCATTTTGAAAATGTAAATACAAAAGCCAGAGTAATAATACTCTAGAATCTATTAGAGTTGTATTTGAAATCTGGAATCAGTGTTTACAAGATAGGTACTTTTGTTTTAGTTTTATGTGTGACAATTGATGAGTAGTTAGTTACATTCAAAAGATGTTGTCCATTTTGGTACATATACCTTTAAAACCAGGGAGATTTAAGTAACTCATCAAGTGAGTAGAAGATAGCTAAAAAAAATCATACCATGTCAGGTATAGAAAAAATATTTGACCAAGGTTAACACTCATCCAGCAAACCACCAATAAAAAGAGAATTTCCTTAACTTGATGAGACGCATTTATGAAAAATCTACAGTTTATATTATACTCTGAGATTGAGAACAAAGCAAGGATGTTTACATTCAACCACTTTTATTCAAAATCCTGTTAGAGGTCCTAGCCAATGGAGTAAGGCAAGAAAAAGAAATAAAAGGCATCCAGATTGAAAAAGAATAATGTAAGCTTGTCTTTATTTGCAAACATTAGATCCTAAGGAATCTATGGGAAAAACTACTAGAAATAATATGTGAGTTTAGCAAGGTTACAGGATACAAGATCAATATATATTTTTTTCTGTACTAGGAAGGAATGCTTGGAAAATGAAGTTAACAAAAGCAAAATAATGAAATACTTTAGGGATACATTTTAACAAAATACATGTTGACCTGTTCACTGAAAACTGCAAAACATTACCAAGAGAAATAAGGGCAGATCTACATGAATGGAGACATGTATAGTATGTTTGTGGAGTGGAAGACTCAATGTTAGATACCAGTCCTCCCCAGGTAGATTTATAGAGTTAATGTAAACCCAATAAAAAAAATCCTAGGCTGGGTGCGGTGGCTCACACCTGTAATTCCAGTGCTTTGGGAGGCTGAGACAGGAGGATAGCTTGAGTTCAGGAGTTCAAGACCAGCCTGGGCAACATACAAAGAAGAAGACAAATTTGCCAGGTATGGTTGTGCATGCCTGTGTTCCCAGCTACGTGGGAGGCTGAGGTGGGAGGATCTCTTGGGCCTGGGAGGTTGAGGCTGCAGTGAGCCATGATTGTGCCATTGCACTCCAGCCAGGGTGACAGAGACCCTATCTCAAAAAGGGAAAAAATAATTCCTCATAGGTTTCATTTTTAGAAATTGGCGTGCTGGTCCTCTTATTTATGTGGAAATGCAAAGGGCCTAAAATAGGCAAAATAATGTTGGAAAAAACTGAAGTTGGGCAAACCACTGCCAGCCCGCAGGTCAGCTTGCCGTGGTGGTGGGGAACCAAAGTTGTAGGATATATACTGCCTGATTTCTGATTTTTATACAGTTAACAATAATTAAGATAAAATGGTATTGGCGGCTGGGCATGGTGGCCATGCCATAATCACAGCACTTTGGAGACTGAGGTGGGCGGATCACTTGAGGTCAGGAGTTTGAGAGCAGCCTGGCCAATGTGGTGAAATCCCATC
Organism: Homo sapiens; assembly: GCF_000001405.40. Lineage (NCBI taxonomy): Eukaryota > Metazoa > Chordata > Mammalia > Primates > Hominidae > Homo > Homo sapiens. Next base: position 42,238,220 of record NC_000001.11, on the reverse strand, counting down.
TCTACTAAAAATATAGAAAAATTAACCAGGCATGGTGGTGCACACCTATATTCCCAGCTACTTGGGAGGCTGAGGTGGGAGAATTGCTTGAATCTGGGAGGTGGAGGTTGCAGTGAGTGAGATCACAGCACTCCACTCCAGCCTGGGTGACAGAGTGAGACTCCCGTCTCAAAAAGTAAAAAAATAAAAAATGGTATTGGCATAAGGATAGACATGTAGATCAATAGAATAGAGTTTAGAAATAGACTGTCATATATATATGTGTGTGTGTCTATATATATGTGTGTGTGTGTGTGTGTGTGTGTGTGTATTTTGATAGAGGTACCAATGTAATTCAGTAGGGAAATGTTACAATATTTTAAATGATGCTGTATATCTGAGTGAACAAAAAATTAATATTGCTCCTTATCACACACTTATACAGAAAATTAACCCTATGTGTACCAGAGACCTAAACATGGAAGTTAAGACTATAAAACTTCCGGAAGAAAACAATGGAGAATATATTTGCTATCTTGGAGTAGGCAAATTTAAAAAAAAAGATATAAAGCACATATCGTAAAATGAAAATTTGATAAATTGGACTTTATTGAATGAAAAGCTTTTTGCTCCTTACAAGGTTCCATTATGAAAACAGATAACCACAGATTGTGAGAAAATACAGTACATATTCACATAGAAATGACTCGTTATTCGGAATATTAAAAAGTCTAATAACAGAAATAGCCCATATATATATATATACATATATATGTATATGTATGTATGTGTATATATATATATGTATGTATGTATATATATATATATATATATATGTATGTATGTATGTATATATATATATTTTTTGAGATGGAGTCTTGCCCTGTTGCCCAGGCTGGAGTGCAGTGGCATGATCTCTGCTCACTGCAAGCACCGCCTCCCGGGTTCAAGCCATTCTCCTGCCTCAGCCTCCAGAGTAGCTGGGACTACAGGTGCCTGCCACCATGCCCAGCTAATTTTTGGTATTTTTGGTAGAGACGGGGTTTTACCGTGTTAGCCAGGATGGTCTCGATCTCCTTACCTCGTGATCCACCCCCCTCGGCCTCCGAGAGTGCTGGGATTACAGGTGTGAGTCACCACGCCTGGCCCAGAAATAGCCTATATTCTTATAATCCAAATAAAACATGGGCAAAAGATATTTGGAATACTAAAAAGTCTAATAACAGAAATAGCCTATATTCTTATAATCCGAATAAAACATGGGCAAAAGATATCAATAGACACTTTACAAAGGATAATATATGGGTGGCAAATAAGTACATGCAAAGATGTACAGCATCTTTGTTAGAGAAATGCACTTGCAAATCACTGAGGCACAACCACACATCAGTAGAGAGGGTATAATTGAAAAGGCTTAAAATACCAAGTGTTGGCAAGGACGGAAAAGCTGTATTGTCATACACTGCTGTCGAGAGTGGAAAATAGTTTCACAGTTTGAGTTCACTTGTATGAAATGCTAGAAAATGCACAATGATAGGAATCAGTGGTTGTATGGGATGAGAGAAGGCTAAGGAAAGGGAATTGCTTCCTGAGTCACGCAAAGGAGATTTTTAGTGTTCTGTATTTTTAGTGTTAGTTACATGAAGGTATACAGTTGTCAAAATTTCTTAAATTGCACACTTAAAATGCGTGCATTTTATTTTTATTTAAATATACTTCGGCAAAGTTGATTTTAAAAATAAAACTAGATTGAGTGTGATGGCTCATGCCTGTAATCCTAGTGCTTGGGATGCCTAGGTGGGAAGATACTTAGAGGCCGGAAGTTCAAGATGAGCTTGGGCAACGTAGCAAGACCCTGTCTCTACAAAAAGATAAAGGAAAATATTAGCTGTGCCTGGTGACAGGAACTTATAGTCCTACCTATTCAGGAGGCTGAGGAAGGAGTATTGATTAAGCCCAGGAGTTTGAGGTTGCATTGATCTATGATTGTGTGCCACTGTGTTCCAGTGTTGGCACCAAAGCAAGACCTTGCCTCAACACCCTTTCCTTGCCAAAAAACAAAACCAAAACCACTTAAACAAAAACCTCCTGTTTCCTACTTGCTCCACATGAGTCTAGTGGTGTAGATCCTACTCTGGGAGGAAATTGGACTGATCCTGTGTTCGTTGATTGACTGTCTAAAATGGCAGTTCAGTTTTTGTGAGATTTCTATATTGTCTAACAAGGAAGAGCAAAGGTAACTGCTTCTTAGATGGCCGGGTGTGGTAGCTCACACCTGTAACCCCAGCATTTTGGGATGCCCAAGGCAGGAGGATCATTTGAGCCCAAGAGTTTGAGACCAACCTGGGCAACATGATGAGACCCCATTTCTACAAAAAATCAGAAAACTAGGCCTGGTGCAGTGGCTCACACCTGTAATGCCAGCACTTGGGAGGCAGATCACCTGAGGTCAGGAGTTCGAAATCAGCCTAGCCAACATGGTGAAACCTCGTCTCAACTAAAAATACGAAAATTATCCGGGTGTGGTGGCGGGCGCCTGTAATCCCAGCTACCTGGGAGGCTAAGGCAGGAGACTTGCTTGACCCCAGGAGGCAGAGGTTGCAGTGAGCCGAGGTTGCGCCACTGCACTCCAGCATGGCTGACAGAGTGAGATTCTGTCTCAAAAAAAAAACAAAAAAACACAAAAAAAAACGGGTGGAGCCAAGATGGCCGAATAGGAACAGCTCCAGTCTACAGCTCCTAGAGTGAGCGATGCAGAAGATGGGTGATTTCTGCATTTCCAACTGAGGTACTGGGTTCATCTCACTGGGGAGTGTCAGAAAGTGGGTGCAGGACAGTGGGTGCAGCGCACCGAGCGTGAGCCGAAGCAGGGCGAGGCATTACCTCACCCGAAAAACGCAAGGGGTCAGGGAATTCCCTTTCCTAGTCAAAGAAAGGGATGACAGACAGCACCTGGAAAATTGGGTCACTCCCACCCTAATACTGCACTTTTCCAACAGTCTTAGCAAACGGCACACCAGGAGATTATATCCCGTGCCTGGCTCGGAGGGTCCTACGCCCACGGAGCCTTGCTCATTGCTAGCACAGCAGTCTGAGATCAAACTGCAAGGCGGCAGCAAGGCTGTGGGAGGGGCGCCCGTTATTGCCTAGGCTTGAGTAGGTAAACAAAGCGGCCAGGAAGCTCCAACTGGGTGGAGCCCACCACAGCTCAAGGAGGCCTGCCTTACTCTGTAGACTCCACCTCTGGGGGCAGGGCATAGCCAAACAAATGGCAGCAGAATCCTCTGCAGACTTAAATGTCCCTGTCTTACAGCTTTGAAGAGAGTAGTGGTTCTCCCAGCATGCAGCTGGAGATCTGAGAACGGACAGACAGCCTCCTCAATTGTAGCCTAACTGGAGGCACCGAGTAGCCTAACTGGGAGGCACCCCCCAGTAGGAGCACACTGACACCTCACACGGCCAGGTACTCCTCTGAGACAAAACTTCCAGAGGAACGGTCAGGCAGCAACATTTGCTGCTTGCCAATATCTGCTGTTCTGCAACCTCTGCTGCTGATACCCAGGCAAACGGTCTGGAGTGGACCTCCAGCAAACTCTAACAGACCTGCAGCTGAGGGTCCTGACTGTTAGAAGGAAAACTAACAAACAGAAAGGACATCCACACCAAAACCCCATCTGTACGTCACCATCATCAAAGACCAAAGGTAGACAAAACCACAAAGATGGGGAAAAGACAGAGGAGAAAAACTGGAAACTCTAAAAATCAGAGCGCCTCTCCTCCTCCAGAGGAACACAGCTCCTCACCAGCAACGGAACAAAGCTGGACGGAGAATGACTTTGACGAGCTGAGAGAAGAAGGCTTCAGACGATCAAACTACTCCGAGCTAAAGGAGGAAGCTCGAACCCATGGCAAAGAAGTTAAAAACCTTGAAAAAAAAATTAAACAAATGGCTAACTAGAATAACCAATGCAGAGAAGTCCTTAAAAGACCTGATGGAGCTGAAAACCAAGGCATGAGAACTATGTGACAAATGCGCAAGACTCAGTAGCCAATTTGATTAACTGGAAGAAAGGGTATCAGTGATGGAAGATCAAATGAATGAAATGAAGTGAGAAGAGAAGTTTAGAGAAAAAAGAATAAAAAGAAACGAACAAAGTCTCCAAGAAATATGGGACTATGTGAAAAGACCAAATCTATATCAGATGCAGAAAAGGCCTGTGACAAAATTCAACAACCATTCATGCTAAAAACTCTCAATAAATTAGGTATTGATGGTACATATCTCAAAATAATAAGAGCTGTCTATGACAAACCCACAGCCAGTATCATACTGAATGGGCAAAAACTGGAAGCATTCCCTTTGAAAACTGGCACAAGACAGGGATGCCCTCTCTCACCACTCCTATTCAACATAGTGTTGGAAGTTCTGGCCAGGGCAATGAGGCAGGAGAAGGAAATAAAGGGTATTCAATTAGGAAAAGAGGAAGTCAAATTGTCCCTGTTTGCAGATGACATGATTATATATCTAGAAAATCCCATCATCTCAGCCCAAAATCTCCTTAAGCTGATAAGCAACTTCAGCAAAGTCTCAGGATACAAAATCAATGTACAAAAATCACAAGCATTCTTATACACCAATAACAGACAAACATAGAGCCAAATCATGAGTGAACTCCCATTCACAATTGCTTCAAAGAGAATAAAATACCTAGGAATCCAACTTACAAGGGATGTGAAGGACCTCTTCAAGGAGAACTACAAACCACTGCTCAATGAAATAAAAGAGGATACAAACAAATGGAAGAACATTCCATGCTCATGGGTAGGAAGAATCAATATCGTGAAAATGGCCATACTGCCCAAGGTAATTTATAGATTCAATGCCATCCCCATCGAGCTACCAATGACTTTCCTCACAGAATTGGAAAAAACTACTTTAAAGTTCATATGGAACCAAAAAAGAGCCCGTGTTGCCAAATCAATCCTAAGCCAGAAGAACAAAGCTGGAGGCATCGTGCTACCTGACTTCAAACTATACTACAAGGCTACAGTAACCAAAACAGCATGGTACTGGTACCAAAACAGAGATATAGATCAATGGGACAGAACAGAGCCCTCAGAAATAATGCCGCATATCTACAACCATCTGATTTTGACAAACCTGAGAAAAATAAGCAATGGGGAAAGGATTCCCTATTTAATAAATGGTGCTGGGAAAACTGGCTAGCCATATGTAGAAAGCTGAAACTGGATCCCTTCCTTACACCTTATACAAAAATTAATTCCAGATGGATTAAAGACTTATATGTTAGACCTAAAACCATAAAAACCCTAGAAGAAAACCTAGGCATTACCATTCAGGACATTGGCATGGGCAAAGGCTTCATGTCTAAAACACCAAAAGCAATGACAACAAAAGCCAAAATTGACAAATGGGATCTAATTAAACTAAAGAGCTTCCACACAGCCAAAGAAACTACCATCAGAGTGAACAGGCAGCCTACAGAATGGGAGAAAATTTTTGCAATCTACTCATCTGACAAAGGGCTAATGTCCAGAATCTACAAAGAACTCAAACAAATTTACAAGAAAAAAACAGCCCCATCAAAAAGTGGGCGAAGGATATGAACAGACACTTCTCAAAAGAAGACATTTATGCAGCCAAAAGACACATGAAAAAATGCTCATCATCACTGGCCATCAGAGAAATGCAAATCAAAACCACAATGAGATACCATCTCACACCAGTTAGAATGGCAATCATTAAAAAGTCAGGAAACAACAGGTGCTGGAGAGGATGTGGAGAAATAGGAACACTTTTACACTATTGGTGGGACTGTAAACTAGTTCAACCATTGTGGAAGTCAGTGTGGCGATTCCTCAGGGATCTAGAACTAGAAATACCATTTGACCCAGCCATCCCATTACTGGGTATATACCGAAAGGATTGTAAATCATGCTGCTATAAAGACACATGCACACGTATGTTTATTGCAGCACTATTCACAATAGCAAGGACTTGGAACCAACCCAAATGTCCAACAATGATAGACTGGATTAAGAAAATGTGGCACATATACACCATGGAATACTATGCAGCCATAAAAATGATGAGTTCATGTCCTTTTTAGGGACATGGATGAGGCTGGAAACCATCATTCTCAGCAAACTATCGCAAGGACAAAAAACCAAACACCGCATGTTCTCACTCATAGGTGGGAATTGAACAGTGAGAACACATGGACACAGGAAGGAGAACATCACACACCGGGGCCTGTTGTGGGGTGGGGGTAGGGGGGAAGGATAGCATTAGGAGATATACCTAATGTTAAATGACGAGTTAATGGGTGCAGCACACCAACATGGCACATGTATACATATGTAACATGCACGTTGTGCACATGTCCCCTAAAACTTAAAGTATAAAACAAAACAAAAACAGGCGTGGGGGTGGGGTGTGGACCTGTGGTCTCAGCTACTTGTGGGGCTCGGGATCACTTCAGCTTTGGAGGTCAAGGCTGCATTACGCCATGGTCGTGCCACTGTATTTAAAAAAAATAAAAATAGAAACGGCTGAGAGGTACTTTTTGGTGGTAAAATATACATAACATAATTCTTACCATTTGAATCATTTTAGGTGTACAGTTCAGTAATATTAAGTTCATTCACATTCTTGTGCAGTTATCATTACCATCCATCTCGAGAACGTTTTCATCTTCCCACACTTAAATTCTTCACTCATTAAACAATAAGTACCTACATTCCCTTCCCCTTATCCCCTACCAACCATCATTTTACTCTTTGTCTCTAAGAATTTTAGTACTTATAAGTGGAATCATACAATATTTGTCCTTCTGTGACTGGCTTATGTGTCAGAGTATCCCTCGTTTTTTTTGTTTGTTTGGTTTCTTTTTTGGAGATGGAGTCTCGCTCTGTCACCCAGGCTAGAGTGCAGTGGCGTGATCTCGGCTCACTGCGAGCTCTGCCTTCTGGGTTCACGCCATTCTCCTGCCTCAGCCTCCCGAGTAGCTGGGACTACAGGCACCTGCCATCATGCCCTGCTAATTTTTTGTATTTTTTTTTTTTTTTAAGTAGAGACGGGGGTTTCACTGTGTTAGCCAGGATGGTCTGGATCTCCTGACCTTGTGATCCGCCTGCCTTGGCCTCCCAAAGTGTTGGGATTACAGGCGTGAGCCACGGCGCCTGGCCAGAATATCCCTCCTTTTTAAGGTTGAGTAATACTCCATTGTATGTATGTGGCATATTTGTTTATCCATTTATCCTTCAATGCACACTTGGACTGCTTTACCTTTTGGCTGTTGTGAGTAATATTACTATGAACATGGGTGTTAAAATACTTGAGTTCCTGCTTTCGTATCTTTTGGATATATATCCAAAAGTGGAATTGCTGGATGATTTGGTAATTCTGTTTAATTTTTTTAGGAATTGCCATATTTTCTACAGTGGTTACACCGTCACACATTTCTATCAGTAGTGCATAAGAGTTTCAGTTTCTCTATGTGCTTGCCAATACAGGTTGAGCATCCTTAATCTGAAAATTTGAAATACAAATGCTATAAAATCCAAAACTTGTTGAGCGCCAACATGATGCCACTAGTGGAAAATTCCATGCCTGACCTCATATGATGGATTACAGTCAACGTTTTGTTTTCATGCAGAAAATTATTAAAATTATTACAAAAAATTACCTTCAAACTATGTGTATAAACATTTATATGAAACATAAATTAATTTTGAGCTTTAGACTTGGGTCCCATCCACAGGATCTCTCATTAGGTATATGCAGGTATTCCAAAATCTGAAAAAATCTGATATCCAAAAGACTTCTGATTTCAAGCATTTTGGATAAGGGATACTTAGCCTGTACCTGCTATTTTCTGTTTTTTTTGATCATAGACATGCTAGTGGGTATAAAGTGTTATCTTACTATGGTTTTGATATGTGAAGAGGAATTTTAAGGTCTCTTTATTCAAACCTGTGATTTCAGAGATCAAACTCAAATACTGTGTTAGCCTGAACTGTTTGGTGGAAGATTTCACAATTAGTTTTGTGAATCTTTTTAATTATTAGAATTTGCATTTAGGCGTTCAGGATTTTATGAATACCTAGTGGATAGGTAGGCTATGGGCAAATTTTTTCCCTTTTGTTGATTTATTTGTGACAAGCCACAACCATTCGTATTTTGTGTGGAAGAAGAGTTATCTATTTGTTTTTGTAATTTTATTGAAAGGTTTACTAACAAATCAGGGTCAAGTTTGGACATTGAATGGTTTCCCCAGATTAATACACATATACACACCCATCCAAAACAAAACTAAATGCTGGAATTTGTCATTTCTATGAAAAGTGGTTTTTAAACTATTGTCCAATGAGTTTTGGTATTTTCTCTGCTACTTTATTTTTAATTTTTATAAGAACTCAGTATAAAATTTTTCCCCCTTGCATTTATTCTGAAACTTGCTAGCCAAACCTATTCCCAAAATCATTGTTTTCCCATTTTTAGTGCTTTTTGTAGCATCTGCATTTTATAGGGTTCTTGGCAAGTTTGTAGTTCCTACCTAGCAGGTTCTTACCACATCTGGTAGACTCCTTAGCTGAAATGTAGTGACCGTTTTGAAAAGATAACATAGAAATACCCCAGCAGTAGCTGGGCGATGAAATGAACATTAAGCTCAGGTACCTACATAGACCAGAATCTGAGACGTACACACCTACCTTGTACCCCAACAGTGTACACTGACATGTACATAGTAGTACCCTGTACACTGATATTCTTGGTGCAGTTTGTTAAACAGCTTTTTTTCCCTTCTCATTTCGACAGATGTTAATTGAGTACTTGCTTTGTGTCTGACATTGTGACTGGCACTGTGGATATAGAAACGAGTAAAATAGTCCCTATCCATAAGGAATTTATAGCCTAGAAGGGGATACAGACCTGTAAACAGAATTGAATGTTAATTTGCAAACAATGGTCTAAATGTGTAAAAAGTGTAGAGATCTTGCAGAGGGAGAGAGTGATGAATTCTTGGGTATGGCAGGACGGTCAGAAAAGGATTCCTTTGGATAATCCGAGGTAAAATTTGAAGGTGGAATATGAGTTTGTCATTGGTATGGTAGGTATTACAAGTAGTGAGGTCAGCGTGTAGGACAGGAACAGATAAACAACATGGTATGTTCAAGAAAGTATAAGGAGATGATTCGTGTTGGGCATAAAGTGTGAGGATTGATAGGTGAGGGTTGTATTTCCCCTCATTGTTAAGCGTTGCCTTAAAAAACGGCCTAGGAAGATTAATGAGATAGTAGAGGTGAAGACTAAATTTGGATATGATCACTGGGATTAATTGTAAAACTAGGATATACATTGTGTTTCTGTTTCTGAAATGCATATCTTCCTCCCTTCCCTCTTTCCCTTTCTTGAACTCCCCTCTTTCATGCTTTCCTCCCCCATGTGTGTGTGTATAGAGGCAGGATAATTGAGGGAAAAAGAGCTAAAAATCCAGACTTTGTTTCTGTTTGTTTTTGTTCCTGGTTCTCACAACTTTGAATGGGAAAGCCACTTTATCTTTCTGTGTTTTGCTCTTCTTGTTTGTATAATATTTGCAAACTTATATTATCTATGGATCTATGCTTTTCCAAAGTTTTTTTTTTTTTTTTGGAGAGTCACAGTTTCTGAGTACCTGGAACACAGTAGGTGCTCCATACATATTTTCAAATGAATGCTGTGATAACTTGTCTCAAAAAGTAAGAGAGAATAGTTAAGTCACGACAGAGTAAGCAGTAAAAAGTTTATGTACGTATCATTGCTTCTCAGGAACACTTACTATATAAAATGTGTTCAAGCAGTTTGTCTTTAAAAATGTTTCACTAACCATGTAGATTTGTGAGGTCCTGGGCTATAGAAACTACAGTATCTTTATACATTAAATTCTTTTATTGTCATATAATTATCATCTGTTCAATTGAGAATTACTATAAAAAATGTGTTTTGTTGATCATTTTCTTTCTAAATTTTGGTGTGGCAGAAGTTCTTGGATTTGGATTCTTCAGTTTATGAAAGTTTTCTTTTAATAATGTAATTATAAGTGGATATATTTTCTTATATAATCTTTTTCTCAGTTCAAAACAAGTGTTTCTTGTGCTATTTTTCCATTGTATTTGCAGAATGTTTGCTTTTGATGCAAAGGATTATAAAAATCCATTTTAATATCATAGGTTTGCTGTAATATACTGTTAATATAATTTCTTTACCTCTAGGGGTCCTACTGGGCAATAGACACCAATCCGAAGGAAGATGTGCTGCCTACTCGGCCAAAGAAGAGGGCACGATCTGTAGAACGGGTAAAGGCTCTTTATCATAAATTTAGTGTAATGCATTGAATATGTCTGAAATACAGATTTTGAAAGTTCTTTTCCAGTCTAGCACATGTAACTATAATGATGGTAAGATTTTATTTGTGTAGCATTTTACATTTTTCAGAACACTTTTCAGACTCATTTTATTTGATCTTAACTCTGAGGGACAGTTTAGGAATTAAGTAAAAGGTTTTGTCATAATTAGGGCGCAGGTGTCGTTTGAGACTTGAATCCAGCTCTCTTGAGTTTTAATTTGGTATTCTTTTCTCTACAACATTTAGGAATAGTTTTATGTAACACAACTATTCCCTTCTATTATAGAGGATCAGTTTGGTTGCATTGAATTTTCCCCATTGTCCTCAAAATACCTTTTCCTGGTTCTGTCCATTTAATAGTCACTTTGTACACAACATTTCTAAGTTGGGTGCGTGTGTATTGCTTGTAAGATAATTCTTACTTGTGAATTAATGGTTAAAATTAATTTGCAAGAGTGAAAGTAAAAAGGAACTATAGTTAATATCCTAAGTTGTCTATTTTAACATATTTTTAGTCAGCACTTTGACTGCCGTCAGCTTTCCTTATCCTTTCTGCATTTCCAGCATCTCAACTAAAACATACAAACACATATCCATCCTACCTTACTGTTCTTCAAGACCCATTTCTAATGTTAACTGCTTTGTGAAGCTTCGCTTACTCTCTTCCATTTTTGTTCTTGTAGAATTTTTATAAAACTCTTTTATGGAATTTCTTACACTTTGTAGAAATTATTTGTTTTTATATTTGTCTCCTCTACTGGAATATGTGCCCCTTAAGGGCAGAGAAAATACCTTTCATTTGTATCTCCAGTGTTACCATTTTTCACAGCTTATAATAGATACTAGTAAATGTTTGCAGCATGAATCAGGGCAAAGAGAATAGGATAAGATGGAAGAAATGGAGTAAATGCTTGTCAAATAAATTTGTTCTGTGCCCATTCCCAGTAAAGGGTTAAAACTTTTGAGCCTCAAAGATAAAGATCTCAAACTGGGATTAGGTTGGGATCACATGAGTTCATGAGGTACAGCAGCAATGAGATTTAGTAAGGAAGATTTATTGGATTCAGCAGAGGGAATTCAGTAAGCCAGTTATCAAGATATATAAAATGAATTCTTAGGCCAGAACAACTTTTGACTTTACACAAACCAGAGTTTAAGAAGTTAAAGTTTAGTATTGGTGACATGGTCTTCTGGTAACAGAGCTAGACAAAATTTTTTTTTTTTTGAGATGGAGTCTCGCTCTGTCACCCAGGCTAGAGTGCAATGGCATGATCTCAGCTCACTGCAACCCCACCTCCTGTGTTCAAGCCATTCTCCTGACTCAGCCTCCCAAGTAGCTGGGATTACAGGCACCCACTGTGCCCGGCTAATTTTTATATTTTTAGTAGAGACAGGGTTTTGCCATGTTGGCCAGGCTTGTTTCGAACTCCTGACCTCAGGTGATCCACCCACCTTGGCCTCTCAAAGTGCTGGTACTACAGGCGTGACCCGCCGTGCCCGGCCAGAGCTAGACAATTTTACAAGAGATGTTGATAAGCTCAGTATGTTATCATTTGAGAAGGAACGAACATCAGTTTCTGCTCTCTTGCCTTTGCCTTTTTTTTTTTTTTAAGCACTCCTCTCAGCTTATACCTAGCCTTTGCCTTTTAAAGTAGGCTTAATGCATGGACATTATATGAATGTGTGGAGTATAAAACATTTAGCATCTGTTGCCAGAATTTGAAGGAAGGGGAGAAAAATTCACATTTTAAAAAACACATAGCATTGTTAAACAATTTGGAAAAGATTGAAGAGCTGAAGAATTGCGTTCTTCTCTATTTGCTTTTTTCTTCTGAAGTTCCTGGAATTTCAGTTATTTTTGGAAGTTGGAATTGGGCGAACAACTGTCCGTGTCTTTTGGATATTAAGCTTGCCTTTTATTCTTGTTACCTTGTTTTATTAAAGCAATCCCTCCCTATTTTTGAGAGTCTTCCTTTTTTTTCTGAGACTGTATTGGCAGTTTTATAGTGGAGGCCTAAAGAAATACAGGATTCAGGTTACAAAAACATGTGTTATTGAATGTACATTTTGGACATATATTTTCTGTATTCATTTTCTACTGCTTTTTGATCATCACTTTAAGTTTAAAATGTAAAATATTCAGAAATTTACTTTTGTGGTATATTTTCACAAAGTATTCATAAACATACCAGGGCCTTTCGATTACTAATACTGATATTCATTTTGGCCTAAGCTGGATATTGGTTGCCCCTGTAGGAGCATACAAAGAGATTAGCTGTAAGCAAAGGGCATATAATTAGGGGGACAGATATTATTTAACAAATATACTAAAATATAGTGTTCTTATGGAACATAATTTCCTGCCCTGATAAACTGAATTACCTGTATTTTTCCTTTAGAGTTTTTTTTAGAGTGGGAAGTGAGAGGTTATATAATATATAGTATTTTTGTTAGGACAGAGTTTATATTTTAAGTAACCATTGGGTTTTATCTAAGAAAATGCCTAGGGCAAATAGTGATGGTCCTGAACATGACCTTCAGACATTTAAAGGATAAAAGTTAAATGTAGATGGTAAATAAATTGATACCCCTCTAAGTTCCGTATTAAATTTCTGAAATTTGTGATTCCTTTGTCCACATGTAAACATTGAAATTCTGTGTGAAAAAAATAAAAATTATTTCACACATTTTTAATTTTGAAGTGATGAGCTTTTGATGGAACAGAGAAGGCTTTCTTTCCTTTTTTTTTTTTGAGGGGAGTCTGGATTTCACTCTGTCACCCAGGCTAGAGTGCAGTGGTGCTGCTGGCTTACTGCAGCCTCTACCTCCCGGGCCCAGGTTGATCCTCCTGCCTCAGCCTCCTGAGTAGCTGGGACTACCACCACGCCCAGCTAATTTTAAAATTTTTTGTAGAGATGGGGTCTTGCCATGTTGCCGAGGCTGGTCTCAAACTCCTGGGCTCAAGCAGTCCACCCACTTCAGCCTCCCAAAGTGCTGGGATTATAGATGTGAGCCACTGGGCCCAGCTGAAAAAAGACTTCTAAACTGCTAAAGAGAAGTGATTTTAAAAAATGCAAGCAAGAGCATCTTTATGTCTTAAACGGAAGATAAAGCTTGACAGTTACCTCCATCCTAATATTATTTTTTCTTTCTTATTTTTATTTATTTATTTTTTCTTTTGAGACAGAGTCTCAAAAGACACCCAGGCTGGAGTGCAGTGGTGCAATCTTGGCTCACTGCAACCTCTGCCTCCTGGGTTCAAGTGATTCTTCTGCCTTAGCCCCTCCGAGTAGCTAGGATTACAGGCGTTCACCACCACGCCCAACTAATTTTTGTATTTTTAGTAGAGATGGGGTTTCATCATGTTGGCCAGGCTGGCTCCATCCTAATATGCTTAACCCAGTTCTCTGGAATACTTACCTGTCCCCTCCATTTACATGAGCATAAGCCTGTGTGTGCTCTCTGTTCTGTTATTATTATATTTCTTCTTTTCTTAATCCATGAGTTAGTTTATAAATCTCCTTTTCCTTTTAAAAATTTATTTCATCTTATCATTTTTTAATCATATAATGGTCCTGAAGACCTTAAACAAATTGAATAAAATTTCAGTTTATTGAAAAGATACTGAATAAAATGGACAGACTCTAGTAGGAATCTCATATTTCTTTTCTGACTTCACAACTTACTAGTTCCTGTGACTTTTGGCAAGTTGTTAAATTCTTTGCACTTCAGTATTCTCAGCTATAAGTAAGAGGCTAAAAGTCAAAACAATAGAAGATTATGCTGAATTTATGTGTCAAATGCTTTTTAAAGGATTTTATGTGTATTAACTCATGTAATTTTTAAAATAACTCTGATGAAGCTGATGAACATGGATGTTAAGTGAGTTATCCAAGGTACTAAAAAATACCAAAGCCAGAATTTGAACTCAGATAGTCTTGCCTTCACAGTTTGTGCTGTCTACAACTACATTATTCTTCCACTGGTATTTGTTATGCTGAAGACTACAACACTGAATCAAAATTCTTTTTACAGATGCATATTCTGTTGTGAGCTCATCATCCTTGATTTAAAGCAGAATTCCCTCCATTAATTCAAACATATATAATTAAGTAACATAAATGTGATTATAAATGACAGAGCAAATATTAAGTAATGAATTTGGTAGACCAACTGAAGTGATTCAGAATACATAATGCTGTCTGGGAAGGCCTCTAAGGAAGAGGAATGAGACTTTGAGACTAGTAATTTTGGTGCGAAAGTGGAGCTGTTTTTGCGTAGAAAATGCTAAAGGATGTTCCACTTGGAGACACAGCATGCATGATTGACTAGTAGGTAAGAAGTACAGGTGGGCATAATTGAAGACCGTTTAAATTATTGTGAAGAACTTAGGCTGGAGTGTGGATATTTAGATAAGGGGTGGACAGATTTGGTTAGATAAACTAAAGTTATGAGATCAGGACTTTTACTTTGATTTGACAGCCCATAGTGTTGAGAAGTGAATCAAAACAGTTAAGGTACATAGTCTTCACATAACCCATTGCAAGAGGAAGATGCTGAGTAGATACAGATGGTGTTGCAATAGTAATGGCCTGAGCTAGGGATATATACATAAATGAGGTTCTCTGGAAAACTAGCATGCTTTCTGAATGCTGTATATACCTGTAATTATATGTAGTGTCATTTTATCAGTTTGACAGATCTTTATTCTGTAGATACTGTGTGCCAGGCATTGTACTAGGGTACTGTGGTGCATACCAAGAAGAATAAGACGTAAGACACATAATTTTAGGACAAGGGTAAAGTATAGAAGGTATTTTAAGAAAGATAAACTATTGTGTGCAGAGGAAGGAGAGATTATTTCTTACTAGTACTGTCTGAGAAGGCTTCATAGGTTATGTGGCTTAGCTTTCAGGTGGTGATAGGCAGAGCAAAGTAGAGAGAATACCATTCAGGGTATATGTCTAATAAATGAGGGTTAAGTGTCTATCATTAAAAGGTATTGTTCTAGATCCTGAGGAAACAGCAATGAACAAAACACAAAACCTACTTCCTGTCCTCATGAAGTTTATGTTCTGATTGAGGGGAGGGAATTTAGAGTGAGAAAGGTAGGAGTAAACACAAGATAAGAGGTCTTTATTAAAGGTATTGGGTAGAAAAGTATTAGGATTTGAGTGGGAACACAGTAGTTAATTTTGTCTGGATAAGATTTTCCTTTTTGAAGTTAATTTGCATTATAAAAATTCATGCTTATCAGACCACACCTTTTGTATTCTAAGCACTAAGTGTTGAGGGAACAGTTGGTAAACAAGACAGTCATACCCTCTCCTCACTCAAGCAGGGAAGATAAACTGATAAGGTAGGATGAATGTACATTCCTGGTGTTGCTTATTGTCTCAGCATAACTACTAGTTCTGCATTCATTCTCCAAATAGCTTGTGGATGATAAATTATGTGGTCACAGAAAGATAAGGGTTTTTGAGAACTGTGGGGCCATGTAGCAGAGAGGCATAACAATCTAATAATCAGGGAAGGTTTTCTTGAAGAAGTGACGTTAATTGGAGGCCTGATGGATGAACTGAAATAGGGCAGATTAGTGGGATTTGGAAGGTGAAAAACTGGTTGTAAAAAGGAATGCCCTCAAAGCGCAAGACAGGTCAGTATGGTTGACTGAGCATGGAATCCAAGAAAGACAGTAATTCCTTATTTTTCAACTTTTTATTTCTTCTTCTTCTTCTTCTTCTTCTTCTTCTTCTTCTTCTTCTTCTTCTTCTTCTTCTTCTTCTCCTTCTCCTTCTCCTCCCCCTCCCCCTTCTCCTTCTCCTCCTCCTCCCCCTCCCCCTCCCCCTCCCCCTCCCCCTTCTTCTTTTTTTTTTTTTTTTAATAGAGACAGGGTCTTGCTACATTTCCCAGGCTGGTCTCAAACTCCTGGGCTCAAGCAGTTCTCTTGCCTTGGCCCCCCAAAGTACTGGGATTAAGGTGTGAGCCACCTGTGTTTGGCCAGTTTCCTGACCTTTTTGCATTTTGCTTTTTAATTTGGGCTTGCAAGCAATTAAACTATTCCAAGGAAACTAGTGTCAAGGAGTAGAAGAGGGAACATATATCTTAGGTAGTTTTTTAGCAGTGGATCATGCCTGTAATCGCAGTACTTTGAGAGTCCTGGGCAGCAAGATAAGACCCACCTCTCCATCTCTACCAAAAGAAAAAAAAAATAGTGGGTGTGGTGGCACCTGCCTCTAGTCCCAGCTACTGGGGAGGCTGAGGCCAGAGGATTGCGTGAGCCCAGGAGTTTGAGGTTGCAGTGAGCCATGATTGTGCCACTATACTCCAGCCTGAGCAACAGAGCAAGACCCTTTCTCAATAAAAGAAAGAAATGCCTCAAAACAGTGAGTGCTCCAAGTTACTTTTATCATCTTGATAATCAAGAAATCATATTCTTGTCTATTCATTCTTTGATCCCCCCAACCCCCTTTTTAACTTAAATCTTTTGTCTTGGCTATTTTCTAATGTTATTCTTTGCTTATAGAAACTTATGATGCTGTCTCAGTAGTTCTCTGTGTGTGAGGCTGTTTCAGGGAGCACATGAGGTCAGAACTGTGTTCATAATAAAACTCAGATGTTCTTTGCTTTTTTCATTCATTATCGCTCACTCACACCTTTTCTAGAGACTACATGACATGTGATTTTGCCATAGATTGAATGCTGAGGCAGATGTGTCTTCTATAATGGCAAGCATTAAAGCAATTAAAAATACGTAAATTAATGCCATTCTTCTAAATATTTTTGTTTTGGAGAATGTTTTATGCAAAATAATATTATGTTAACATGTATGTTTATTCTTGTTGGTTTTAAATGAATTAATGATTATTGTCCTGAGACTAAAAATTTGAGAACTATTGCATTAAAGAAAGATTTTGTATCTATCCTAGGAGACTTTCCTTTTGAGAAAAGGAAAAGATGTCTGCCATGGTTTGGGTTTCCTCAGAAGCAGACAAGAAATTGAGCACAGGTAGTTTGAGGGATGATCCTTGCAAAGTAGGGCAAGGAGATAGGACAAGGGAATGAAGCCAATAAGGGTAAATCACCCAGTCAGTTAAAACTGTTAGCACCTAGAGCTCGATCTCATTGGGGACTCCGGGAGGCAGTTTAGAACTGCAGGCCAACGAGTGGGATGTTTATCCATCGGTTCTTCCTTCTCATTAATTGAGTGATGCTTCTAGGGGCTTTAGCTTTTCAGCACCTTTGGCTTGCCCTGCATGAAGCCAAAGCATGCTTCCCAATCAGAAAAAAAGCCCTCGAGGAGAAAGTTGCTGTTATTTGTAGTAAGCAACCTTCAGAGTGTAGGTGGGATATGGGAGGGTTTGGATGGTTTTTGCCATGTCTTTACTTTTTTTCTATTGGTGGAGTGTGTTTTCAGACCCTTTGTTTTTGTTTTTCCCTTTGCAGCCTCCTGGATTTTCAATTCCTAGCCCAAGAAATCCTTTAAAAACATACTTTGTCTCTTTTCAAGTGTGTATGTGCACAACTGTTCCTCTTAAATTAGTAGACTCACGGTGTATGTTTTTGAGTGTATTGTTTCGTGTAATTGAAATAGTCTCTTCCTGGTCACTGCTTAGTGTGCCTAAGTTCCATATTCAGAGTTAAAAAATATAAGTGACGCATTCAACACTTTTATGGAAGAAGTTGGAACTCTGTGACTATTGCATATGGGTAGTGATTTCAGATATTTACTGTGTTTCTGTTGTATGCTTAGCCCAGGTAAGGTACTTTGAAAGAGTTATAATTAGGAAATAATGCACTTGTTAGAAATGTAAACTGTCTGAACATTTAAAGCTGCTAGGAGTGAGGATAGGGGTGTTGCCAGTGGTAGAAAATGGAAATTCTAAAAAGAAAACTCCAAAACTTTATTTGTTGGAGACAAAGTCTCAGCCTGTTGCCCAGGCTGCAATGCAGTGTTGTGACCATGGCTCACTGCAGTCTCGACCTCCTGGGCTCAAGCTATCCTCAACTGTTTAGCTTCCTGATTAGCTGGGACTATAGGTACATGCCCAGCTAGTTTTTCTTATTTTTGTAGAGACAGGTCTTTCTTTGTGTCAAACACCTGGCTGAGACCTCCTGCCTTGGCCTCTCAAAGTGCTAGGATTATAGGCATAAGCCCCCATGCTGGGCACCCAAAACTTTAGATTGCTTTGTGTTTTAGCATCATTTAAAGACCTAAAGTTTCTGTTTAGGTTACTATTTTTCCATGTTTTTACATAGTAAGCGCAAGGCCAAGTTATGTTATAAAGTCATGAGGGTATCATTTTTATTTGGTACAAGATTTATGGGAAATGGTACAGTAGACCTCCCTGAGGGGTATACGTTCCAAGACCCCCAGTGGCTGCCTGAAACCAGATAGTACTGAACCCTATATATACCATGTTTTTTTCCTAAACAGGCATACCTATGATAAAGTTTAATTTATAAATTAGGCACAGTAAGAGGTTAACAACAATAATAATAAAGCGATACCACGACAGTCAATCTGATAACCAAGAGGGCTGCTGGTAGTGTATACAAAGTGGATATGATGGACAAGGGATGATTCATGTCCCAGGTGGGACAGAGTGGGGTGACACAAGATTTTATCACCCTGCTCAGAATAACATGCAATTTAAAACATGAATTGGTTATTTTGGGAATTTTTTTCTTTAAAATTTTTAGACCATAGTTGATCACAGGAAACTGAAACTGCAGAAAGTGAAACTGTGGAAAAGAGAGGACTCCTGAACTAACCTGGAAGTTTGGAGACCTAGTTTTAAAGTTGTATGTTATAACTTAGAATATGTATTAATTTTTCTGGCTGTAGTTTCTTTATATAAATGTAAGTGGATTGTCAGCTGTACAGGCCTGGGAATCTGCTGTCCTGCAAGTGCAAGGGCTCTGAGGTAGAGATATATTTGGCATGGTGAGAAACAACAAGGAGGCTACTGTGGCTGGACAGTGTTTGAGGAGGGAGGAGTAGTGATAGGACTTCACATTTGAGAAGTAAGGGGTGGGAGCAGGAGGCAAATTGTGCAGGGCTTTGTAAGCCATTTTAAAGACAATCTTTATTCTGAGGGAGGTGGAAAGCCATTGGAGGGATATGAATAGAGTAGTGACATGATGTGACTTAAATTTTAACACGGTCACTCTAGCTGTTGTGTAGAATATAAGTGGTAAGGGAACAAGGGCAAAAGATCAGTTAGGAGGAAATTGCTGTGGATAGTTTTGCCTAAAATCTTATAATGCATTGTTATAAAAGTTACATAAGGGAGAAGAGGCCAGATCTGTCAACTCACTATCCTAAACATATTGGCCCTTGCGGAAAAATCAACACATTATCTACAATTATCCAGCTTTTTTTGGAACAGAGATGGAAGAAATACACATTACTTTTTCCTGAAGTTGTTTACAATCACCTGAAGGTGATTACAAGTATAATCAGTAAAAGAACTGGAGGATAGATGGATAAATAGAAAACAGAACATTTTTCTAGGTGGGATACTCTCCATCTGGACATGTATCTGAAATTGTTGTCATGCTGTTATTTGTAATTCAGTTTCTCAATTATAATACCAGAGTGGTTTTGTTGATTAAGTGATTCCCTCACTGTGTGCCTTCCCTCTCTGAGGTGGAGTCTGAGAAAGAGTGAGGATTTAGTTAAAGGAAAGGGTGTAAGTGAGCACAGGAAGAATTGCAATCTACATGCCTACTCTTAGCTGTAGAACTGAATAAATATTTATTTCAATTGGGAAAACTACTGAGTGTACATTATGTGGGAGCACTGCATGTTGTCTCCAATATATATGTCTAAGTAGAATTTCCTGGGGGTTAAAAATGGTGGAAATCCTGTCTGGTTAGAGATGGAGATCATGAAAAGTTTCATAAGAGATCATTGTGATGAATGGGTAGGTTTTTGTTTTTTTACAACACTATTGAGGGATAGTTGTACAGTTAACTGCGTATTTAAAGTTTATAAGTTGAGGAGTTTTGGGATCTATACAACTGTGCAATTATCAACAGTGGCACATTAACATTTTCATCATCCCCAGAAATTCACTCAACTCTTGTCCCCAGGTAAGCAGTGATCTGGAGAAAATTGACATCCTAGCAATATTGAATATTCTAATCCATAAAAATGTTGTATTTCTCCATTCATTAGGTCTAATTTAATTTCTCTGAGGAGTGTTTTTTGGTTCTCAGCATAGAGACATGGATGCTTCCAGTTAGATTTAATCCGGAGTATTTTGTTTTTCAATGGTATTGTAAGGATTTTTTTTTTTTGAGGCGGAGTCTTGCCCTGTCGCCAGGCTGGAATGCAGTGGCACGATCTCGGCTCACTGCAACCTCTGCCTCCCGGGTGCAAGCCATTCTTCTGCCTCAGCCTCCCGAGTAGCTGGGACTACAGGCGCATGCCACCACGCCCAGCGAAGTTTTGTGTTTTTAGTAGAGATGGGGTTTCGCCATGTTGGCCAGGATGGTCTTGATCTCTTGATCTTGTGATCCGCCACCCTCGGCCTCCCAAAGTGCTGGGATTACAGGAGTGAGCCACTGCACCCAGCCCATTGCAGAGTATTTTTAAATCCATTTTCCAATTGCTTGTAGCTAGTATATAAAAATATAATTAATTTTTGTATATTAACTTTGTATTTTATTATCTTGTTCTAATAGTTATTTGAAGATGCCTCTTGCGATTTGTCATAAGTAATTGTGTCATCTGCAAATAGAGACAGTTTTCCTGTTCCTCTCCTCCCCTCCACCCCAGATCTATATATTTGAAGGTGTGGCTCTTGCAGACAGCATTTATCAGTCTTGCTTTTTTAGCCTCTCTGAAAGTCTTTGCCTTTTCATGGAGCATTTACTTAACATTTAATGAAATCATTAATATGACTGATTTGGCTTTATGTTTTGTTTTCTGTTTGACCTCTGTTTTTAGTTTCATCTCTTTTCCCTTTTCCTGCCTTCTTTTAGATTATTTTGGATATATTTTAGTATCTCATTTTTATTTATCTGTTGGCTTTTTAGCTATTCCTATTTATTTATTTATATCTAGGAATTTCAGTGTACATCCTTAACCTTTTGCAGTCTACTCAGTTATTAGTGTATCACTTCATGTAAATGTAAAAATCTTCCAACCATGTAGATCCTCTTTGTTCTTTCCCTCGCTATACCCCATAGTTGTAATATGTGTTACATCTGTAGATGTTCATAAGACAGTGTTATAACTTTTGCCTTAAATAATTTATGTGACTTTTTAAACTTAAGAGGAAAACAGTAGTCTTTTTTTTTTTTTTGAGACGGAGTCTCGCTCTGTCGCCCAGGCTGGAGTGCAGTGGCGCGATCTCGGCTCACTGCAAGCTCCGCCTCCCGGGTTCACGCCATTCTCCTGCCTCAGCCTCCCGAGTAGCTGGGACTACAGGCGCCCGCTACCACGCCCGGCTAATTTTTTGTATTTTTAGTAGAGACGGGGTTTCACCGTGTTAGCCAGGATGGTCTCGATCTCCTGACCTCGTGATCCGCCCGCCTCGGCCTCCCAAAGTGCTGGGATTACAGGCGTGAGCCACCGCGCCCGGCAACAGTAGTCTTTTATATTTAGCCAGTGTCTACCATTTCTGGTGCTTTCATTTGTTTCAGAAGGTCCAGGTTTTTTCTTTGCTATAATTTCCCCCTGCCTAAAGAACTTTCTTATAGTGCAGGTCTCCTAGCAACAAATTCACTTAGTTTTTCTTTCCCTGAAAATGTATTTATTTTGCCTTCATTTTTAAAAAATTTTCTGTTTCACATATATATGTATATGATATGTTATATAAATTTTTTCCCCCTTAGAGATGGGTGTCTCACTATGTTGACCAGGCTGGTCTCAAACTCTTGGCCTCAAGTGATCCTCCCATCTCAACCTCCCAAAGTGCTAGGTATGTGAGCCACCACGCCCAGCCTGCCTTCATTTTTGAAGAGTATTTTTTATTAGATATACAGTCTGGATTGATAATTCTGTTTTATTTTAGCACTTTAAAGATGTTCACTGTCTTATGACCTCCATCATTTCTGATGAGAAATCCACAGTCATTTCCTAGTCGATGTTTACCTGCATGTGATATGTAGTTTTTCTCTAGCTTTTTTCTATCTTTATTTTCAAGAATTTGATTATGATGTATCTAAGTGTGGTTTTTCCTTCCATTTATTTTTATTGGGGTTTACTGAGCTAATTGAATTTGTTAAATTTGTCTTTTACTAAATTTTCAAAGATTTTAGTCATTATTTCTTCTATTTTTTTCTGCCCTTTTCTCTCTTTATTCTTCCAGAAATCACAGATATACATTAGACCTTTTGAGATTGTCCCACAGCTTTCTGAGGCTCTGTTCTTTTTTTCATAAGCTTTTGATTCTTCAGATTGGTTACTGATCCGCCTTTAAGTTTACTGATTCTTTACTTATTCATTTCCATTTCAATATTAAGGCCATCCATTGATATATTTTTCTTTTGGATATTTTTCCATTCTAAAATTTTGATTTTTTTATTTTTCTCTTGAGATTTCCTTTATTATATTTCCATTCAAGTTTTTTTTAACTTTATTTCATTGAGCATAAATAATTATAATAGCTGTTTTAAAATCCTTGTCTCATAATTCCAGCAACTCAGTCTTTTTTGGAGTGGGCATCTGTAGATTTCCCTTTCTGCCAAGAATGGGCTGTATTTTCTGTTACTTGTGTGCCAGGTAATTTTGGATTGTGTCCTAGACATTGTGAATATTATGTTTTTATAGACTCTGGGTTCTATAATAATCTATAGAATATTGATATCTGTACTTTAGCTGGCTTAACTGTGTTACACTGTAAGCTTTCTCTTTCACCTTTTGTGAGTAGTGGTTCCAATTTCAATTTGATCCTTAAGCCTCTACTTTGATGCAGATCTGTATATGCATGGTTCAGGCCTCAGCCTGGCACATTTGTGCTGTGTTATACACAGGATTATGTATTATGTCTTTCAACTTTCTCTCTTACAGGATTGCCTTTTCTCTCTGGTGGCTGGCTGTGTTTACCTTGGGTCTTTGCCCTAGTTCCTCCTGACGGAAGAACAGCTTTAGCTGTCTGCACTCCACATCTATTGCCTAATCTTGGGGCAAAGCTGCAGCAAAACAGGAAATTCACCCACATTCTTCCCAAGTTTTGACTTACCTTCCCAACCTGCCTATTGTATTTACCCTTTGGAATGCTCAGAAAGCTATTTTTTTTCTCACCATAATACTTTATAGTTATCAGCAGAAGGTTGGTCTATAGGGGTATCACACTGCCAAACAGGAAGTGGAACTCAAATGGGTATGATTAGGGAACTCCAGAAAGGACCTTTCTTGAGCTAACTGGTGCCACCAGATTAGATTCATCGATACTTTCTTTGTCCAGAATTTCGGTTGATGGCTGCTGTAATAAATTATCCAAATACATTTTGGGATGCCTGGATCTATTGGCTTTACCGATCAGACTACTTTTTGCCTATTAAGAATATAGAATCAGTGCACCTATAAATAAAAATATGTACCATGCTATTGAGTGAATGTCAGAGTATGTGAAGAGAGTGCCTTTACTCTCTCTATTGAAACTGAAGTATTCATGAAAAAATAATTAAAAGCTTTTTTTTTGTTTGTTTAATTTACTGTTTTGTAATAGTTGAAGCTATGTGGGAGTACAGTGCCTCATACCAAAGCTGTCACCTTTCTTATTAGTCACCATTGAGTATTCCTTTGTTTTTACTTTGTTTTATTTTATTTTTAATTGACAATAATTGTATATATTTATGGGGTACAGTGTGATGTTTCAGCACATGTATACATTGTAGAATGTTCAAATTAGGCTAATTAGTTTATCACTTCAGATATCATTTGTGGTAAGAACATTTAAAATCCTCTCAGCTATTTTGAAATATACAATATATTATTAACTGTAGTCATTGGGATGTGCAATAGAACACCAGAACTTTGTACCCATTGACCAGTGTCTCCTCTTTGCCTGTTCCCACTTCTGGTAACCACCATTCTATTCTCTGCTTTTATGAGTTTGGGGTTTTTTTTAGAATCCACATGTAAGTGAAATTATACAGTATTTTCTATCTGTGGCTGGCTTATTTCACTTAGCATAATACCCCCTAGACAGAATTTCCTGTTCTTTAAAGACTGAATAATATTCCATTGTGTATGTGTACCATGTCTCTTTTCTTAGCTGTAGTACTAGTGATTTTATGAATCTGGGAGCATTGGAGTTAGGTGCATGTATATTTAGGTTTGTTATATCTTCTTGTTGAATTGGTCCTTTTATCATTATATAATCGTGTCTTTTTTTTTTTTTTAACTGTTGTTGTTTTACAGTCTTTTTTATATGATATATGAATAGCTACTCCTGCTTGCTTTTGGCTTCCATTTGCCAGAAATATCTTTTTTCACTCCTTTATCTTGAGTCTTTAAGAATCCTTACATGTTAGGTATGTCTTCTGAAGACAGCAGATACTTGGTTTGTGATTTTTTTTAAATCCATTCAGCCAGTGTATATCTTTCAAGTGGAACATTTAGACCATGTACATTCAACATTAATATTGAAATGTGAGACTGTTCCAGTCATGCTGTTGATTGTTACATAGTGACTTTGTTTTCTTCCTTGTGTTATTGTTTCACAAGCCCTGTGAAATTTATACTTTCAGGAGTTTCTATTCTTTTGCGCATCAACCTTTTGTTTCAAGAACTCCTTTTAGCATTTCTTGTAGGCAGGCCTATTATTGACAAGCTTCCTTAGCATTTCCTTTTCTGAGAGACTTTATTTCTCCTTCACTTATGAAACTTAGTTTTTTTTTTGTTTTTTTTTTTTTTGCTAGATACAAAATTCTTGGCTGACAGTTATTATGTTAAGGAGTAAAGGTAGGACCGCAAGCCCTCTGGCTTGTAAGGTTTCTGCTGAGAAGTCTGCTGTCAGTCTGATAGGTTTTCTTATATAGGTTACCTGATGCTTTTGTCTAACTGCTCTTAGACTTCTTTCTTTCACTTTGACTTTAGATAATCTGATGACTCCATGCCTTTGGTGATGTCCTTTTTGCAGTGAATCTCCCAGAAGTTCTTTGAGCTTCTTGTATTTCTAGCAAGACCAGGGAAATTTTCCTTAATTATTTCCTCAAATAGGTTTTCCAAATTTTAACTTTTTCTTCTCCCTTAGGAACACCTATGATTCTTAGGTTTGGCTCTTTTACATAATCCCATATATTTTGGAGACTGTTCATTTCTTTTCATTTTTTTTCTTTATTTTTATCTGATGAGGTTAACCTGAAAGCCTTGTCTTCGACCTCTGAAATTATTTTTTTCTACCTGGTCTAGTCTGTTGTTAAAACTTTCTACCACATTTTGTAGTTCTCTAAATAGGTCTTTTATTTCCAAAGTTCTGATTGGCTTTGCTTTAAAATACTTGTCTCTTTAGAAAATTTTTCCTTCATATCCTGAATTGTTTTTTTAAATTTTTTCTGTTGCATTTTCACCTTGTATTTCTTTGAGTAAACTCACAATTAACTTTTTGAATTATGTTATTATTGAAATGGAGTCTTGCTATGTCACCCAGGCTGGAGTGCAGTGGCACCATCTTGGCTCAACCTCCACCTGTTGGGTTCAAGCCATTCTCCTGGCTCAGCCTCCTGAGTAGCTGGGACTGCAGGCACGTGCCACCATGCCCAGCCAAATTTTGTATTTTTAGTAGAGATGGGGTTTCACCATGTTGGCCAGGCTGGTCTCGAACTCCTGACCTCAAATGATCCACCCACCTTTGCCTCCCAAAGTGCTGGGATTACAGGCGTGAGCCACTGTGCCCAGACACTTCTAATTGTTTTTTAATTTATTTTTGATTCAACTGTGTCTTTTCATTTCTTAGCTTCCCCTGGCCCTCCTCACCCCCAGTACTCCAGGATGTAACTTTAATGTTTATAATTTATTGTCACCCAGCTTTGGTTCTGGGTGCTTTCCCTGGTGAAAACTCTATATGAGTTTCTTGGTTACAGAGAATCTTTGTGTAGTGGCTTTCTCAGATGCTGGTTGTAGTAGCATTGTGCTGGATGTGTGAGCAGGCTCACTATCTCCAGTGGAGCTGGAATGGCAGAGGTCTCTTGAAGCTTATCTTGTTCCCCAGTGGCGTGCATTTAAAAATTTTCTCCTCCAGTACTTTATTCACTGAGTTGAATAGTTTAGGCTTCAGGCTGATAGGAGGTATCCACAGGTATGGCCAAAGGAGGTGGTAAAGGCAATACCCCAGTGGTGGGCAAAGTTCCCAGCCTTGGCAGAGGTTGCTAGGGAAGCTCTCGGTGAAATGCACTGAGGTCTTCTCAAGGGGAAGGAAGGAAACCACCAAAGCTGTCTTTCAGGCCAGCAGGAAAACAGTCACCTCCCAGTCACACTCCTGACCAGATGTTCCAGCTATTCAGATGAGACAGGCATCTCATTTCATCTGCAGGAATGTGATGTTCCATGTAAAGAGGGATTATGACTCTACCTCTCATGGAAGCCTGAATCTGGAGGGCACACCTCCTTTAAGGATGCAGTTACCCCAAAGTGTTCCACGAAGAGTATCTACAGATGCACCCATGCCAAGCTCCATGGGAGAGGCCCCAGCTGTGTCTACAATGATGGGCAAGAGGAGAAGAAATCCCAATCTTCTTCAAGACCCTTCACGAGCACCAGGGCCGCCTGACTTTGGGGTAGAGCCAAACAAACTTTCCCCACTGAGCCTAGCACTGCACATGTTTCTCTGATAAAAGAAACTCCCCCACAAGTGGAAAGTTAAAGGACTTGAGGCCTGCAGTCTGGCTTCTTTTGTCTCATGAGGTGCTCCCTTAATGATGTACACTCCCCGCCCCACCCCCTCCCTTGGGAGTAGCAGTCCCTGAGGGCCAGACTATTGTGGAGCTTGCTGCTCTTCTGGGTGTAGCTGCTCAGTGGGGTTGCCACACTCCAGGCTGGTGCTGGGGAATGTATGCAAGGGATTCAGTGATGTGACCTGTCCTCTAGTCTCCCAGCAGCGGGTACCAGCACCAGCTCTGATGGGGGTGGGAAGGGAGTTATGTAGACTATGAGATTTCCTTGGTTATCTCAAGGAAATCTCCTTGAGATTTGTGTTGGCTTTCTCAAATGCCAGCTTGTGTTGGCTTTCTCAAATGCCAACTGTAGTAGTAATGTACTGGGCACGTGGACAGACTCAAGACCTTCTGGTTAGCCAGGGTGATACAGGCAATGACGATAGCTGAGGTCATGCAGAAAATTTCTCCTTCCTCAGAGTGGTGTTATTGTCCCTGCAGATGTTGTAATGGGCTGTGCTGGTTGGCTTCAAGAGGTGATGCTTGCAAAAGAACACCAACTATGGTGGTAGTGGTGGGATTTGTGCTTGCCTTATGTTACCCAAGGTACTCTGGTGTCTCAGGCCATAGGCAGGGCCATGGAGCTTTCCAAAGTCCCAGTCTGTTGTGTTATGCTACCAGGGCGAGTGAAGGGACAAAGCCAGATGGGGGCCGGGTCAAGCAAGTCTGCACTCTGGCTTTTCACATGTGGGTGCAAGCAGTGGCCCCAGTGGGGGTCAGAGGGCAGTTCCGTGGCTGTTGGGATAGTGTTACAGGGTGGAGCACAGCTGCCTCTGATGCATAAAATAATCTGCATGGGGCATCGGGTGTAGCAAATGGCATTAAGCCCCACTCAGCTCCCACGGACTTGGCAACACAGGTCTCACACCCAGTGTTTTGCTAGCAGCAGCTAGTTGGGTTGTAGGCAGCCTGCACTTAGAACTCAAAACTGCCCCAGGCTATAAGCCTTCCCAGCCAAGACAGAAACCACAGTTTTCAGGCCATATCCCTCCAGGTCTGCCTGCAAAGCAGGGACACCCAGCTCCTGCACCTGTGGCTGTAGCACACTTCTCACTTGCCCCTTGGTTCTGGCCAAGGGGTTCCATCTGCACTCAAGATTATATCACAAGTCTCATTTGGGAGTGTCTCTCAACCTGTGACCTCTGCCTGAATTAGCTGGCAGTCTTCCCTGAGATAGGATTAGGAATGGCTTCCCTCCGGGCCTGCTGGAGTCTGGGAATGGATGTAAAGCATGTCGTGATGCTGCTTCTCCTCATATTCTCCCCACTGCTCATTAAGTCAGCTCCAGCACTGGGTAGCATTAAGGCATTCCCCCGTGGCCTGGATTGGGTTAAGGAATTTTATACCTGGGTAGGGTTAAGGCATTTCCCACTGGCCTGACTCCCTAGTGGGAGTATGTGTCATGGAGGAAGTCTCTCTCCCACTCAAGCTCTAGAGACACAGTTTTCTACCTGTTTCATGGTGTAGGCTGCTGCCCGCCACTTATTTCAAAAGGTCTGCATTTTCTTTCAGTTTTTCTGTTAAGTTCCTGTGTTGCTTCTAGGAAAAAAAGTTCACAGCATGAATCTCTACACATGATTTTATTTTTCCAAGTGGGAGGGGCATGTTAATCCCTTTAATCTACCATCTTGGAGAAAGAAAAAACGAATTGTTTTCTTAATAGCTTTTTTAGATAGTTTGTTGTTAGTGTATAGAAATGCTACTGATTTTTATAGGTTAATCTTGTATCCCGCAACGTTACTGAATTTGTTTACAACTTTACTGAATACTGTTCTGTTTTTGTTGAAGTCTTTAGGATTTGGTCTATATAAGAGCATGTCAGCAGAGACAATTTCACTTCATTGCTTCCTATTTGGACGCCTTTTGTAGATAGTACCTGACTTAGAGAATGTTTTGGCTTACAATTTTTTGGCTTTCTGATGGTACAAAAGCAACACATATTCAGTAGCAACAGTACTTCAAGTACCTATACAACCATTCTGTTTTTCACCTTCAATATAGTATTCAATAAATTACATGAGATATTTAACACTTTATTATAAAATAGATGCTTTTGCTCATGTGTGGCTTAATGTGTAAGTGTTCTGAACGTGTTTAAGGTAGGTTAGGCTGAGCTGTTATGTTCAGTAGGTTAAGTACATTAAGTGCATTTTTGACTTATGGTAGTTTCAGTTTATGATGGGTTTATTGGGACGTAACCCCATCATAAGTCGAAGAGCATCTCTAGTTCCTTCTCTTGCCTAATTGCTTTGGCTAGGCCATCCAGTACTATGTTGAATAGAAATGGTGACAGTGGGTATCATTGTCTTGTTCCTGGTCTTAAGAGGAAAAGCCTTTAACTT
Source organism: Homo sapiens (assembly GCF_000001405.40). Taxonomy (NCBI): domain Eukaryota; kingdom Metazoa; phylum Chordata; class Mammalia; order Primates; family Hominidae; genus Homo; species Homo sapiens. Next base: position 42,208,597 of record NC_000001.11, on the reverse strand, counting down.
TTCACCATTGAGTATGGTGTTAGCTATGGACTTATTATATGTGACCTTTATTGTGTTGAGGAATGTTCCTTCTATACCTTTTTTGTTGAGCGTTTTTGTCATGAAAGGATATTGAATTTTGTCAAATGCTTTTTAAAGTATCTTTGGGATGATCCTTCATTCTTTTAGTCTTTGATTCTCTTAATATGGTGAATCACATTTATTAATGCATGTATATTGAATCAGCCTTACATCCCAGGGATAAATCCCACTTGATCATGGTGAATGATCCTTTTACTGAACTGTTGAATATGATTTGCTAGTATTTTGTTGAGGGATGAGTATTTCTTTGTATCAGCAGATCCTTGACATCAGTAGCAGATATATTCTAGTGGTCATCATAGTGGCCAGCACTTACTGTGTGTTTCAGTTACCATGCTAAGCGCTTTACATGAAATACTGTGTTGATGTTCTTAACAGATCTCTAAAGGAAGTAGCATAATCATCTTTTTATAGATGAGAAAACAAGCATAAAGTTCGAGTAATTTACATGAAATCAGATAACAAAAGTTTCCCTTTTCCTACCAGAAGGGAAGAATGAGAATTAGTGAACCAATAGTTCAGACTGAGATGACTGAGTTGAATTAAGGGAATATGAGATTTGTACCTTTCTAAAGTAATCTTCTGTGTTAACTTAATTATAGCTTGGTTGGCTGGCACCAAAACTGAGGCATAAATAAGAGTTATTTTTATAGCTCTTCTATTTCACCTTGCTCTCAATGTGTACCTGGGACCTAAGTGCTGGATTCTAGCTTGTAGGGGTAGCTCTGGTCTTTTTCAATCAAGATCCCTATTCTCTGCCCGAAGGTTGATTAGATTATCTGGAATGAGAAAAATGCTGAGGGATTAAAGGATAGATTAATTTCAAAAATGTGTCTTGGTGAAATTGCTCTCTCGCTCATCTGGTATGATCTTTTAGAAATGCATGTACAATTAGGATCATGTGTGGGACAAATAGTTTTTGCCAGAGAGGGAATATATATGTAGCTAGCATCATAATCATAAATTACTTCTGTTTGCCCCTCTTTAACATTTACCATTGAAGTTGAACTTTTGAAGGCTCAATAAAGCAATAAAAACCGTTTCTTAGAGAGAGGAGTTATCACAATGTATATATTCAGAATTCTAATAGCAGAAAACTTTCTGTATTGTTTTTAACACCCATGTTAACTCTAAACAGTACATATGAGGTATATTTAGGGGATCGTTCAGTTGCTCTAGCAAAGGAAGAAAAATAAAACTATAACTGATGTACACTCACAGAAAGACAAATATTGCGTATTCTCACTCATATGTGGTAGCTAAAAAAGTGGATTACATGAAGATAGAAAGTAGATTGGTGATTATCAGAGGCCAGGAAGGGTAGGGGGAAGGGATATGAAGACAGGTTGATTAATGGATGTAAATATACACTTAGAAGAAATAAGAACTGGCTGGGCATGATGACTCAACACCTGTAGTAGCACTTTTGGAGGCTGAGGCAGGTGGGTCACTTTAGGTCAGGAGTTCAAGACCAGCCTGGCCAACATGGTGAACCCTGTCTCTACTAAAAGTACAAAAATTAGCCAGGTGTGGTGACACACACCTGTAATCCCAGCTACTTGGGAGGCTGAGGCAAGAGAATCGCTTGAGCATGGGAGGTGAAGGTTGCAGTGAGCCGAGATTGCACCACTGCACTACAGCCTGGGCAACAGAGCGAGACTCCATCCCAAAAAACAAGAAGAAGAAGAAGAAGAAATAAGACCTGATGTCTGATAAATCAGTAGGGTGGCTGTAGTTAACATTAATTGATTGTATATTTTGAAATAGCTTAGAAGAGAATAATTTGAATATTCCTAGTATAAACAAAAGATAAAATTTGAGGATATCTCATTTTTCATTTGATTATATGAATGTATTAAATTATCACATGTATACTCAAAATATGTACATCTAATATGTATCAATAAAAATAAATAGCAAAAGTTTTAAAAATCTATAACTGGCTTAAACCAGAGAGATTTATTTCTCTGTCAGGTAGAAGCCCAAACTCATGGGTGGGTCAGAGATATAAACAGCTCTGTTTCACAGGGTCATTCAGATGTCGAGGTTCCTTCTAATCCTGTTTTTCCGGTATTTTCCCAGGGTATTACCCTCAGCTATTTATGGTTAAGCAAGATCACCACCACCATATCTGTCTTAAATCTGCAATAAGAGAGAAAGAATGAATGGTGGGCAAGCAGGTTTCTTTCAAAGACATGACCCAGAAGTGGCACACATCACTCCTGCTCACATCCTGTTGGTCACACCGTAGTCACATGGCCACAGGCAGCTTCTCAGGAATCTAGAAAGGTAGTCTGTGGCTGGGCAGACATGAGTAGATACTGTAAATATCTATTACTGAAAGGGATGAGGGGAGAATGGATATTAGGGGATCATTAGCAATTTTCACTACAGAAGTTTATTTGTAATTTTTGTCAGCCTATCCTGCAGTAAATTAAGAGTTGTTAGAGAGTAGCCATACCAAAGGACTTTGTAATATCAAGTCAGTAGCATACTAAAATTTAGTAGAAGAGATTTCACTAGTGATTTAAATTCATTTTCAGAAACAAAGCACAAAACTGGATGTTCAAGAATTTGATGAGATCCCTTCAAACTGTGTTAAAGTTGCTGGATATATGAGCTAATAATTATTTATTTTGTTCTTGTATTTTAGGCCTCAACTCCATATAGCATAGATTCAGATTCTTTGGGAATGGAGTGTATTATTTCGGGAAGTGCCTCTCCAACTCTGGCAATCAACACTGTGACTAACAAAGTAATTTCATTTTTTTAAACATTATTGAAATGTCATTGAGTAGTACATTTAATTTGCCTTTGTAATAATGATAGAATCCTATATGGTTCAGTTTAAAGATTATATAAATTTGTCTACCCTATGCATGGTAGCTTGAAGGCTAAATTCAGAATGTTTTGAGGTATGCACAAATTAGAACAAAATATCTCTCAGGAGAGATTGGAAGGTCCTTACCGAGAAGTTCTATACTTGTTTAAAAATTCTTGGCTCTCACAGTTCCCATTGATAGAATTTGTGAGCCAGCATTTTATTGAGTCAATTTGTTTCAGAATTGTTAATTACCTCTCCAGATATGTGGTTGAAAAAAAGATTGTCAAATTCTGGGGAGTTAACAGAATCTAGTAAAATAAATAATTGGACAGCCTCATAGAGTTCACTGGGATGGTGGTCTACCTATTTTCATGATATTCAAGTCTAGGAATATAGCCAGAAATAGTACATGGTTGTTTGCTACATTTTGATGGTTGAGTCACAACTTTGTGATGGGTCATTATATACCTAGTGGGATACAGGTATATATCTGTCTCTTCTTTATAAGACAGTTTCTTAATCTTACATCTCAAAACCCTAAAAAGACTCTGGGAGGTTCATGAATCCAGTTTTGTTCATCTGTTTTCTTCCCTACTAGACCATGAGTACTCCAGAGCCATATATCTCTCACACTTATGCTTAGATTCTCTTTCAGTCTTGTTTTCATTTTCTCCCTCTAGCTTTCACCCTCTTTTTTTCTCTCCCTCTCTCTCATTTTCATTCTTCCACTTCATGCACACACATAAATATGAACACATACACATACATCATTGCACTAATATGGTACTCCTAGGATCCTTTTACTTGTAGAAAGATAATGATTAAACAGATGACAGATTATAATCAGAGTGACATATTCAGATTTCTAGTTCAGAAAGGAAACTGGTAGCCTAGGCATAGAGGAATGATTCTTCCCACATGGCAGTCTCTGGAATAATTACATCACAGTCACTTAGAGAGAGGGTTTATGGGGCAGTTGGGGGGTGGGGGGTGGTGGTAGTGGTGGTAATCCCAGGATTCCATTGCAATTCTGCCAAATCAGTTACTGTGTCATGAATAGGGCCCAGAAATACGTCCTTTAAAAAATGATCTCTAATGGTGACCAGCTAGGTGAGAATTTCTGGTGAAGTGGTTGGGTTAGAATCAGAAATACCTAATACTGCTCTGTGCTGTAGTCTAAGTGGTGATGAAGACCTAAACATAGATGATAGTGTGGTTACTAGGAAACAATTAGGAAGTAGTAATGATGGGACTTTATGACCAAATAATGTGGATGTCAAAGGAGCTGAAGATTTTGGTTTTCTGCATCCAGATATGACAGAATACTGGTATTAGATTAACCTTTCTGCCTATCTGTGTAAAATACCAGACATACATAGCCACACACCCCTCCCCACCCACCTCCTTGATTGAAAAAAAAGAAGAGGGAGGTATTGGAAACTAAGACAACCAGGGCTTCAGGGGTCAGGAGCCCAGAGAATAGTTAAACACATTGAGATAAGCTTTGTATATTTTCCTTTGGTGCATTTCCCGATTCTCAGTGCATGGCATAGGGGCTACACAGAGAGCAGTAGCCTAGAGCAGTCATTCAACCAGGGAGACAAAATTGGAGTTTGGGGTTACCAAAGAGCCAGGGGTTGCAGAGCCGAGATCCTGAGGAATATCAGGGGTGAATCCAACTTTTTTTTTTTTTTTTTGAGACAGGATCTCACTGTGTCGCCCAGACTGGAGTGCAGTGCGGTGATCTTAGCTCACTGCAACCTCCACCTCCTGGGTTCAAGCAATTCTCCTGCCTCAGCCTCCCAAGTAGCTGGGATTACAGGTGCCCACCACTGCGCCTGGCTAATTTTTGTGTTTTTAGTAGAGATGGGGTTCCACCATGTTGGCCAGGCTGGTCTCAAACTCCTGACCTCAGGTGATCTGTCCGCCTTGGCCTCCCAAAGTGCTGGGATTACAGGTGTGAGCCACCACACCTGGCTGAGTTCAACTTTTTGTAAGTAGTATCCACTTAAGGCATTTGCTAACTCCTAATTGTGTGTGCTAGGGCTCAGACACAAAGTTTTTCACTAGCCAAAATTCAACACTCTCACAGAATAGGAGGGACAAATATTGTAGTTTATGGTCTTCAAAGGAGGAGAGAGCCATGGTAATACACCCTAGGCTTTCAACTTGATATCTGAGAAAAATTTTGTTCTGAGAGTAAGAGCAAACCAAAATAGATCAGCCTCAACAGTTACTAGAGTGGTATGCTAATATTCTATCTGCCGAAAGAAAATGGAATTCTCTTTGGAGGAAGATAACATCATCCAGAGCTTCTGTAATTTTCCATAAGTATAGGGTGCAGCATTCAGTCAAAATTTCCAGGCATGCTAGGAGAGAGAGTTCGAATAACTAAACATGCAGTTGGGGGAAGACAATGTAAACAAGTGATTGAATATTGATTGCAAAATAACTATAACTGATATGGTCAAGAAAATAGATGAGTTATAGAAAATTTACCAGAGAATTGGAATTTATATGGAAGAATCAAGAGGAAACTTGAATAAACCCAGTAGATGGATTTAATAGCAGATCAGACACATCAGCAGAGAAATTTAATGAACTGGAAGATAGGTCTGTAGAAAACGTGCAGATGGAAGCACAGAAAGAAAAAAGGGTGGAAAATTCAGAAAAACTTAAGAGGTAAATGGGACATGGGGAAAAGGTCACACAAGGTTGTTTTTAGTGTGCAGGAGGAGAGGAAAAAGGAATAAAGAAGATCGTGGTAATAGATTTAAGCATGCCTTTCTGTAACTCATAGAATATGCAGACCAAATCAAAACAACAAACAACCTCATTTAAAGAAATACAATATTTGGACTGGGTGTGGTGGCTCACCCCTTTAATACCAGCACTTTGGGAGGCTGAGGTGGGTGGATCACTTGAGGCCAGGTATTCAAGACCAGCCTGGCCAACATGGCAAAAACCCATCTCATACTAAAAATATGAAGATACTGTACTATATCATGTATAAGAACTTTATTACTGTACACTCCCATTTTTTTCTCCTTGTGATAGAAACCTACAATACGTATTTGTTATTTTTGCTTTAAACAATCAATTATCATTTCAAGAGATTTAAATCAGAAAAAAAATGGCTTTACATTTACCCACATAGTTAACCATTTCTGCTATTCTTTATTCCTTTGCATAGATCCGGATTGCCACCAGCAACTTATACGTTTATTAGTTTGCTTGAAACTGTCCCCAAAGCTCACTAATGTTCTTTACTTTTTTTTTTTACAGTAAACAACCCATAGTGAGGAAAAAGTCACAACTGACCCAGAAATGATAGAAATGATAGAATTAGCTTAGAAAAGGACATTAAAGCAGTTTTATCTATATTTTATGGAGAAGCTAAAAGACACATTAAACAATCTGTGTAGACACATGGAATATAAACCCAAAGCAAACTCCTAGAGATAAAAACTGCAGTGTCTGAATTGAAAAGTACACTAGATGGGATTAATAACAGACTAAACAGAAGGAAAGATTAGTAAATTTGGAAATACAGCAATAAAAAGCTTTCAAAAATGAAAAAACAGAAAGGTGCTATTAAAGTTAATGAAAGAGAAATACAATTTGCTGATATCTGGAATGAAAAAAGGAGCTATATGGATTCTACAGAATTAAAAAGATGAAGGATAGATATGAACATCTTATGTAAATAAAGTTGAAATTTTAGATGAAATAGACAAAATCATAAAAAATGACTTATCAAAACTGGCGCAAGAATAAATAGAAAATGTTAATACTTTTGTATATATTAAACCCATAATTAAAAAATATTTCTTTATAGAAGACTTCAGGCCCAGCAAGCTTCAAGGAATTCTTATAAATATTTAGTGAAAAAATAATATTGATTGTATATAAACACTTCAGGAGAATTTTAAAAAAGAGGTAACATGTCCCAATTTATATTATGAAACCATCATAACCTAAGTAGCAAAACCTGACAAAAACTTTACAAGAAAGGAAATTTTCAGCCAGTCTCATGAGCATAGGTATTAAAATCTTAAACAAAATGTTGTCTAATTTAACCCAGCAATACATAAAAAAGATAACATCACAAACACAGTTGTATTCTAGAAACGCAAGCTAGGTCTAGCACTAGGAAATCTGCTGTTGTTCTTCTGTTCATAGTTGGAAGTGCTACATGTATACTCCACATTTTATACGGAATATTACAAAGGCATACTCAGAGGTCATGACTTAATAAAACTCTTAGCTGTAAATAGGTGGAAATTTTTTCAGTGTGGTAAAGAATATCTACAAAGAAGCATATAGCAAATGCTATATTAAATGGTGAAATACTGAAAACTTTCTCTTTGAGGTATGGAAGAAGAGAAAGATGTTTGCCATCAGCACTTTTATTTGACATCGTGTTGGAGGTCCTTGCCAGTTAGAAGTTACAAACAAGAAATAAAAAGCATAAAGTTTGGAAGGACAGAAATAAAGTTGCCACAGATGATCACAGAAAATTGAAAAGAATCTACGGATAAAGCCTTAGAATTAATAAGTGAATTTAGTGAATTCTCTTCAGAAATCAATTTTATTTCTGCCTTGAAAATAAAATTTAAAAGATAACACTTATGTTAGCATTCAGAAACATCAAATACCTTGGCTTAAATGAAAGATGAACTCTACACAGAACACTATAAAAATTACTGAAAGAAAATGACATAGATTATATAATGTTCATGCAGAAGACTACTGTAAAGAAGACAGTTTTTCCAAAGTTGATATACAAATTTAATGTGATTCCAGTCCAGATGTTCTTTGTGGGAGAGAGGAGGTGGGTAGAAAATAAGCTGATAGTAAAACAAAAATGAGAATCTAAATGACCAACGGTAGCTAAAGGAAATATTGAAGGCCAGGTGCGGTGGTTCATGCCTGTAATCCCAAAGCCTCCTTTGGGAGGCTGAGGTGGGGTGGATCACGAGGTCAGGAGTTCGAGACCAGCATGACCAACATAGTGAAACCCCGTCTCTACTAAAAATAACAACAATTAGCCAGGTATGGTGGCGCGCATCTGTAATCCCAACTACTTTGGAGGCTGAGGCAGGAGAATCGCTTGAACCCAGGAGACAGAGGTTGCAGTGAGCCGAGATCGCACCATTGCACTCCAGCCTAGGCGACAAAGCGAGACTCCGTCTCAAAAAGAGAAAAAAAGAGAAAATATTGAAGAAAAGGATAAAACATGGAGGATTTATACTTCCAAATACATAAATGATAAAACAATAAAGCTCTGTTGCACAAAAAAATGAATTTTAAAAAGGAAAGAAGGAAATATAAAGAGTAGATATTAATGCAATAGAAAACAAGGCCTTGTAACAAGGATATACACTATGTGATTCCATTTATACTTAGTTCAAAAATAGGAAAACCAATCAGTAGTGATAGAAGTGGTTACCTGGGACAGGAGATATGGATGGATAATGACTTACGTGCATGATGAATGGGAGAGTACATGAGCTTCTAGAGTGCTGGTCATACAGTGTATCAGTGGTTCTCAAAGTGTGGTTTCTGGATGCCTGGGTAACTGAGACCTTTGTAGAGAGTCCATGAGGTCAAAACTCCTATTCGTGATAATATGTATTATTTTTTTCTTCCTTTATATTTGCCTTTTTTTTTTTTTTTTTTTTTTTGAGACAGAGTCTCGCTCTGTCACCAGGCTGGAGTGCAGTGGCGTGATCTTGGCTCACTGCAAATAGGCTAGTTTTCTATTCCAAAAATACCTTTTTTTGTTTGTTTGCTTCTAATTAAAAATTATAATACTTATAGACAAACTCAAGCACTGTAAAAATATACACAAATGTAAAAGTCTTCAGGAATCCTCAGCCCCTTCTAGATAACCATTAACAACAGTTTGACAGTTTTTCACATCTAATGCATATATTAGCATATTATTTTTTAAAAGTTAGATCATATAATTATGATTTTATAAATGTGTTGAACAGTTGTTTCCAATCTTCAGTATTAAAAATACTGTGATGCCTGTGATTTTAAAAAAAAAATCTTTTTTTTTTTATGTGCTTCGTTTTGATTTCTAAAATTCTGATAGACAGTAATTTTGCTTAAAGCCTGAGCAAAAATTTATGCATTATAGAAATATTTAATAAAGTAAAAATCTGTTATATTCCTCTCTTGTTAAATGTTTATGGGCTAATTATACCTGGTAAATTATGCTATAAATTAAATTTCTATACCTCTGAAAGACATGTCCTTTAGTTTGAGTATTGAGAAAATTATTTTATGATGAACACGAACTTAGCCATATGGGGCATGGAATTGGGGTGAGCACCTAGGGAAAGGCCACTGAGATTTTTTTCTTCTTGCCATATGCCTGCTCAATTGTATTTTTGCAGAGTTGCTTAAGAAGTACCCTTATATTCAATTGTCATTTTTCTTTTTTCATTTTAGGTAACATTGTATAACACTGATCAGGATGGTAGTGATAGCCCACGCAGTAGCCTTAACAACAGTCTCTCAGACCAGAGTTTGGCATCTGTTAATTTGAACAGTGTTGGAAGTGTGCATAGTTATACACCGGTAAGTCTTGATGAAGTTAACATGTTAATAGTTATTCATTTAGTACTTAAAACTAAACCAAACATAATTGAAATGCAAATTTAAAAATGAAGGTATGTTTTTCTCACTAATAAATTTATTAACTTAGTAAGTAGATCAAAATTAGAGGAGATTGTAGCTTGTTAGTGTTTTAATTTGGTACCATATTAGATTTTTAAAAAATGGTTGTGCAGTGTTAACAGATTTTGGTCTACTTTATTCTGTCCTGTGTCCAAGAGAAAAGCAATTGGAACAGGAAAAAAATTGCACTTTAGTTTAGTAGAGCAATAGTTGGTGATATTCTGTACTTCTTAGAGCTTAGAAGATGTGTGTGTCAACATGGTTTCCAGCTGTAGATCTGAGAAGGGAATTCTGTAAACCCCAGAGGTTAGGGTGGCCTGGTACACTCAATTGTTAACTACTCATGTATTTTCAGTTTGGATCCACGGGGGGAAAAGCCATGCTATAAAGGGACCTGTGTGTATGTATTCTTGCTCCTATGCTAATTTGTTACCTATTACAAGAACATGAGTCTTAGGTTATCTGTTATTTCTTTTCAAACTACCTGGCAACTGGTCTTCCTCAGTGAGCAGATAATAGAGCCCAAGAGCTACACACCACATTGTTTGTCAGTGTAAATTTGATCTTACCAGGTCACTCCCTGTTGTTCCAGGATGAGTAAATAGGAAAAAACTTACACGGGACAAAGATATAAAGGGAGGGACCCGAAAGAAAATAACACACGGGAAAGAAAAACGTAGCAGAATTAAAATTCACATTGAATGTAGGGAAAAAGTTGCCTCTGCAAAATTATTATTGCTCTGTAAAAAAAAATAAAGTATTATCCCACAATGGAGAAGAAAGAAAATGGAATAAAAATTATGTAAAAGAAGACAATAAATGTGGAGAACTGAGAATTATAGTTGTCCCTGCAGAAGAAAAAGTTGTTATAGAAGCAGTTTTCAGAAGAAATAGAGATTTAAAGGGTTACTGAGTTCTAGAAGAAATTAATGGGGAAAAAATCTATGCAGTCAGCCCTCCGTATCTGTAGGTTCCACATCCACAGACTTAACCAAACATTGGATTGAAAATATTTGAACAACAAAAAACAATTAAAAAAAAAAGGTACAGCAATAAAAAATACATGCTGGAATGAGGTGGCTCATACCTGTAATCCCAGTACTTTGGGAGGCTGAGGCAAGAGGATTGCTTGAGGCCAGGAGTTTGATATCAGCCTGGCCAACATAGTGAGACCCTGTCTTAAAAAAATGAAACAGCCAGGCATTGTGGCATGCACCTTAGGAGGCTGAGAAGGGAGGATCACTTGAACCCAGGAGTAATCACGTCACTCCACTCCAGCCTGGGCGATAGAGCGAGACTGTTATTTCTTTCTTTCTTTCTTTTTTTTTTTTAAAGAAAAAAATATAGTTTAACAACTGTTTACATTGTATTAGGTATTAATCATCTAGAGGTGATTTAAAGTGTATGGGAGGATAGGTTATATGCAAATATTACAGCATTTTGTATAAGGGACTTGAGCATGTGCAGATTTTGGTGTCCTAGTGGGTTGGGGTTCCTGTAACCAGTCCCTCGTGGATACCAAAGGACTGCTGTATCTAGATACATTATGGCAAATTTTAAAATTTCATAAGTAGTTACCCATAAAAATACTCTAACAGAATGAGTAAATTATATATAAAGAAACACAAATCAGACCTCCCCCCCTTTTTTTCTCTCTTTTTTTAGACACAAGATCTTGCTAAGTGGGCCAAACTGGTCTCGAACTCCTGGCTTAAGCAATTCTCCTGCCCTGTTGACTTCCCAAAGTGCTAGGATTACAGGCATGAGCCACCATGCCTGGCCTCAGGCTTCTCTTTGATGCTACTAAATGCCAGAAGATAATGGAGCATTGTATGCAGAGTTTTGAGGGAATGGGTTTGGAATAACAAATATTATGCCCAAATTTTAATTCATATGTGAAGGCAAGAGAAAGACGTTCCTTGATATGCAGAGATTAGAAAGTATCCTGCCCTTGTTTTCATGTGTCTTTCCTGAAAAAAATTACTTACCCGTGATCAAGATTAATTAAATTAAATAATAATGACAAAGTGGAGTTATAAAACAACCAGTTGGAACATTGAAGCAAACTAAGCAAAGATATAATGATTTTAAGTTGCTTTTTGAAGTAATTTAAGTGTAAAAAATCTTGACCAAAAGAAAGCAAAGCACACAGTCCAGTATCACAAAACATTATAAAAGGACAAATTAAAGAAGCATGTATAGAACTAGATGACAGACACAGCTAACATGTTCGTTGTGCCAATAAATGTAAGAGGGTTAAACTGCCGTGTTTAAAGCTAGACTTTGTAGACTGCTTTTTTTGTTGTTTTTGAGATGGAGTCTCTCTCTGTCGCCCAGACTGAAGTGCAATGGTGTGTTCTCAGCTTATGGCAACCTCTGCCTCCCAGATTCAAGCGATTCTCTTGCCTCAGCCTCTCAAGTTGCTGGGATTGCAGGCGTGAGCCACCACACATAGCTAATTTTTGTATTTTTAATTGAGGCAGGGTTTCACCATGTTGGCCAGGCTGGTCTCGAACTTCTGACTTCAGGTGATCCGCCCGCCTCGGCCTCTTAAAGTGCTGGGATTATAGGCGTTGAGCCACTGCACCCGGCCCTGCTACTTTCTTTCAACAACAAGGTGTCAAATGGTCGAGCGGTCCCTAAGCAACAGTGCAATGGCAGCTGCTGGTTGGGTTTATCACATCTATATAGTTTGATCCTGTAAGGCCACAATGAGCCCACATGGATTGAGATAATTTTATTACTTATACAGACAGTATAAACCAGGTTAGCATGGTGTCAGCTCCCTACATCCCACGTGACAGTACCAAAACAGAGGACCAAATGACAGACTACTCGAGTAGTAGCTCACTCTGTAATAGAGGAACAAATTCCATAGTGCAACTAAGCAGTTTTATAACCTGCAGCTGTACCCTAAGGGAGTAAGGCAGAAAGTCCCATGCCTCACTCAGCCAGGGAGGTAGATGAGAAACTGTTTCTTGGCAACCTCTGGCAAAATAGAAAGGTAGATGAGTAACTGCCCCATGGCCATCTCCTACAAGACATAAGGGCAGATGAGAATTTTCGCCTCAAAACCACTTGTTCCAGGATAATCACAGGGTGTTCCACCAAGGTTTAGGTCATCCTGCCATGGAGCCTTGCCTATATGGTTTGTGTGGAGATGTGTAAGGACACTAGGGTGCCAGTGGCGGAGCCATTTTCCTATGTAAAAATTCATATTTTTCCACGTTATTGCAGACTCCTTATGAGCATTATTTTTAATGGCTGCGTAAGTTTCTAGTCAATGTTCATACCTTAATTTTTCAAAACACTAAACAAATGGTAGTTTACCACCCTTTCATGTAGTACGTAGTCTTTAAGAAATACAGATGATTATCTTTTATTGATTTTATTTCTAGTTTTCCTGCTTTTAAAGATAAGTTTTCCCTGGAAATGAAGAGTTAGGCATATTTAAGCTCCTTGTTGCTTTGGGCAGAGCCATACATCTGACTCATAGTAATCACAGTATTTGGGTTTGTATACTAAAAAGTTAATTGAATAAATGAAAGAAATGTTAGTAGTTTTATGGCTTAGTGGAGTTTGAGATAAAATACCTTATGTAGAAATCAAGATTGAAGATTCTACAGAAAGGCTAGAAGGATTCTAGGCCTAACTCATCACTTATTTGTATGATCTGAGGCAAGTTATCTAACTTCTTTGAATTCTTTCCTTCTGTGAAGTATGGAGGTTGGGTTAGACTTCTACAGTTCTTCAAGATTCAGTTTAGCTGTTTTGCTTTCTGTCCATTATGCTTTAACAGAGGATGGGAAAGCCTAAGACAGAAGAGTTATTTTCTTTGAATTCCAATGTTGACACTGTTTTCAGTTATATATTTTATATAACAAGCCAATTGTAATTAGTAGAGAGGCTGAATTAGTTGTGTTTTCTTTTAATGTTAGGTGACAAGCCATCCAGAATCAGTCTCTCAATCATTAACTCCTCAGCAGCAACCACAGTACAACCTTCCAGAAAGAGACAAGCAACTACTTTTCTCAGAATATAATTTTGAAGATCTTAGTGCCTCATTTCGGAGCCTTTATAAGTCAGTTTTTGAGCAGTCACTTAGTCAACAAGGTGAGTTTTCTTAAAATCTTTTTTATAACAAAGTTTTATTGGAAAAAGGTTTTTAAATTATTTCACATGGCAGCTGTTATACTCTTAATCTTAGAATATTATCATCACAATAAGAATCAGGTAATTGTATTTTGCCCTTTGTGCCTTTACTGTGTTCTATTTATATCATAGCACAAAAATGGCAGATAAATTTTATGTTGCATGCCTACTTACTTGTTTACTAGTGGCATCCAGGAACACTGTGTTAAAGAATTCTGACACTGCATCTATACCATATGGGAAACACTACTATAATTAATTAGTGATATCTGGCATATGAAGTGTTTGAGTGGTGAATGTTGCACCACAAGAATAGATGTGCCTTGCTTTTGTTCTGACTGGTATTAGCAAAAAGAGATAACTATCGGAATGTGGTAGCGCCAAATTTGTGATTTTGAGTGTGGCACTTAGAAGTGAATACATCAGCTACTAGTAAACGCTAGGTCATTGTTGTACACGATATACTTAAGTCAGATTTTAATATTAAAAGTGACTTTAGTTGAGATACACTGTTGCATCTTGACCAAATGGTAGATTCTTGCTATAATGTGTTCTCTTCCCATTAGCTGCTGGTTTAATTTTAATCAGAGGGTAAAAATGTCACAGTATCTTTTCCCCAGAGATGAATTGTCAGAAATTGTTGGGAACTCTACTGTTGAAGCATTTCCTAATTACTTGTTTGTTTGGCACATTAACTATTTACACCCCATGTTTTATTCCTTTCCTGCTGCTGTGTCAAAATACCTTAGAATGGGTAATTTATAAACAACAGAAATTTATTTCTCACAGTTTGGGAGGTTGGGAAGTTCAAGATCAAGGAACCAGCAGATATGGTGTCTGGCGAGGGCTTGTACATCATAAATGATGCCTTTTAGCGGTATTCTCACATGGAGCTGAACGCTGTGTCCTCATGTGGCAGACGACATGGAAGGGCAAAAAGTAGCTAGTTCTCTCAACCCCTTTTGCAAGGCCTAATCCCTAATTACCTCCTAAAGGTCCCACTTCTTAATACCATCACCTGGGGGTTGAAGTTCCAACATACGAATTTTGGAGGGACACATACATTCAAACTGTGGCACCCCAACTCAGAAAGTTTCCATGTTCACAGCAGTGAACAAAAATGAACAGAAATCCTTGTCTTTATACTGTTTGCATTTTAATACTTACTGTCAGTTAATGTTATATACTGTTATTTATATTGATGTATACTGATGTTGTGTGTGTGAAATGGCTTTTTCTGGTTAGTATTTGAGTTTAAAGTAAGATTCATATGTTTTCCAACTTTTAAATTTTTCATCTATAAAAGTATAAAAAGAACTAATGGAAGACTTTGCTAAGCAAATCCAACCTTGGTATTCACAATAGAAAAATAAGGGCTTTGAAATAACAATGATGACAATTTCTGAAGCCCATAATTCCATTCCATCACACTATTAAAAAAAAAAAAAAAAGGAACATCGATAGGAAGTCTGGGTTCTAGTCCAGGTTCTGCCATTAAGTCAACTGAGTTTACTTCTCATCTCTGGACCTCAGTATCCCCATTTGTACAATAAAGAGGGTTGGATTAGATCAGTGATTTTCAGATTGTTCTCTTCAGAGGCCTTGGCTTTTGTAAAGATCTTAGGGACTGCAGGAGGAGAACTGTGCAGATGCAGAGGTAGACCTAGTAAGCTTCCTTCCCCAGCTTCAAAAAAAAAAACTATATTATACTTATCAGTTTTATATATTGGGCTTCTGGAGAGATATTTTGCTTTCTTTTATTTAAAAATAATTTGAGATTGAAAATGTTGATACAGATCAGACCTTGGTTCCCTTGTAAAATGCTAGGATTTTATTGAAAATTGATAAATTACTGCTTTCTTTGATCTTACAGTAATAACCCTATAGATTCCTTATATGTGACTATTTTCTAGGACCAAGGCAAGAACTTTTATTAACTCTTCTGCCTGTAAAACTTGGTAGCTTTTAAGATTATCTTGCAATGAACACAAATACAGTTTTACTACTAATGACAAATAGAATAATTTTATCTTTTTTAAAAAGCTTGATTCTTTTATTGATTGATATTATCTTGTGTTTTTTTTTTTCATTCAATAAAATTATTTTTATGTTTGGTTCAGCATAACATTGCATGGGCTACCCTTTAGGATTTGAAAATAGTCTAGTTACATAGAACCAAATGTTGCAGTAAGGTTATCTAACTACTTGGAGAACAAACATAAATTATCCTTAACATTAAACATTTTTGGCTTAATCATCATCATGGCAGCTAACATTTACAGAGCTCATCCTGCAGCTTACACCTTCACTATGTAGAAAGTAAAAAGTTCCTCTTCATAGTTTCCCTTCTTGTTAAAGAGTAAATCATAAGTGTTAGAAATAATAGTTTCTTTTAAAAACTAACTTCCTTTAAGCCTCCTTACTTTATGCTAATAACTTTTTGTTGGGCCCTATCCTGTGTAGCTGTTAAACATGCTCACAGGCACGTAGTACATTCTATGTCCTTGTACCTTAACTGAGATATTTGTGCTGGACGTGCTCACAGGCATGTTCCAGCTTGCAGCCTATGCCCCTTCCCTATTTGGCATAAACAACTTCCTCTTTTCCTTTGTCTTTCCATTACTTTTACCTATTTGGAAAAGTTTTAAACTATTAGCCAGTCGAGATTTAGTTTAGATTGTGCGGTCTTCTATCAAAGCCTTGGTCTTTATGCCTACAGAGAGCCATCCTGAGTGTGACCCCCACACCTTTCCCACTTTTCCCCGAACATTTCCTTATCTTTCAAGACTCAGTTCAGGCACTGTCTTTAAAAGAAAGGCTTCTCTATATTTTCAGCCTTCTCCTAGCTGAACAGACAAGGAGCAGTTTTCATAATCCTCTGTATACTTTAGCTTTAGTACTTAAATTGTTGGTCATAATCTTGTCTTTCTCTTCCACTTGAGGGTGGGGCATTATATTTCTTCTCAATAACCACAGAGCCTAGTGTGCAGTGGATGTTGGATTAACACTTATTAAATTGAACCAGTGTTGCTTCCTGGCATCATATGCTTTTGTTATGTTAATAATTTTACAAATGTTTGTCATAAAATACAACTGAAATCTGACCATAAATGATCTTGCTTTGTTTTTAGGTTTGATGAACATCCCTTCTGAATCTTCCCAGCAGTCCCACACTTCATGTACCTATCAGCACTCTCCCAGCAGTACAGTGAGCACTCACCCACACAGCAACCAAAGCAGCCTGTCCAACAGTCATGGCAGTGGCCTCAACACCACAGGCAGTAATTCGGTTGCACAGGTCTCACTGTCTCACCCCCAGATGCACACACAGCCATCTCCACATCCTCCCCATCGACCGCATGGTTTACCGCAGCATCCGCAGCGTTCCCCACACCCAGCACCACACCCACAGCAACACAGCCAGCTCCAGTCCCCTCACCCCCAGCATCCCTCTCCACATCAACACATACAGCACCATCCGAACCATCAGCATCAGACGTTAACACATCAGGCACCCCCACCCCCACAACAGGTATCCTGTAATTCTGGTAAGTTTTTGTCTCCTGGTTTGTGTTTGGCTAACTGTGAATTAGGATCTGTCCTTTGTTATTTAGAGCTCATGTAGTATTTACTACCAAAACCTCTTTACATCTGTTTCCTTGCTATAATCCTATAGTTGTAACTCATTTAATTCATAGACTGACCTGGCGACTTTCTTGATTAAAATTTATTGTGGCAACATAGGCAAACCCAGCAACCCTTGCAGGTTTTTATTTTAACTCTTGTTTATAATTTAGATACATTATCTTACATTATCCTGCCAAATCAAGTATAGATGACCACATTTTATATATAGGAAAAGTGCAACTAAAAGAATTTTAAGTAATTTGCTTAAGATCATACTGTGGTAAGTGGTAGAACTGGGGTTTATATTCTGACATGTCTGACTTCAAAGCTTATAACACCAGTTATTCTAAAAGAACTAAAATTAGCAGACATTTGCTAAGTGGGTAGGGTTTGCTCACCCAGTCGCTGCAGAGTTTGCTTTATTTTTATTTGCCAGGTCACTATTTATTAAAGGAGCCTCCTCTTCCTCTTACCCACAACAACAACAACAAATTAGTCATGGCAAATGTCCTGGTTCCTGCTCATAATTTCATTTCAGTTAACCTTTTTCCTACCCTGACCTTTTGACTACCTGAGTTGTGTTTACCTCAAGAGATCTGGATTCTAGTACTGCTTTGGCTGTTGTATTACCTAAGTGACTTAAATCATATAATTCCTTTGAACCTTGGTTTCCTTATCCATGAAGTTCTTCTTGAACTAAAGGATCTGAGTCTGGTAGACTTGCATGTTCGTGGCTCATTTGGATATTAGTTTAATCCCCTCCCACCTAACAAATTTCTTCCTAAGTTACGACTTGCTTCATGGCAGGGTCATGTTGTCTCTAGTTGATTGTTTATTTTAAAAATCCATTATTGGCAGAATTTTGTAATCAAGTAGCCAGTAGTTGATATAGCCAAGAGTTGCCTTGATGTAGCAAAAGCAAACCAACCAGCCCTTTTTATTGGTCTTTATCTTCATCCATCCGGGGGAGGTCCTAGAAACAGTGGCTTGACAGCAGTCACTGAAATGAAGAATTTTCTTCCACTATTCAGCACTGCTGTCTCATTGAAGGTAACTCTTGCTGCATGGCCTCTGACTAATGACTGGTTTGCTGA
The DNA here is from genome assembly GCF_000001405.40 of Homo sapiens. Lineage (NCBI taxonomy): Eukaryota > Metazoa > Chordata > Mammalia > Primates > Hominidae > Homo > Homo sapiens. Next base: position 42,190,129 of record NC_000001.11, on the reverse strand, counting down.
CATACAGATTATGGAGTCTTAAACTCTTCTGATGTCATACCAGAGGATACCATTTCTGACTAAAAATGCCCTGACGTGGATTCATCAGCATTTCTTGCAGAGATCTCACCCTTCTTCCTTCGCTACCTTGGCAGGGGGACTATGTTAAATTTTTTTCTCCTAAGGTTGCCTTGGAAGAAGCATTTACTCTTACTATATGATCTAATCCACCTGCGTTAAGTCATTGCATTAAATTGTACTATGTGTTGCCTCTAAATGTGAACCTGCCTCTCTTGAGTTTTTTAAGGTCATAAGAAGACAGGAAAATGAACTTTATATAGGGGAAAATACAGATTTGTGTGGCATTTCCTATCTGTTCATTTATTGGTACTGTAATGTAAAGAGCAGTATCAAGTTTGATATTACTAGGTGATGTGGCAATTTGGAAACTGCTAGACTGGAGGTTAGAAGACCTGGGTTCAAGTCTTAGATTCATCATGATAACCTTGCTAAGTTATGTCACTTCTCTGGTTCAGTTTCTTTTATTTGTAAAATGGAGAGAAATAATACCTTTCTGCCTGTCTCACAGAGCAGATTGCCCAACACGTGATATAATGGGTACAAATCCCCTTGTAAGACGGGACAAGAATCAGCCAATTTCAGGAATAAGGGCAGCTCATCGTTTTCCCTTACCACACTTCACCCTTTCACCATCCAGGAATTACACTGTTGTCAATATTTTATAGGTGTTTCAAATGATTGGTATGCGACACTTGATATGCTAAAAGAAAGCTGTCGAATTGCCAGCAGTGTTAATTGGTCAGATGTAGACCTTTCACAGTTTCAAGGTGAGTGTTGGTTCTTTTTGACATATAACCAAATACACATGATCCTGTTTCTCTGCTAGATTATAACTTTCTTTGTAGTAGAAATAAACATCATCTTATATAGCATTTCTTTTGCAGTTGGTAAAATTCATAATAATTTTGGCCACTTGGTATAGCAGAGGGTCACAGACAAGTTCTGAAAGAAATTTGACCACATTTAAAATAATTGGGCTTTGAATAATTTAAAAAGGTCATTCTTCATTGCGTGGATAAATCACTACCATAAAGTGGAGTGAGTGGAAATTTTGAGAGCTGAAAAAAATTATGTCTTGCTATTTTCCTTGCAATGTTTATTGCATAACAGTGCTAACATATTTTTAATGCTTTCCTCATAGGTCTGATGGAGAGTATGAGACAGGCAGATCTCAAGAACTGGTCTTTAGACCAGGTTCAGTTTGCCGATCTTTGTTCTTCTCTTAATCAGTTCTTTACACAAACTGGCCTTATACATTCACAGAGTAATGTTCAACAAAATGTTTGTCATGGTGCCATGCATCCAACAAAACCTTCCCAACACATTGGAACAGGTATGGGGTTAGTTATCTTCTTGATTTTTCTCATTTTCTCATTCGTACGAAATTTAGTAACTGTCTTAACCAACTTGGTTTGCTGCTAATGGTGACAGTGATCTGTTTACAAATTTTTATTTATAAGAAATGAATGAAAGCAAATAATTTATATGTAGGGTATATCTTAGAAAAATTGAGGTAATGAGACTATGTTTTTCTGTTGTGATTTATATGATTGCTTTATTATTTACAGTTAACTGTTGTAACCATTATCCTTTTACTAAGTTATCAAACAAGAAATATATTGGAGATACTTACGTTTTTATAGGAACATAATTATGAAATTATATTTAAATTTGTACAGATCTGCAATGGAAATCAACGTGTCTTGTGTATCTCCTAAGAATGTTAAAATTGAACAATTCGAAGTGTTTGAAGAGTAGACGTAATGGAAAATAGTCTCACTGATGTTTTACTTTAGACCCAAAATCTTTCCTGTATATTTTTTAAATCTCGCTTTCTTCCTTCATTCTTTACCCTTGCAGCCATGTCTTCTACTCTGATTGCACATTTTTCTGTAGGAATTTCATATCCAAGTTACTTCTTTCTTCATTTTAATTCCTTACCTTCTCTTATCATCAAGTTTACTTCTTTTCTGTATGTTATATTGATTTTACATTTTATGCCAACAAGCTCTCTCTTCTCTATCCTGAGTGGCTTCCTTTAACCATTATTCTATCTTACTTCACATCTTTCGTTCACCCATGGTTTGAGTTTATTCAAGTCAAGCTTATCAGTCTGTGTCTTTCTTTTCATGAAATCTTTATTCCTGTATCCTTTGATGTAGTGGAAATCTATTATCTTTTCTTCTTCCACGTTGAATAGCTTTTCCTAAGCTATTTTGAATAGCTTACCTTGCCTGAAACCTTCAGTCACTATTTGATTCTGGTGACCTATTCATTCAGTAAATTACATCCACACAAGGGCCTTGTTCAGTCCCTGGCTGATTGCCCTCTGTGCCAGACACTAAAATTTAGTTTTTGATAACTTTATAGCTTCTTTGTCTCTCTCTCTCTCTCCTTTTGTTAGTTCTTTTTGGTATCTTTCTGATATATATTCATTTTTAAGCATCAAGATCTCTGTAATTCAGGTATCCTCACTTATGTGCCCTTCTTCCATTTCTTTTTTTAAAATCTTTTCTTGCAGATGGACAGCGTGTCTTCTTTGTTTCTCTCATGGGTTCTAAGCCCATACTTTGTCCCTTTCAGGATATATCACTTTAATTTTTCCAACTTGCTTTAAGTCCTCCTTAGACCAGGTGTACCACCTCTCTCTGTTTTTTGTCCCTTTTTTCTCCTTTCCTCTTTTCTTTCTGTGTTCATCCAAAATTGTTGCTTCTGAGTGCTGTCATGCTGTTCACTTCTTTGCTAACTCCATCTCTAACCATTTCAGTCAGCCTCAAAAAGTACTAAGTGAAATTAAATAGCTTATGTATATATCACTAGTCTTGTGTGTTTGGGGGTAAGTACCTGTGTTGCTCATAGATTGTTGCCGTAGGCAGGAGAAGTAGAAGATGATGTGGGTCAGTGTTAGAAGAAGGCAGTCTCGGCCAGGCATGGTGGCTCATGCCTGCAATCCCAGCACTTTGGGAGGCCGAGGCGGGCTGATCACCTGAAGTCAAGAGTTCGAGACCAGCCTGGCCAACATGGCGAAACCCCGTCTCTACTAAAAATACAAAAATTAGCCGGACCTGGTGGCACATGCCTGTAATCCCAGCCACCCGGGAGGTTGAGGCAGGGGAATCGCTGGAACCTGGGAGGCGGAGGTTGTAGTGAGCCGAGATCACACCAGTGCACTCCAGCCTGGGTGACAGAGGGAGACTTCGTCTCAAAAGAAGAAGAAGAAGAAGGCAATCTCAAAAGCCAGTGTACATGTTAGGCAGCAGCTCTCATGTTGGTGAATTTCAGTTTTGTGCCCTAAGTCTGTAAGAAAGGTCTATGTGTACCTTTTGGTCTTGGAACTTGGTAGTTTTGTCATGGAAAAAACACTTTATCTGCTGCTGTCCTCTGTCAGAGTACCCAGGCACTCCTTCTAGATTCTCTCTAGACTGAGATCCTGAGTTATTTTCCTGAAGCCCTTTGTTCCTCAACTTCTGTAGTCATCTATTCTTGAGCCTTGACCTTGGTTATTTGTTCTGGTGTTCTGTGATTCTGTTAATTTTTTCTGTCATCTCTTTTGTTAGGGCCCTCCTCCTTTCTAGGGTCCCGATGACACCTTCGTGATTCTCAGTGCTACCCTAGTCACAGCCTATCAAAGGTAGAAAAACTATAGTTTTTCTTCAGTGTTTATTCAATTCTTTCTACTCTCACTCCCCTTTTGTATTTTCCTTCTGACTCATGCCTGCCAAGCTGTTTTGGCCTCTGACAACAGTTGTTCTCTCATCAATTATGGTGCTCCAAGTATTCATCACTTCATGCCTGCTGATGTCTGTTCACAAATATTCAGATTTTTTTTACGTGTCCAGCCTGCTTCCTCTTGTTTTAAGTGTCAGTGTCTTTCTGTCATTCCTTTTTTCTCTGTCTTACATCCCTGTGTATCACATCCATTCAGATCTTTTACTTCCCTCATCTCTGCACCCCAGTAATTCTTTGTCATAATTTCTTAGAAGTATAGTCAAGAGGAGACTTTCAGAGAGCTGTTAATTTTATCCCTTTATTTAACAGATAAGGACATTGTAATCCAGGGGGAGAAAGTGACTTACCCAATGTTGTAAAATTCATTTAGGTGTAGGTCTTGAGTCCCAGAATATAGTCTCTCCATTTCCTTAAACCTTTCCTGTCATTCCTGTCTTCAAGGACCCGCTTGGTAAACACCTCCATGAGCTTCCTGTAGACTCCAGAAATTAGTGGTGTAGTGTGCTAGTGTGGAAGGGGGAAGGGGAGAAGGTTGTTATAGAACACAGTCTATGACATCTTTTCCTAAATCTTTTTACCTGTGGTTATAATTTGTTTATATCTTCTGGCTCTACTATTCTAATTTGATGCGTTGCTTAAAGGTCATCATTAAATATAGGTAGGAATGCAGTCATTGAGCACACACTAGACACCTTTTCTGTGTCTAGCTTTGTATTGGGCACTGAGAATAAAGACATGACCCCTGTAGTAGCTTTTACCTAAAAGAGTTCACAACCTAGTGGTTGAGACAGATCCATCAAGAAATACAGTATGTTCACTTTGGGAGACCGAGGCAGGCGGATCATGAGGTCAGGAGATCGAGACCACCTTGGTTAACATGGTGAAACCCCGTCTCTACTAAAAAAATACAAAAAAATTAGCCAGGCGTGGTGGCAGGCGCCTGTAGTCCCGGCTACTCAGGAGGCTGAGGCAGGAGAATGGCATGAACCAGGGAGGCAGAGCTTGCAGTGAGCCAAGATCGCGCCACCACACTCCAGCCTGGGCGACAGAGCGAGACTCCATCTCAAAAAAAAAAAAAAAAAAAAAAATTCAGTATGTTGAGGGCTACACTTCTCCATAGGGTTTAAGTGCAATAAGAATTCAGAGAAAGGGGTGCATACTTCTCTTGGAAAGATGGAAAATTTTTCTAGAAGACAGCATATTTAAGCTGGACTTTGTAGGTTAAGTAGGATTTTGCAAGACAGAGAGGTCAGATCATGTCACGTCTGTTTTCTGCTCAAAACCCTCCATCTTTCTCAGTAAAGACCAATGTTGTTACTATGGCCTATATGGCCTACACAATCTGATCACTGATTATTTCTGATCTTGTCTTCTGCCTTCTCCCCTCCACGCCTGTGCTTCAACACTGCTGGTCTCCCTGGTGTTCTTTGAACACACTAGGTAGCACACTCTACCTAAACAGGGCCTTTGTACTTGCTATTTCCTCTTGTCCAGAGTGGTCTTCCCTCAGTTAGACACATGACTCATTTCCTCATCTTGTTCCGTTGTTTTTCCTCAAAAAACACCTGCTCAGGGGATGCCTTCCTTGGTCATCCTATTTAAATGGCACCACTACTCAGCAGTCCTTGTTCTCTCTCTCTGCTTTTTTTCCATAGCATGTTACATACTATTTAATTTACTTTGTTTGCCCCTACCCAACATGCCCAAGAATACACACCCGAAAAGCAGAGTTGTGTTTTTTCATTGCTGTATCCATAGTGCCTCGAGCAGTGCCTGAAATCTTTGGAAACTGCATTGGAAGTTAATTTCTTACATAGGAAATTCAGGAATACACTCATTCAGACTCTATATTGAGAATATGGGAAAAAATGAGAATTAATGGGAATTTCTATATGAAAATAAAAGTGTTACGCATATGATGGAATTACAGAAAGTTAAGACTTTTATGTAGATGTTTGTTTATTGTCATAATCCTGTAATTCTTTCTCCCCTCTGCCTTTAAGGTAAGAATTACGAAGCCATAAAAGAGAAGTGGTAAAAGATTAATTCCCAATAAAAATCAGTTTTACATTTTCATTATGACATGAACTCGAAAGATGTGTAGAGTGAGAGCTAAGATTTTGAAGGACAGAGACAGGGAAGTTGTGGGTATATGAGTGACCCTATTACTCTGAGTGGTGTGGCCCTTCCAGCTTGGTGCAGTCTTTACAAAGTACACTAGGCGTGCATGTGAAGACCGATCAGCATTTGGAGACAGGATTCCGCCCCACGTCACTCGTACCAGTATTAGAGCTGTAGTTTAGTATAACTTTTCTCCTCTTTTTTCTTTCTAAATCATCAGTATGGTCAGTCAGTCAAAGAGGTCAGTTCTGACTATAAACTTCACTGATAAAAGGCATGTTATCATGGGAGGCAGGGACAGGGGGTCAGAAGTCTTGAATTCTGGTCCTGGTTCTGTCTCATTTCCTCTGTCCCTGTTTCCCTATCTGCATGGACAGAGGTAAGGTCAGATTAGATTATCTCTGAGGCCATCTCAAGCCTGGATAGTCTGGCTTTCCACTGGAGGGTAAAGACTTGTGAGCAGCCAAATACAGAATGCCTTACCTTAATAGAAGTGGAAGATTTTTTCTACTCTTTTTAGTTTCCTCTGGGAAAATGATTACTATTTTTTAGTTTCATTACAACATTACTAGAATTCAAGTGTAATTTACATGAAATAGTAGATAAACTTAGGGAAGTAGCCTTTCCAGAATTCCAGATGTTCCTTACAATGTGAACCGCTTTTATAATCATTCCTCATGAGTTATTGGAGGAGGGGTCATGTTTGTTCTCTCTTTTGCATTGTGATGTAACGTAGTTGACATTTTGGAGGCGATAACACTTGATGTCTCCTGTTAATGAAAATATATTAAGAACCTTCTGAAGTAAAATTTGAATGAGATCCATGGTCCCCATCCTCACATTCTAGGATAATACTCCCCTCCCCTCCCCTCCCCTCCCCTCCCCTCCCCTCCCCTCCCCTCCCCTCCCCCACCCCGCCCCGCCCCCTCCGCTCCACCCTCTCCGCTCTCCTCTCTCTTCTCTTTTGACAGGGTCTCACTCTATTAACCAGGCTGGAGTGTAGTAGCACAATCTCGGTTCACTGCAACCTCCGTCTCCCAGGTTCAAGTCTGAGTAGCTGGGACTACAGGCTCATGCCACCACACCCAGCTAATTCTTTGTATTTTTAGTAGAGACAGGGTTTTGCCGTGTTGGCCAGTCTGATCTTGAACTCGTGACCTCAGGTGATCTGCCCGCCTCTGCCTCCCAAAGTGCTGGGATTATAGACCTGAGCCACCATGCCTTGCCCAGAATAATGTTTTTAATCATCATTGCTTGTTGTAGCTCTTTTACCATGTGCAGATCTTTATTGTTACTTTGTGCTTCCCAGGTACTTGTTAATTAACAGGGGCACACATGGTTACACATAGTTAGGCCTGCTTCGAGGGTGAGAACATCAGGGAAGTAGAGAAATAGGTGGTGATGTAGAAAGAGTCCATGAGTGGCTGGGTGCGGTGGCTCATGCCTATAATCCCAGCACTTTGGGAGGCTGAGACAGGTGGATCACTTGAGGTCAGGAGTTTGAGATCAGCCTGGCCAACATGGTAAAACCCCATCTCTACTAAAAATACAAAAATTAGCCAGGCGTGGTAGTGCACGCCTGTAATCCCAGCTACTTGGGAGGGTGAGGCAGGAGAATCGCCCGAACCCAGGAGGCAGAAGTTGCAGTGAGCCGAGATTGCGCCACTGCATTCTAGCCTGGGTGACAGAGTGAGACCCTGTCTCAAAAAAGAGAGTCCATGAGTTAGGAGATCTGGATTGTAGTCCTAGCACTGTCAAACTAATGTGTCTTTGGGCAAGTCAGGTTAGCCTTTCTGAGTTTCAGTTGCCTCATCTGTAAAATGGGTGTAACAATCCCTGTCTTACCCTCCTTTGGGGCTTAGTGGGAGGGTCAGATGAAGTAATGGATACAAAAATACTTTTGAATTGTAATGAGGTATGTGATAGCAACAATAATAGACATAACTTGCCTACCAGCGTACAGTTAGTGGCAGCGCTAGCATTAGTTCAGTGTGTTCACACCCGGCCTGGCACCCTGTTCAAAAGGCCAAGACCACAATTTTAGCATCTGAAAGGAGTAATATTTTCTTCCCCCTTTCTCCTTATTTTACCTGCTTAATTTACTTTCAGAGTAACAATTCTGTTAAGATTTTAGTGCTCCATTTGTTTTATTTGTGGTAACATGTTTTCCCTCTTTCTGCTTTTAATCTGATTAGGAAATTTGTACATAGATTCTAGGCAAAATCTCCCTCCTTCAGTGATGCCACCCCCTGGTTATCCTCATATCCCACAGGCACTCAGCACTCCAGGAACAACGATGGCAGGTAAGAGAGAGAGAGAGAGTGAGTGTGTGTGTGTGTGTGTGTGTGTGTGTGAGCACTCCAGGAACAACGATGGCAGGTGAGAGAGAGAGTGTGTGTGTGTGTGTCAGTTATTACCCAGAGTTTAATATTGAGAAGCATGTGTGTGTGTCAGTTGTTACCCAGAGTTTAATATTGAGAAGCGTTAGCTTTCCCGATGGTGAATGAGGCTGCCTCAAGGAGTGAACTCCCTGTTAAGAGGGGCTAGGGGACAATGTCTGGACAGCCACTTGGCACTTGTGCTAGCAAAGGGATTCAAGCATCAGTTGGAGTTTGGACTGTAGGACCTGAAGTCCTTATTAGCCCAAGATGCAATGATTCTACTTATTCTAGTTATTTATTGTCTTGCCTCTCTAAGAAGTCCTGGGGTCATAGTTGAGGGTGTTTGACAGGACTTTAGCAGGTTTTAGGAACCTACTTTATTAGCTCCTGTAGATTCTGCTTCATTCATTCCTATGGAGTTCCCCCAGCTATAGTTTCCAGGGAAGTACCTTGTAGAGAAGGTAAATTTTAGGTGTTAAGTGGTTCATACACTTTTCCCGCTGGGTTCTTGAATGCAGGATTCATTTAGCCAGCGGAATACGGCACATTGTTAGAGCTGGAAAGTATCTTAAAGATCACTTAGGATAATGGAGGCTCTGAAGGAGAAATGCCTTGCCCAGGCCACCCAGTTTAGTGAGTGGCCAGATCAAGACTCAAGCCCCAGTGTCTGGATTCAGAGTCCGTTGTTTTTCTCACATACCACACAATCCTTTACTTAGGCTATTTGAGGAAAAGACATAAAGGTAATGGGGTTGGGGGTGGATTTAAAACCTTGAAGAACTGTGTGGCAGACAGCAGTGAGGAAGGAGTTGGGATCAAGTGATATGTCCTTTGCTGAAGGGGGAAGGAATGTTAACCTGTTGTGAGTGCTTACTACTAATTTGTAAGTGGCACCATAAGGTGGTAAGGCTCTGGAGCCAGATTGCTTGTGTTTGAATCTTCATGCTTTGCCACTTAATGGCTGTGTGATATTAGGCAAGCTACCTAACCCTCCTACCTCAGCTTCCCTGTTTGTAAAAGGGGCTAATAAAACTACCTGTGTCCTCGAGTTGTTAGGATTGAATGAGAATCATGTAAATTAGTGCCTGACCCACATTAAGGAACTTATAAGTTTTTTTTAAATGGAGGCATTTTACCTATATTGTGATATACTGAAAACCTTAGCATTAAATAATTGTACAAGAAAATATTTCAGGGCATATGAGAAAAATGAGTAGCAGACTACTTGAAATTTTGTAATCAGAGTACTAAAAAAAAATCCAGTAAAACTTCCACAACAGTTAAAAGGATATGTATAATTTGTAATAAAAGAAAGAATTCTACAAGTAAATATCAACCTCTACTTTTAAAAAGCAGCTGGTTTAGAAGGGGGGGGTCTGTCAAGATACGGTGGAGACACAGACCCAATGAATCAAAATTGGGGAGCATAAACAGCACATGGCCAAACTGGTACAAGAAGAGCATGGGAAGGTGGGCATTCTGTACTCAGCTGTGGTTCCTTCTGGTTTCCTGTGTTCCCTTGTTGATGTCCTCTGTGTTCACTTGACATTACTTGGTGGCACAGAAATTAGCTTGCTGGGGAAAATTCAGTATGACGTCATTGGTGCACTGCCATCATTATCCTGTTTACCATTCTCATGGGAGCCAATTCATGTTACTGAAACAACGTATTGGAGCAAAACAGACTGTAAGAGCAGTGGCTACATTGGCACTTTTCTCGTGTCTTCCTTACTGCAGCCTGGTATAATGGAAGGAGTGTGGATCAAGTGAACTGACCTCAGATCCTATCTTTGTCCCCTACTGGTTGTGTGACTTTGGGTAATTTACTCATCCTCTTAAACCGTATCCCCTTACCTATAAAATAAGGATCATAAGAGCCACTTTTTGAAGGCTTATGGTTGAATTAGTGAGATAATGTGTGCCTGGCATATAGGAAGTACACAGTAGGGGTTAGTTTATTTCTTACTTTCTTCTCTACCCAAGTCGCTGCTATTATTGCCTCTTTCCTTCCAGGCCATCACAGAGCCATGAACCAGCAGCACATGATGCCTTCCCAAGCCTTCCAGATGCGGCGTTCCCTGCCTCCAGATGACATCCAGGATGACTTTGATTGGGATTCAATTGTGTAGGGCTTGTTTCTGCAAGACACCAGACCCTAACGTTACCTTTCTGTGCAGTGAAGGGAAAGGTTTAAGAGAATCCAGTTGAGAAAACAAACTTGCTAATCACTTTACCAATGTTATCAAAATTACTTTTGAAGACAATCAGAAGGATTTTAGCTGGATAACTTACTGCTTTTATCTGACCCAAGCAAGTACTACATGTTTGTCTCCCTGCCAGCTGCCCTATGTAGCTCCTAACTGTTGTGTGATTTGGACGGCTTTTTGCATATTTGTGTCAGTTTGATGTTAACCACAAGTGCCAGACTGATTTTTCAGACGGAGCCTATTTTGCTGCAAGCAGTTTATATAAAGATACATATGTGTAAATATATGTACAAAAATTACTGAAAGGCTTCAGTTTTTTCTAATTGGATTATTATGTCTTGAAAGTTATTGTCAGTTTTTATTCCTTGTTAGGCTATTTTCTGCAGGATGCTTTTAACTGATGTAGGAAACTGAAAGGAAATAGATTTTTTCCAAAACCCAGTTCCCCTTATTTAATCTTTTTTAGAAATGTGGGTAATGAATTCTATCTAATAAGTCAAGGAAACCAGAATTTGACACACTCCAACAATCCGAAGGGGCATGTTGCTCCTGAGCAGCATGAAGAACTGACCAAATTGGTTTTGATGCTTGGGGGATCATAGAGTATTTATGTCTGCTTTTCTAAATCTGCATTATAATAGCTCTAAAATTTGTTGATTGGTAAGAAATTGGGCATTGCTTGGCTCTTTAAACACATCAGTGCTTCCACATTCACCTATGTATTTATTATTCAAAAGTGTCATTTTAATATTTATTGCTACCTTCTGTGAATGCTTAGCTCCTGTCGGGTTCATTAAGGAGAAATGTGTCTGAAAGCACAGAACTATTATTATTTTTTTCTTTTTTTGAGATGGAGTCTTGCCCTGTTGCCCAGGCTGGAGTGCAGTGGCACGATCTCGGCTCACTGCAACCTCCGCCTCCCGGGTTCAAGCAATTCTCCTGCCTCAGCCTCCCGAGTAGCTGGGAGTGCAGGTGCACACCGCCATGCCTGGCTGATTTTTTGTATTTTAGTAGAGATGGGGTTTCACCATGTTGCCTGGGCTGGTTGCAAACTCTTGAGCTCAGGCAGTCTGCCTGCCTCAGCCTCCTAGAGTGCTGGGATTACAGACATGAGCCACTGCGCCTGGCCCAGCGTTACTTTTCTTGATAAGAATTTACAGATAAGACACTCAGAGAGACATTGTGTCATTCTCTATCATCACTCCTTTTACCATGTGAATAGATTTCTCTGTCTTGGCATTCTTGCTGATTCAGACTTATTAGTTAAATCGGATTTTTCTGGAATTTGAATCAGATTTCATTTGGGCAACAACAGCAGGGCAGGGTTTCTAAAGCAGGTTTCCCCACTCATCTAGGTTGTCTTGAAAGGAGGATAGAGCCACTTACAGTTTTATTTGCTTCAGTGTTTAATGTAGATATTATGTGGCCTGCTGTTTCTGTTGTCTTGTATGTCTGTGTATGCATGACATTTGGTCCCTTTCTTTGAAATGCAGCCCCTCTTACGGGTTTTTTAGTGGTGGTGGTTTGTTTTGTTTCATATCATATCACAGTTTGCATGGACTGATTATCTTAGTTTTATGATAAAACTAGAAGAAATGAGGGTTTTTTTTTAATGAATAGATTTTGAATTGATTCTTTAGACCCCCCAAAAAGTGTCAGTTCTAATGGGGAAATATATTCCATCAAGTCAAAGAGTAATAACTGCTCACTAGTTGCTTTTTAGCATCTCTGGTCTTATCAGCCATGCTAAATCACTTTAATTAGCCTTAGTGATTCTATGGTTGAGTAATCTCTACTTGAACTAAACAAACATCTTTTGTTTCTGTGTGTGTGTGCTGTGTGTGAGAGTGTGCGCGCGCGTGTGTGTGTGTGTGTTTTAATGGAGTGTTGCCTTGAATGAATCACTGGGAAGCCAGCCATGGTAAGGGCTGGTGAGGTTGGGGAGAAAGGAAGAGCTTTATGTTTCTCTGTTGTTTGGACCCTACTTGGCATGAAAAAGGAAGCTCAGTTCCAGCCCCTTGGATCAACGAAAATCAGAGGATTCTGGAAAGGCAGCCAACTTGCGCCTCTTAGAAGGATCAGAGGCAAGATGAGATGGCAGCCTGCAGAGTAAATGCTTGAAAAAAGAGGGGTGATTTTCAATGGTTTGCTTAAGTCACTGTTTTCTAGACACCAAAATAGCTGTTTTGAAACTGTTTTAATTGCTTGGGTAGCAATGTGCACTTTAAACAATTTGGATATTGGAATGCAGTCTCATACTGAGTGATTTGAGTAGAACCACTGATGATGATTTTATAAATTGTGTGAAGCGAATTTCCCATTTGGCAATCATTTACTGATTTGCAGTGATGAATATTTTTATGAGAATTTAAACTTAGCAAGAATGGCCATGGAGGCAAAGCCTTCACCCAGACCCATCCCACTCTCCTGTGATCCAGGTGGTCCAGGAGCCCAGGACAGGCCTTTTCTGTGGGCCCTGGCCAGACAGGGTTACCTGGTGAGGTGCAGAGAGTCCCTCTAGTGGCCATTTTGTATGGTAGTTGCTAATGCAGAACAAGTTCTGTCTTGGGCTTAAATTGACTGAAGACTTTAGGGGGAAAGAATAGTAAATGCATGTAAACAAATGGGGACACTCTGTTCAGGAGAATAATCCGACTGGCATTTGTGGCAGTTTTTGAAATGTAAATGTATTCATGTGTGTTCTTGTAAATACGTGTCGCTCAGATGTCCTTTGAAGTGGGAGGGAATCAATCCGGGGATAATTTCAAATGGAATAGAGTATTTTGATATTGTTCATTCAGAGGGTGATGTGTACATATCTATATTGTATATATGTGATGAAAATGCATTGGCTTTTTGTGCAGATACAACCTGCTCTCTGTACTGCTGTTGGACAGTCAGTGTTTTAATGTTTCTACAGTTTTGCTATTGCACGATTTCATATTTTGCCTCTATGATGAACGGCAACCATTATTTGTAACTGTTTAGTGCTGTAAAGAAATATTCCAAGTGTCATTAGGATTGTTGCTGCCAGAACTGATATGCATGAATGGCACTTAAAATAAATATATTATGTTAACTCTATTTACAACACTGATTGGTCTCCGTTGTTTGCTGTAATTGAAGAAGTGAGAATGGAGCTAGTCCAGGTGCAGAAACCCCACAGCCAGGACCCCAGAGTCCTTGGGGTCACTGAGATTGTGTCCTTTGCATTACTACCTGAGGACAGTAATTGCTGCCATTTAGTGAGCATCTTATTAGCTCCATGAACTTGGGGAAGTCACTGGATTTCCCTGGGCCTCATTTTCCTTATTTGCAGCGCCAGTACAATGAGGATAGTATCTGCCTCCTAGAGTTGTAGTGGGATTTACATAAATCAGTACATTTAAACATTTAGGACAGCACATGGGACATAAAGCATACTGGTACTCAGTATGTGCCAGGTGCTGTGCTAAGTAGATATTGTGGTCCTCCTTTTACCGACATGGGAACAGCTCAGATAGAGGTATAGAAACTTGTCTAGATTCTTCAGTTGGCAGGTGATAGAGCAGAGGTTTGAATCCAGGTCATTTGATTCCAGGCATCATGTTTTTTGCACAATCCTCTCATACTTACTGAGGGAATTCCCCTCTCCCTACCCCCTGCCCTTGCCCCATCTTGTCCCCAGCACTGCCTTCCCAGAGCTATTTCCAAAAGGTGAAAGTGGGGCTTTACATTTGCTGAGCACATATTCTGTGTTAAGCCCTCTCATGAGAAATCCAGAGATGAGGAAGCCGCAGTTCCTGCCTTTAGAGGGTGCAGACTTGCCCAGGACAGGTAGCAAATGCCAGCCCAGGGAGGCTATTCTGAAGGTATGCTCTGGTAAGGCAAGATTCTGGTGATGCGGAGTTAGGTCATACTGAGGATTGGGGCCGTGGTTTAGGAGAGGCTCCAGGTATGGGCTACCAAGTTGAGTCTTCAAAGGGTCCCAGACAGATGGGAGGAGGTATTGCCATTTATACCATTACCTTGGGCAAGGCATGGGAGCTACCTTAGCATGGGGGTTGTGGGTTGAGGCAAGAGAAGTGCAGGGCTGCTGGTCAAGAGCTGAGCGTAGCAATTCTGTGAGAAATGCTGTCCCCACTTCACTGATGTGGAAACAGGCCCGGAGAGGCTAAGCAACGGGCAGACCAGCCATGTGGCTGGAAGTGAGATTAACCTGGAGTCCCTCCCACTCTAGAAGGGGGACCTTTTCATCAATCCCATGATCTACCCAAAGCCTCAGGCTGCTGCTAACGTAACCCACACAATGCCACCAGAAACATCTTTGGCAGTTTTACAGATAGGGAAACAAGGCCCAGAAAAGTTAACCTGCCCAAATTCTCACAGCTAATAGAGGAGCTGGAATAATTCAGTCCAGACCTAACTCCAGAGTTCATTTCCTTTTACCTCACTGCTATCTAAAAAGAGGAATTTTCCCAAAGCCAAGGATAGTGACTATCCTCCGTGTGTGTGTCCATGTGTCCGTGTGTGTTCCTTGGAGGGAAAGCTGTGCTTCACTCCCATCACAGGTAAGCATTTGTCATTCGCGGTGCCTCTGAAGGACTGTAGTAAGGGCACCACTAAATGTAGTCACCTTGTGCTGATTCAGATGCAGCTGAAGTATACTTCTGCTGATCAAATGAAAAGGCGATTAAGATGCATGTGTAATTCTCAAGGTTTTAAGATACTACAGTGTGCAAAGGGCTGCTGTTTATAGATGTGACCCTTATCAGTTGGGTAAAGGAGTCCTGGAAAAACCATGTAAGCATCAGTTAACATTCACTGAAGGCTTGATAGCTTCTTGGCCTTTTGGCTAAGATCAAATGCATTGAAGGTTTGACTGCATTAAATGCCCTAGAATTACAGCACTATCCTAAAAGCTTCAAGCTGGAAGGGGCCTTAGAAATCAACTAACACAACCCCCACATTTTGTTGTTGGAGAACATTGAGACCCAGAGAGGGAAGGGTCTGCTCACGTTTCACACAGTTAGTTAGGGAAAATTTGGGGGAAGGGAATGAAAGTCATTTGTCTGGCAGCGATTTAAAATTCCTACACATACTGTCTTATTTGATTGCACAATAGTCTGATGATGTAGTACTGTTACTGCCCTCATTTTACAGAAGAAGAAACAGCTTTGGAGAGGTGAGACACAATGGAGTTGTATCATGAATGCGTTCAATCAAAGCATGTAAATTCAGTTGTATATACTTGGCCAAAGAGAGAAGGAATGGAAATTTTAAATAATGTAATGGTGGAGTATCCACCTGTGATGGACATGTGCCCCTGAGTGTGAGATGGAAGATTCAAATCTGAGTCTATAACTGGTATTTGCTTCCATGTACCTTCTGCGTGAGCATCTCATTACTGAGTCAATTCCGGTGGATAAAGAGACATGTGTTTCGTGCAGCATTGTCTTGGGTTCAAGCCAGCAGCTTCCTCCAATGCTCAAAGACAGACTTCAACCAAGAACTAGAAAAACTGGCCGGGTTGGGCTTATTGAGACATGTTTATCCACAAAAGTGCTGCCTTCCCAAAGGATTTTCAAGAGTGATTTTTGAGCTTACCTCCTTGGACTCTTCCCTTAATATATGTGACTAGTCAACATGTACAGAGCAGAGACTTGGTAGCTGACTGCGTCAGAACCAGAATTCAACCCTAGGTCAGGGCTTCAACCCCCAGCTCTCCTGCAGTACCCCTAAGCGATGCTGACCTCAGAAGTACAGAATTGGACAGCTACTCTTTATTAAAAGTTCCTGTTACTTAATATTACTTATCCTAAGCACCTGATGTGGATTATCATACTTACTCTTTGAAGTAACTGTGTGTAGTAGATACTCTTATTATCAACTTCATCTTGCAGAGCCACAGAAATGAAGTCCCTTGCCCAAGGTCATCCAGCTTGTAAGTGGCACAGGTAATAATAGCAACAGTAAAGCTGGGGTTTTGAACCTAGGCCATTCAGCTCCAATGTCTGCGCCATTCACCACCACATTGTGCTGTTTCAGGCCCTGTTCCCGGAGCGACCAGGCGGAGAATGAGGGCCTTAGAACAAAGCCAAAGCTACTTTGCAATTAGGCTGTAGTGAGTGCCTGTGGCCACTAGGGGGCGGGGCTGCCGGCTGTGCACCTTTCCTCTTTTGGAGGGTTTCCTTTACCCTTACTTAGGGCTGTGCTCCCTTTCTCTGCAGCCCCCAGATTTTGGTGCTCCTAAAGAAAGGTAGGGATTCCACTAGCCAGCCTTTAGAATCTGTGCTCCTCCTCTCCTGTGTCAGAGCTTGCTGGAGGAAGCCAAGGAGCCTGTCTAGTTCTCGGCCACATACTGCTGGGGCCCACTCTAGAGCTGCCTCTGAAGTCTGCTGCCCCGTCCCAGCCTCCTGGTGCCTATGGCTCCCCTGCTCCAGGACTCAGGTGGGAGAAGGTGCCCAGTGTCAGCCCCACACTCTGAGGCTCCTCAGGCTCTGCTCCTTCCTCTTCTGGGGCCAGCTAATGCTGGGGGCTGGCATGGTTTCTGCAAGCATACAGAGGGCTGTGGTCCAGCCAGCCATGCGCCTTGCCCACTGGGCAGCTACCCTTGCCACCCCCACCAGCCCT
Organism: Homo sapiens; assembly: GCF_000001405.40. Lineage (NCBI taxonomy): Eukaryota > Metazoa > Chordata > Mammalia > Primates > Hominidae > Homo > Homo sapiens. Next base: position 42,173,019 of record NC_000001.11, on the reverse strand, counting down.
GCCTCTGAGCCGGAGCAGGCCTTGTCTCCACTTGTACACCAACTCCTGCGGCTGTCACAAACAACGATGGTTATTGCCACATTTGCCAGGTCCCTGCCTGGCACTGGACAGCGATTATCTGAGTGAGCATGCCCAGATGCCTTGTGAGGTTGGTGTCATTATCTTTTATGGCTGGACATTGCCAACTCAGAGAGGTGAAGTGATTTGCCCAAGGTCAAAGCCAGCGAGCGAGGCTGGCAAGAGGACAGGAACCCACATCTGCCCCAGGCGTGCCTGCTCTTCTGGAGGGCGTGCTGTCTCTTCCATAGCACTTCCCAGCTGCCCTGACCACCCTCTGGTCACCCTACCCCAGAGGCAGGCCTGAGCTGGCCTCATGGTAGACGGATGGCACCACTCTCACCCCGCATCCCCCAAAGGTCAGAGAGGCAACTTCCTGTCCCAGACAATGGCAATAAATATGTCCAAGGACACTTCCCAACCTTCCCATGCCTGAGTGACAGGCCTTCCTGGAACAGCCCTCTGTTTCCGTGTGACTGTGTGTGTGTGTGTGTGTGTGTGTGTGACCATATGTGAGCAAGGCCTTGTGTGCGTGTGCTCGTGTGCTTGTGTGAGCGTGTGAGTCTGTGGCTGAGCATGTGATACGTTGTAGCCTGTGTGATAGTGACTGGGACTTTGTGTATCTGTGTGTGCCCATAAAGGAGACAGGAGACAGGAAGATTGCTCCTCAAATTTGATGACTTGATAGCCACTCCCTCCTCCCACTAGGATAGGGGAATTTGCAGGAGGAGGGAGACGCTTGCCTGGATTGTAGCTGGGTTCACAGGCACTGTCAGGGTTAGACCTGTGGGTCTGATACACATTTTCTTATCACATCCCTGGCTTGTCCTTGTGGCTTTGAGGACTCCTCCCTCCGTTATCCCTTTGAGCTAGATCCCTGATCTATACCGGCTCCTGCCCCCAGGCATCCCCCCGCCTGCTGCCCTAAAGCTTTTACACCAGAAGTTGCTCCAAGAACAGCAGCTTAGCCTGCATGTTCCCTGCAGGTCCCATAGGCTAGCAAAATACTTGAGGCAATGGGAAGAATTCAGAGTTTGGAGTCAGAAGAAGCTAGAATTCTGTTTGGGTAAGACATTGCCCTCTCTGAGCCTCAGTTTGCTCATCTGTAAAATGGGGATGCAATACTTCACCTCAACGTGTTATTGAGACCATCAGTGAGGAGTCAGATGGCAAAAGCTGCCCTGGCACATATTAGGTTCCCAGGGGCGGTCTTCCCTTCTCTGTCTCCCTCCCTCTCCTCTCCATCTGTTGCCAAGTTGCCAAGACCAGTTGCTTTTCCTGCCATTCTATGCTTCCAATCCACCCCCTGCCCTTCTGGGGCACTGCCAGGGGTGGAACACAGACCTCTCCTGGACCCATGCAGCAGCCATCGCTAGACAGTCCACTTTTAACGCCAAGTGCCAGGGCACTCCTTCTGAATCATGACTCTTACCAAGGCCTCCCCTACTCTGAAAACTCTTGTAGCTCCCTGCTGTCACCAGGTGAAGGGCAAAACTCCTCAGCCCAGTGTGTGAAGCCGCCTTCTCTGGGCTGCTGGCCCATGAGTCCTTGAGACACCCTCTGCTTTCACCTCAGCCGCCCCCGCTTTGCCATTTATGCTTCCTGCTGCCAGGCCTTTGCCTCGCGGCTCTCCCCTCGATGGGTCCAAATCTTCCCATTGATCAAGACCTGTTGCAAATGCCACCTTGTCAGGTAAAGCATTCTCTGATCTGGTGCCAGGAGGACTGGTAGCCTCGGCTTGTTCCTCCCTCATCCCAGGGAGTCTGTACCCATGCCCTACCCTCCCTGTAGCCTGTGGGCTCTGCGAGCGTCTTCTATGGGGGCAGGTGGAGGGAGCTCCAGCTGTGCTCTCCTTCCCTGTCAGCCTTTGGGTGTGGGAGGTTGTCTTGGTGGCCAATGCCCAAAGCAGGCTGGGGGATGCGGGAGAAGGCTGCAGCTGCTGTCCCACTGAGGGGGAGCAGATGGTGAACGGAGTTTCTTCACCGCCTCTTCCTGGTGAGGCCACAGGGCCCTGAGATGACATCGCTGAGCAAACAGCCAGGCACGCCCCCTGCCCACTCCCCAGCTGCCCCCTGGAGCATCAAGGGAAAGAGCCGGGCCACCCAGGGCCTGGGGGTGGGGGAGAGATCCCTCCACCCTAGCCTGGACTTGGGCTTCAGCCAAAAGGCTTCCAATTCCAACTCAGCCATCCACTTTCTGTGTGACATTGAGCACTCTTTCTGAGAGCCTCAGTTTCATCCTCTAAGATGGACATCATTGACCTACCTCACAGGGTCTGACTCAGTGGCGACTCCTTTCTTTTTCCTTTTCCCTAGAAGGGGGCAAAAATGGGTGTTTGGGACCAGGAAGACAGTGCAGAGGAATGGGATGGACTCAATAGAACTTTAGGCTTTTCTTTGGCAGTTGAAAGAAATGGATTCTGTTCTGGGATTTCTAGCTACGTGACCACAGTTGCCACCCAGTCCACCTGGCAATGAGTCTGAAGTATTGTGCTTTCCTCTAGGCTGAGGTAGTCGCATGCTTGTGTCCACACTTATGCTCTCTGTTGGTCGGGTACCCTTGTGCAGTGCACAACCAATACAACTGTACACAGCATCCCTGTATGCACCTTTGGGAAAATTATACTTTCTTAACCTCTCTGAGCTTCAGTTTACCCATGTATAAAATAGGGTTATGTAGTTATTTCTTAGGTGTTTCCAGTGCTGTCAGGAGGTTCACATATATTGTAATGTCTGCCTCAGGCAGTTCTGGATTCTTATAGGAACCAGAGATTGTTACACCCTCCAAGACACATTTACAAGCAGGTTGGAGAGGCTGTGTATTGTGGACCACACCCCTTTCAAGGTTACACAGATCTGTATTGGAGTCTTCAGGTTCCCACCTGGGCTCTGTTCCAGGCCTTCCTGCTGAGGTCCGATTAGGCCTCTGGGCCTGTGGGAATGGGGGGACTGAGGCTTAATGGTCCCAATTTTAATGTGCACACAGGAGCCATGATAAGATCACCTAGACACAAGAATCAAACATCAGCATCTTCACAGAGACTGGAGGGCTGCCCCAACAGCAGGGCAGAACCTCTGCAGCTTCTGGAAGTGGGTGAGGGGTGGCGGGGCTTTAGGGAGCAAGACTGGCTTCCACACTTGTAAAGCACTTGGCCAGAGCCTGGCACAGGGTGAGTCTTGACAAATATTAGCTGCTGTCATTAATGTGATGATCATTGCAAACATTACAACCTGCCTCATTCTTTAAAGACTCAGTGGTACCTACTAAGTGCCAGGCCTTGTATGAGTACAGGGCCTCAGTTGAGTAGGACACAGTCTCTGCTTTCAAGCAGCTCCCAGGGCAGTAGGCTAGACAGACAATTTGCTAAGTTTTGTGATGGCAAAGGTGTAGGAGGCTGGTGGAGCTCAGAGGAGTAGAAATGGTCTTAACTCGGGCTTGCCAGGGCTGGGGTCAGTTAGGAGAGTCTTCCAGAAAAACTGAAATTTGCAATCTAGCTGTTATTGTCTCCATTTTTTAAAGCAGAAACTGAGGCTCAGAAAGGTCATGGAGCATTTTTCCTCGCTCTGTCGCCCAGGCTGGAGTGTGGTGGTGCGATCTCGGCTCACTGCAACCTCTGCCTCATGGGTTCAAACAATTCTCCTGCCTCAGCCTCCCGAGTAGCTGGAACTACATGCATGTATCACCATACCCAGCTAATTTTTGTATTTTTAGTAGAGACGGGGTTTCACTATGTTGGCCAGGCTGGTCTTGAACTCCTGACCTCGTGATCCACCCGCCTCTGCCTCCCAAAGTGCTGGGATTACAGGCATGAGCCATCGCAAGCCTGGCCGGTGACACTGGATTCTAATACAGGGTTGCCTGGCTCCGAAGCCTGAGCCCTTGAAGCCACAGCACCCCAGGTTTAAGTCCCTCCTTCTGGGTCCACTCCAGGGAGTCCTTTGGGATCCTGGTTGAATGGAGAGCTCAGCAGGGGCCTGATCACAAAAACCCTGAATGCCAGGCAAGGGAGGCTGGCTTTCTTCCAAAGGGTTTGGGCAGCCACTGATGGGTTTTCAGAGGGGGAGGCAGGCAGGACAGGTGGCATGGCCTGGAAGGCTATTAGGAGCAAGAGTTTGCCAGAAAAGGCAGTCTTGGAGTGTGGGAAACCCAAACAGCCTCAGACCCTCCTTCTGCCCATATGGAAGAATGAGGGATGTGGGGGTGCTGGGGACCAGGGCCTGAGGACTCAGGGTGTAGGCTGGGGTGGGAGGCAGGAAGCTTGGAGTTCTGGGAAGAGCCCAAGATCCAACTTCCAGCAGCTTCAGAGCAGGCTGCAGAGGTCCTGAGCACCCTGGAGGTTCAGAGGGGAGGGGGCCTGAACTCACGGCTGGGGCCAGACTAGGCAGAGGGGCTTGGGGAACAAGGGAAGGGGAGTTGGTTCCCATTTCCCAGGGTAGAGGTCAGAGGTGGAGTTGGGTAGGGGAGGACCCTAAGGGCCATGGCCTAGGAGTCACTTCCTCTTTCCCACAGTGTGGAGTGATGTCACTCCTGAACCCACTCCATTCCATCCCTGCCTTATAGCAGGCAAGCCTTGGCCAGGGGGGCTGTGGGAGAAAGAGGCTCAGGGATGAAAGCCCCTGCCCTTTACCCCCATTCCTGCCACAGCTTGGGAGGGGAAAGACCAAAATGAGTCAGAAAAAACAGGTCCTCAGCCTGGTGGCCCCACCTAAGCCCCATCCTTAACTGAAAGTCAAATCCCAACCCAGCTGTAGCGTCACACTTAAGCCAGACCCACCCCCATCATAAACCTAACCCAGTCACACCTCCAATCTCTGCTGCAAACTCAACTCCAATCCCAGTCCTGCCAATGAGCCCTAACCTAGCCCAAACCAGCCTCCACGTCAGTTACAAGCACCACATCAGTTCAATCTGGACTGCGCCCTCGGCTCCACACCTAACTCTAATTTACCCCTGCCCAACCTCAGCTCCATCTCAACCTGACCCTAATCCAAACCAACTTTAGTGTCGCCCGAATTGACCCCAATCCCAACCCCGCTCCGGTCTCCGCAAGCCCCGGCTCCAGTCTAGCATGGAGCTCAGCCGCACTCCCGAACTTCTCCCGGTGTTCATCCCCACCCCAGCCTCCGAAACTCCTGCCCCTCACCTTTCCCCCAGCTCCATCCCCCGACATCCTGTTGCTCAGCATCCAAGTCCCACGCCCCGACCCTCAGCCCCATTCCTTCCCCTAACCCCACTCACTCCCACGCCCACTCCCACCTGCCCTCAGCGAGGGGACCAGTGTGTGGCTGACCTTGGTGGGCACACACACATGTCCAGGCACGCACACACACCTCAGTGTATACACACACGTCAGCACACACACACGTCAGTGCACACACACACGTCAGCACTCACACACACCTCAGTGTATACACACACGTCAGCACTCACGCACACCTCAGTGTATACACACACTTCAGCACACACGCACCTCAGTGTATACACACACGTCAGCACACACACACCTCAGCACACACACAGTGTATACACACGTCAGCACACACACCTCAGTGTATACACACACGTCAGCGCACACACACCTCAGTGTATACACACACGTCAGCACTCACACACCTCAGCACATACACGCACCTCAGTGTATACACACATGTCAGCACACACACACCTCAGCACACACACGCACCTCAGTGTATACACACACATCAGCGCACACATACCTCAGCACACACACGCTCCTCAGTGTATACACACATGTCAGCACTCACACACACCTCAGTGTATACACACACATCAGCACACACACAGCTCAGCACACACACACACCTCAGCACACACACAGTGTATACACACGTCAGCACACACACCTCAGTGTATACACACACGTCAGCGCACACACACCTCAGTGTATACACACACGTCAGCACTCACACACCTCAGCACATACACGCACCTCAGTGTATACACACATGTCAGCACACACACACCTCAGCACACACACGCACCTCAGTGTATACACACACATCAGCGCACACATACCTCAGCACACACACGCTCCTCAGTGTATACACACACATCAGCACTCACACACACCTCAGTGTATACACACACATCAGCACACACACAGCTCAGCACACACACACACCTCAGCACACACACACACCTCAGTGTATACACACACGTCAGCACACACACACCTCAGCACACATACGCACCTCAGCACACATACGCACCTCAGTGTATACACACACGTCAGCACTCACACACGTCAGCACACACACACCTCAGCGCATACATGCACCTCAGTGTATACACACACCTCGGCACACACACGCACAACACAGCAGATGCACTCAGCTCAGCATACACACACACACCTCAGTGCACATACACACACATATCTCAGTGCATATACACACATGAGCATACACACACACATACCTCAGTGCACATACACACACCCCAGCAGACACCCCAGCAGACACACATCCCAGCAAACACACACACCTCGGTGTACACACACGCGCCTGTGTATATACACACTGACACACACACACCTCGATGTATATATGCACACCTCCTTGCACAGACACAGATACCTTGGTGTACACGGACACACATATACCCCTCAGCATACACACACATACACCTCAGCATATATACACATACACTCCTCAGTGTACACACATGCCTCAGCACACACACACCTTCAGCACAAGCACACATACAAACACACCTTGGCTACACACACCCATCAGGGTATATACAGACACCTTGGCATACACAGACATACACATCTCCGCAGACACACCCCCCCTTAACACACACACACACACACACACACACACACTCACCAGAAAGGGGTGGGAAATCCAGTGCAGCTGTGAGGACTGCCCTGGGAGCTGGGCCAGGAGCTACCTGCCCCTCCCTGAGGGCCTTGTCCCTGCAGTTCCCTCCTGGTCAGGCCCTGCTCTCTCCAATTCCCTCTTCAGTGTTGACTCTCCCCACCCAGGAATTCCTGCCCAACCTCCCGCCCTAGGGCTGTCCTGGCATCGGGCCAGGTTGGCTGAGTAGAAAGATGACAATCCCAGGGCTACCCTTTCTCCTGTGTCCTGGGGATTCCTGCTCACAACAGCACACAGTGAATGCACGCTGCCCTGAGGGCGCAGTCTGAATGGGGTCAGAGTCTATAGGGGCGCGGGCACACCCAAGCAATTCCCCAGTGAGATCCGCGGAAAGGGGACTGTATCTGCAGGGGCAAGGGGGGCGGGCGGATTGGGGAGGAGCTCATTCGAGGACACCCTGAGGCTGCAGGGCAGGCAGGACAGGATGGGGACCAGCACAGGATGGGGACAGCCTGTGACTCAGACAGGCAGGAGGTCACCAGAGGGGCCAGGGAGGACCAGGAGCTGCTGTGGCTGCTAATAATATGGGAATGGACCTCTGCTGAGCACCTTCTGTGTGCCAGGCATTGAGCTAAATGTTTTTAAAACCTCACTTGATTCTCCAAACAGTAATGCCTACCACACACCTACCCCATGAGGTAGGTATTATTTTTGGTTCCCACAGGGGACACAAGGGACAACGAGACTCAGAGAGGGGAAAGCATTGGCCCAAGTTCACACGCCTCACAACTGGGCAGTAGGTGGAACGGAACCCAGGCTGTGCGGAGGGCTTCCTTGAGGTCGCGGCAATCAAACCCAGACCCTGACTTGCCCTGCAGCCTCCCCCGTGGAATTTCTCACATTTCCCTGAATATTCCAGGCCCGTCTCACCTCCTGGCTGTCCCTTTGGCATGAAATGGCCTTCTGTCCTCAGTCCCTTCTCTGGGAAAACTTCCACCCATTCTCCAGAGCTCAGCCCCCAGTGCAGCCCCGTCACCTCATCCTAGGATCACCCCACCCTAATCGCCCTGCGTTTCACTGTCGGGCTGGGCCCCCCTCCTCAAGGGCAGGGTCTGCCGGCCCCACACAGCAGCACAGGGCAGTCGTGAGTGAATGTGCCTTGTTGGTGAATGAATGCAGGACCCAGCCCGGCTGTGGGTCAAAGTAGGTGCTCAGGGAGGGGCCGGGGCCCCCCCTGCCTGGCTCTTATCTCCTAGGGCTGTCTCGAGCCTTATCTGATAAGGCCTGACAGGTGAGCAGATGAGACTGACAGAGGCTTCCAGGTTACTCAGTAACCTGCCCTCTTTAAAAGTCCCGCCGCTTCCCCCTGGCATCCAGAACAGCCACCCCTCTCTCGGGCACTGCTGCCATGAATGCCTTCCTGCTCTCCGCACTGTGCCTCCTTGGGGCCTGGGCCGCCTTGGCAGGAGGGGTCACCGTGCAGGTGAGTCCTGTGTCCCTACCCCGGCCCAGCTGGCTCCCTGCCCCTAGTGCCCAGGTCTGGTCCCCTGAGAGAGTACCTCCTCTTTGGGGCTGGATTGAGGGTGTGTGTCCCAGGCTTGGCCTTCTTCGAGGAGCTCCTGCTCAGTCCAGCCACACACACACCTTTCCCTTCAACTTTGGAGGAGAAAGAAACCCAGTGGAGGGAAGAGGAATAACCATATGGGGAAGGCGGGGAGTTGGCCAATTTACTGAGTGTCCTATGTGCCGGCTCCTTCCCCAGCCCCTCACTGTGGCTCCACTATCAACCTGGAAGAAAGGGATCATTAGTCCCATTTTACAGAGGGGAAAACTGAGCCTCACAAAGGTTCTGTAACAGGCCATGGGCACATGGCTGTGGGAAGTGCAGGAGCTGGATTTAAATCCAGACCTTACTCCTCAGTGGGTCCCAGGAACCACATGGACACCCTGGAGGTCCTGACAGATGGGTATGCCTACCAGTGCCAATGCTGGCGACAGGCCAAGCTGGCACCTAGCGGGGGCCCTGATCTCTATCAAAGCCAGATTCCGGGAGGCCTTTTATTGCTTCTCAAACCAAAACCAGGCTGCAGGCTGGAGCTGGGGGCCCAGTAATCAGCCGCACCGCTCTCAGGCAGGGGAAAGACAGCCTGGGCTTGGCCACGTGGAACTACGATGCCTGGGTGCTGGTCCTTTGCCTCTCCCTAAAAATCAGCACACTGGCTCCTACTCATTAGGCACCTATGGTGTTCCTGGAGCTTCACACCCATTTTCTCCATTCCCCATACAACATGCAGAATTTGCGGGTTCCAGAGTGTCCAGCATCACGGAGCCAAGCCAGGACGTGGGGCCTGAACTCTGCCCCTCACAGTGCCCCACTGTGGATCGCCTGGCTCCCATATGCCACGAACACTGCCTGTGAGCACCACTGGGCTGGACCGGGGCCAGCACGGGGGGCACAGCCAGGAAGCAGGCTGCAGCCTGGCCTCATGCTCTGGGCTTCTCTCTTCCAGGATGGAAATTTCTCCTTTTCTCTGGAGTCAGTGAAGAAGCTCAAAGACCTCCAGGAGCCCCAGGAGCCCAGGGTTGGGAAACTCAGGAACTTTGCACCCATCCCTGGTGAACCTGTGGTTCCCATCCTCTGTAGCAACCCGAACTTTCCAGAAGAACTCAAGCCTCTCTGCAAGGAGCCCAATGCCCAGGAGATACTTCAGAGGCTGGGTGAGCAGCCTCCTTCCTCTCTGATTGGTGGGGTTCGGGAATACTGTGGTGGCACTTGAGGAAGAGATGTGCTCTGATTGGTGGGATTTGGAGGAAGGGCTCAGCTCTGACTGGTGGAACTAGGGAGCTTGGCTCTGATTGGTGGGTCTGTTCCATGCCCACTTCAATTCCAAGTTGTAACTGCTGAGGTTTGGGAACTAAGACCATTCATCTGGTCTTAGTTTCCTCTCTTTCTGGTGGAATCTCTGCTTTGATTGGTTGGTTTGAGTGGTCTGTGTGCCCTGGTTTGGGGCGAAAAGCCCAGTAGGTCAGAGTACGGGCCTGCTGAGATTCTCCTGGGGCTGGGTGGTGACGTACAAGCTCTGGGCCAAGGGCGGCAGGGGCCTCGCGAGGAAATGCTGGTTCTCACGAGGCTCCATCTCTGTTGTGCAGAGGAAATCGCTGAGGACCCGGGCACATGTGAAATCTGTGCCTACGCTGCCTGTACCGGATGCTAGGGGGGCTTGCCCACTGCCTGCCTCCCCTCCGCAGCAGGGAAGCTCTTTTCTCCTGCAGAAAGGGCCACCCATGATACTCCACTCCCAGCAGCTCAACCTACCCTGGTCCAGTCGGGAGGAGCAGCCCGGGGAGGAACTGGGTGACTGGAGGCCTCGCCCCAACACTGTCCTTCCCTGCCACTTCAACCCCCAGCTAATAAACCAGATTCCAGAGTACTCTGGGTGTTGCCTTCCTTCCTTCCTTCATCCCCTAGTCTATCCTGCCCTGGAAGCTCGGGATGTAATGTACTAAGCGAAGGACCCCACTCTCCCTGCTAAGCTGCTCACTGTCCCTGGGGCTGCCACAACACAGAGGCGTGGAGAGGATCTGGATCTCCAAACCACCAAGGCAGCGGGTGGTGGGGAGGGTTTGCTTTTATTTCACATCTCCTGAGGTCACCAAGTTCACTGAGCCACATGTGAGCACGGGAGCCAGTCTGAGCTGGTTTGGACAACCAATACAGGCACTTGGCCCACTAGAAGACTGGCACCAAACTCTTGGGTATTCAAGGACTTGGCTCCCACCAGCCATGCTAGTGTGGCCTCCAGCCCTGACCACATCCCAAACCACACCTCTTGCCATTTCCTCTGCTGCTGCTCACCTCTCCACTGCCCGTCTTCCCACACTACTGTCCAGGCAAACTCCTACTCAGGGTCCAAGGCTTTCATTCCACGGCCTCTCCTCAAGACAACTTGCTCAACCCCCCAGGAAGAGTCTCAGTGCTCCCATTGTGACCTTGACCTTGGTGCTTTCTGGGCACTGTGATCACCCACAACCCTTGCACAGCTGTGGCCACCCTGTTGTGTAATGGCTTCTGTGCCTGGGGAAGTCTCTCTGACCTCCAGACCCACATGGATAATTGCATGAGGATATAAAACAGGGCAGGGGCCCAGCCACAGCTTTTCCAAGTACTGTGTGATCTTTGGAAAGTCACCTTCCCTCTCTGTGCCTCCACCTCTTCCTCTATAAAACTGGGACACTAATATTTCCTGCCTCCCAGGCTGGGTGAAATAATGCATATAAAGCCCTCAGTTCAGGCCTGACACAAACGTAAGAGGAATTCAATAAGTGGTAAAACAAACTAGAGAAAAGGGGACCAGGATCAGGCTGAAAGTGGTTCAGACAGGGTGAGGAGGCAGGGTGTGGAAGTGAGGCCTATTAGCAAAGGTAGAGGGAACAAAAAAAAGAGGAGGCAGAACTCCCAAGGGTCCATCTTGAGGAGTGGGGTGGAGGGGAAGTGTCTCAAGGGGGATTCCATGGGCTTCAGAATTCAAAACATAAGGTCTCTTCTAGTTGAGATCAGTAAGGCTTTGTGAAAGGGGAAGGGCAAGTGCATTTGCATCACCCCTCGAGATTTGCACTGGGATGCAGGGAATTTCAAAACCAGTGTGGAAGTAGGGAGAAAGAGAGTGTTGCAGAAGGTGGGAATGGTGCAGACAGACACAAAGACATAGGAATGGTTCAGTCAGGACAGAGTGGAGCTTGGGAAGGCAGACAGGACTGAGTTTGAGCCTTACTGTGTCATTTACAAGCTGAGTGTCCCTCTCTGAGGCTTGGTTTCTCATCTGAAAGTGAGGATGATAACAGACCCTACCTCCCAAGGTTGGCGGGGGATTAAGTGAGATGTATGGTAGAGTAGAATCATTTAATGCCCTAACTCTGGAGCCAGACTCTTTGGGTATAAATCCTGGCTCTGTCTTTTACAGCTATGTGCCTTTAGGCAGGCTACCTAGCCTGTTCTCTCCTCAGTTTTCTCATCTGTAAAATGGGGAAGATAAGAATCCATATATCATAGGGTTGAGTGAAGAGTAAATGAAAAAATGCTGGAAAAATTTTTAAAACTCCCCTGGTTTTGAACAACCACTGGGTCAAATAAGAAATCAAAAGGGAAATTGAAAAGTATCTTGAGACAAGTGAAAACGAAAATACAGCATACAAAAGCTTATGGGGTGCAGCAAAAGCAGTTCAAAGAGGGAAATTTATAGCAATAAATGCCTACATCAAAAAAGAAGAAAGATTTCATATAAACAACCTATTGTTTTACCTCAAGGAACTAAAAAGAACAAACTAAGCCCAAAGTTAACGAAGAAAAGATCAGAGCAGAAATAACTGAAATAGAAACCAGAAAAACAATAGAAAAGATGAACAAAAGTAAGAGTTGGGTTTTTGAAAAGATAAATAAAATTGCAAAATCTTTAGCTAGACTAAGAAAAAGGGAGAATACTCAAAAGCATTGGAAGCTATCCCTTTAACATCAGGAACCAGACAAGGGTGCCCATTCTTGCCACTTTTATTCAACATAGTGCTGTACTGGAAGCCCTAACCAGAGCAATTAGGCAAGAAAAAAAATAAAAAAGCATCCAACTTGGAAAGGAAGAAGTTAAATTGTCTGTATTTGCAAATGACATCATCTTATGTATAGAAAACTCTAGAGACTCTACTAAAAAGCTATTAGAACTAATAAGCAAATTTAGTAAAGTTGCAGATTACAAAATCAACATACAAAAATCAGTAGCATTTCTATAATTAACAATGAATGATCTGAAAAAGAAATCAAGAAAACAAGCCCATTTAAACAGCAACAACAACAACACACATCTTAGGAATAAATTTAACCAATGATGGAAAAGAATCAAACACTAGAAAAACATAAAACATTGATGAAAGAAATTAAACAAGATACAAATAAATGGAAAGGTATTCCATATTCATGGATTGGAAGAATTAATATTTTTAAAGTGTTTATACTATCCAGAATGATCCACAGATTTAATGCAATCCCTATCAAAATTCCAATTACATTTTTTCACAGAAATAGGAAAAACAATCCTAAATTCCCCAAATAGCCAAAGCAATGTTGAGCAAAAAAGAAAAAGCTGGAAGCATCACACTACTTGATCTCAAAATCTACTACAGAGCTGTAGAACAGCATAGTACTGGCACAAAGCAGACAACGAGACTAATGGAACAGAATAGAGAGAGCCCAGAAATAAATCTACACATTTACAATCTGATCTTTGACAAAAGTGCCAAGATCACACAATGGGGAAAGGACAGTCTCTTCAATAAATGGTATTGGGACATGCAGAAAAATGAAATTAGACACTTATCTAACCTCATGTACAAAAATTAACTCAAAATGGATTAAAGTCTTAAGACCTGAAACTGTAAAGCTACTGGAAGAAGGCAGGAGCAGTGGTGAATGCCTGTAGTCCCAGCTACTCGGAAGCTTGAGGCAAGAGGATCACTGGAGCCCAGGAATTTGAGGCCAGCCTACACAACACAGTGAGACCCTGCCAAAAACAAACAAACAAACACCAAAACCCAAAACAAAACAAAGTAACAACAACAACAAAAAATGTACCAGAGGAAACATAGAGGAAAACTTCTTGACATTGGTCTTGGCAAAGATTTCTCGCCTATGATCCCAAAACCACAGGCAACAAAACCAAAAATAGACAAAAAGGAGTGCAGCAAATTAAACTGCTTCTGCACAGGTAAGGAATGAAAAGAATCTATAGAATGAGACAAAATATTTCAAATGAAACATATGCTAGTGGATTAATATCCGAAATCCATACAGAATTCAAACAACTCAATAGCAAGAAAACAACCCAATTTAAAAACAGGCAAAGCAACTGAATAGACATTTCTCTTTTTTTTTTTTTTTGAGACGGAGTCTTGCTCTGCCACCCAGGCTGGAGTGCAGTGACGTGATCTTGGCTCACTGCAACTTCCGCCTCCTGAGTTCAAGCGATTCTCCTGCCTCAGCCTCCCGAGTAGCTGGGATTACAGGCATGTGCCACCATGCCCAGCTAATTTTTGTATTTTTAGTAGAGATGGGGTTTCACCATGTTGGTCAGGCTGGTCTAGAGCTCCTGACCTAAGGTGATCTACCTGCCTCGGCCTCCCAAAGTGCTGGGATTACAGTGGTGGGCCACTGCGCCCGGTGACATTTTTCAAAAGAAGACATACAAAAGGCAAGGAGGTATATGAGAAGGTGCTCAACATCACTAATCAACAGGGAAATGCAAATTAAAATCATGATGAGATATCACCTCACATCTGTAAGAAGGACTTTTGTCAAAAAAGAAAAAAAAAGATGCTTGCTGGGTATGGGGGCACCCACCTGTATGTAATCCTAGCTACTTGAGAGGCTGAGACGGGAGGATCACTTGAGCAAGGGAGTTTGAGACCGACCTGGGCAACATAGCAAAATCCCATCTCAAATAAATAAATAAATAAATACACACACACACACACACACACACACACACACACACACACACACACTAGCAAAAAGAAAAGATAACAAGTGTTGGCAAGGGTGTGGAGAAAATGGAACCCTCACACACTGTTGGTGGAAAGATAATTTAGCATAGCCATTATGGAAAACAGTATGAAGTTTCCTCAAAAAATTAAAACTAGAAATGCCATACAATCCAGCAATCCCACTTCTGGGCATATAGCCAAAAATGCGAAATCAGTATATCAAAGAAATATCTACAGTCTCATATCTATTTCAGCATGATTCACAATAGTCAAGATATAGAATCAACCAAGGCATCCATCAACAAATGCATGGATCAAGGAAATGTGATATATATACACAATGAAATACTATTCAGCCTTAAAAAAGAAAAAATCCTGTTGTGGGTGACGAAGTGGATGAAACTGGGGGACATTACACTAAGTGAAATAACCCAGGCACAGAAAGACAAATCCTACTTGATCTCACTGAAATGTGGAATCTAAAAAAGTTGAACTCATAGAAGTAGAGTAGAATAGTGGTTACCAGGGGTTGGGGTTTGGGAGGAAGTGGGGAGATGGTAAACAAAGAAGAAGGAAAAGAAGAAGCTCCGCCAGGCCCACAGAGAGCAGCTCGTTGATGCTGGTATCATCACTGCTTCTGGGCAGCAGCACAGCCGTGTGGCTGGCACATGGCAGGACTCAGACAGCAGCACTTCTCTTTGCTGTCTCCAGCAGGCAGGTGGGAAGCCAGCGTAGCTGCAGGAAGCAGTGGGAGATAAGTCTAGATCTAGCTAGTGCACGAGCTCTGGTTAGACTTGGTAGGTGGCAGTGTGGAGCCATGGAGGAGTAGGGGCACCATCAGAGTTGTGCTGCGGTGCTCCTCTGGCATGGTGGGCATGGAGGGCCCACAGGACGCAGGGCCAGGAAGGAAGGTCTGGCCTGGCCCAAAGGTAGTGATAAAGGCCCCAGTGAGTGAGGATGGAGGGGTGAGAAGTAGGGGCCCAGAGAACTGCAGGAGGCATTGCAAAGGCCCTTCACCAGCCTTGCCTGTGGGGTGACGGCAAGGAGGAACCTGTAGTCTGGGAGATTGCAGGACTCATGAGCAGAACTAAGCTGCTGTCTTGGGCATGCACCCGGGTCTTCGGGAGCTGAGTTCAGATGGCACAGCCTCTTGGCCTCCAACTTTGCTCCTCCGCGGCTGTCCAGGACCAAGGCTTTGGGGGACCCCACTCTGGAAAGGCCCTGCTCCCAGAAGTTCCCAGCATGGCTCCCAGCCTGAATAAAGGCACTGAGGTTGGCTGCAAGGATGTGGAGGCTGCACTGGGTCCCCATGAGGCATCATCCGCTGGAGCAAGGGAGTAATATGGTGGTCAGAGCATGGACCCTGGCCCACATGTCCTGGGAAGTGCCCTGTCTTGTCATTTTGCTTGGTCTATGATCTGGGCTTAGTTTTTCTCTCTGTACCTGACTCTTCTTAGACTGGGTGGGGTGATAATAACAGTATCTGCTTCATCGGTCTGTTGTGAGGACTCCATGAGTTACCATGAGTGCCAAGTGAGTAGGATAGTGCCTGGGATAGAGTGAATGCTCAATAAACATTGGCTGTTATAATTATAATAATAATAATTATTTTTATTTTTTTTTCATTTTTTTTCTGAGACAGGGTCTTGTTCTTGTCACCCAGGATGGAGTGCAGTGCTGCAATCTCGGCTCACTGCAACATCCGCCTCCTGGGCTCAAGTGATTCTCTTGCCTCAGCCTCCTGAGTAGCTGCGATTACACGTCTGGCTAATTTTTGTATTTAGTAAAGACGGGGTTTCGCCATGTTGGCCAGGCTGGTCTTAAACTCCCGACCTCAGTGATCCTCCCACCTTGACCTCCCAAAGTGCTGGGGTTACAGGTGTGAGTCACCACACCCAGCCTATAATTATTATTATTTTTAAATACAAGGTCTTGCTCTGTTGCCAAGGCTGGAGTTCAGTGGTGTGATCACAGCTCACTATGGCCTCAACCTCCCAGGTTCAAGTGATCCTCCTGTCTCAGCCTCCTGTGTAGCTGGAACTACAGGCAAGTGCCAATACTTCTGGCTAACTTTCAATTTTTTCATAGAGATGGGATCTCCCTACGTTGCCCGGGTTTGTCTCAAACTCATGGCCTCAAGCAATCCTCCCATCATGGCCTCCTAAAGTACTGGAATTACAGGTGTGAGCCACTGTGCCTGGCGTTTGTTGGCTATTAATTATTATTAATATTCCTCAGGCTGCCAGGATGGAGAGAGGGTGGGAAGGCCTCCCAGCTGGAGCTGGCCAGATGGTCCCTGTGGGGCTGGGAAAAGTGGGAGCTTGGGAATGAGGATGAAGGCCAAGGGCCGATCTTCTCACGCAGACCCCAGGCAGAGTCGGCCCTGATTACAGCTTGGGAGGACATGCTGCTTGAATCTTCCCTCCACTCTCTCCTTCTGTCTCACCTCCTCCCTGCCCCAACCCCACTCCTGCGTCAGGAGCACAGTTGCTCTTGCTCCGAAGCTGGGGAGGCCTTGAGTTCAGCCTGGGGGTCGCCAGGTCTGGCTGGCTCTGGGGCTTCTGAGCTCTGTGATCCTGGATGCCTCATTCCTGCTCCGAGCCTCAGCTCCCTCATATTCGGGATGGGGTTCAATCAACTCCCCGGGCCTTGAAAACTTCAGGAAAATTCCTGCCTGGTATTTTTAGTCCCGTCTTTCTCCTCAATCCACACTTCTTCTCCAGAAGCTCCTCCCATGGCTCCTGGGGATGAACAAAGGACACGTGGACTCGTGTGTTGTAGAATCTTTATTCAGGAGCTGGGCTGCCTCAGGGGCCTCCCCCTCCAACTCTATGTCCGATTGCTTTGTACCAGATCCAGCTGCTCAGGCCCTGGAAGGGTGGTGATGACCATGGTGGCCAGGGACCCATCTTGAGCATGGACGGGGATGGAAGCCTGCCAGGGTGGTGGGCTGAAGGGCGAGGTGTCCCTGGTGGGCTCAGGGTACCCAGGGCTATCTCAGAGGCAGCCGGTACACGCAACGTTCACACACAGCTCACAGTCGTCGTTAGCGATGGTCCCTGGGCAGGGAGAGAACTGGTCAGTTGACCTGAACCTGGGCCCTCTGTGGCCAGGCAGCAGAAGAGGTCTGCTTGGGAATGGGCGGCATCTTCCACAGACTGGGAGCAGGAACGTCTAGAGGTGGAGTGAGGGCTTGGGTTCAAGTCCCAGATGCTCTCCTTCCTAGCGGCCACTGGGCAAGTCACTCACACTCCCTGTGCCTGAGATTTCTTGTTTGCTAAATGGACAGGGTCACTGTGAGGAGATAATGCAGGACCGACAAGTCCCGGCACACAGTAGGTGCTCAGTAAGTGCTAGCTAGTTGCTACATTCTCGTGCCTGGCTCTGCACGATCCCTCAGGTTTCAGCTTGGCTGACACCTCCTCTTGGAAGCCTTTCACACCCCTGTCCCATCGCAGATGTCAGCCAGCTCTCCTCTCTGCTCCACGCAGCCATTGTCTGTTGATGGGTCTGTGCCTGGCGTGGACTAAGGGGACGAAGCAGGTTCCAGGCATGCCTGACTCACAGTGCCCAAACCGGGGAGTCCTGGGAGCCAGTGGGACAGGGCCTGAGTTACTTGAATCTCCCCATCCTCAGCCGCTGGGTGCTTAAGAGAAACAACCCAGGTGGAGGAGCCTGGGCGTGGGAGGAGACAGAGCGAGGTTCTGCAGGGAGCGGGGGCACTTACTCAGGGTCTTGAAGATGCTGGAAGCCTCCTGCGAGGCGCAGACAGGCTGAAGGTCCTGAGGCAGAGCAGGGTGGTGGCACACGGCGGGCAGGAGGCTCTGGGCCTGCAGGCGGGGGCTGGGTGCCCACTGTGCCTCCAGGTCACTCAGCTTCTTCATGGATTCCAGCTGGACCCGGAAGCCTTGGTACTACAGACAGGGGAGAGGAGATAGGAGCAGGTCAAGACCTGGTCCAGGGGCAGGCACTGCCATGACACCCAGGGTTGCTCAAACCCTGCAGATCCTCCAGAGCCTTCCCCGTCTCTATGGGAAGTCCAGGGCCACACTGGAAAGAGCCGCTGCGGTGAGAGGTGTGAGGAAGAAGCAGCGGGGCTGTGGAGCACAGTGGTTCGAGGCTTTAGAGACAGACAAGCCCTGGTTCAAATCCCACCTCTGCCCATGACCGGCTGCCTGTCTGTTCCCCACTCAGCCTCAGTTCCCTCATCTGACATCTCCCGTGGGGGCCTGGTACCAGGGCACAATCACTAACTGAGTACGCCTGCCTGAGCTCACATGGCAGAGTGATGGCAGCCCCAAGTAGCTGGTCTCTGAGGCCAGGGCTGTTGGGGAGGCCAAGTCTCCTGCACCCCTCTCTGGGACCCACTTTGTTCTTCCCAAGGAGACCATGCCCAGAGTCAGGGATGTGACACCCAGGGCCACAGACGTCTCTGCTATGCTGGGCGAGGCCAGCAGCATCCCCTGTGACGTGGCAGACAGGCCCTGCTGTGACGACTACTGCCACTCTCCCATGCCCCCTGGAAGGGCACTGGAACCCCCATAGTCTTCTATCTGGTCTTTGCACATGCTGTGCCCCTTGGCCTGGAACAGTTTCCCCATCATCTGTGTCTGGCAACCTCCTGTTCATCTTGCAATGCCAGCTCAAGGGTTACTTCTCAGGAAAATTTTTCTGGAGCCTGTCCTCCTCCACCTACATGTGGGTGAATATACGGAACTGTGGGAGCATAACAGGGTGTCTCCTTCCCTTTCTGGCCTCCTCCCATGCAAGGAGGAGCCTTCTGTTCCACACCCTGACCTCTGTGACCAGCACGGGCCTTTGAGGGGAGCAGCGCTGAATCAGTTTGGTGTTGTCATTGCCATCATCACTGCCATCAACATCTGGCTGCCCCCACCCACCAGCTGCCTTGGTCTCTGGGCTGTGATGGGTGTTGGGCTGAGCCCCGGGCCCCGTGCTCCCCCGGTGCCCCTCTGAATTCCCAGTACACCCTCTCCAGCCTAGCCTCCCACCATGGGGCCCTTCAGGCAAAGGGAACGCTGGCCAAGGGACTCACCTGGATGTAGACTGACTGTGTGCTCTGCAGCAGCAGCAGGAGGACCACGGCCACTCCTGGCAGGAGCCCTGATGCAGCCCTGCAGCCCATCGCGCTCCCTGGGTTCCCCCTGCCGCTGTCCACCGTCTCCCATCTGTGTCCCTGCCTAGCACCTCCTTATAGGTCAGGCTCAGGAGTCCTGGTCACTCATTAACTGGCCAGCTGGGGTGGGGTTGACAGCTAGCTGGCTCTCTGACAAGCCGGGGCTGGTTCCTAGGAAGGGGGTTGGGGGCGAGGAGGGCAGGAGCCCAGAGTCTATGGGAACACAGTGCTTGAACACCGAGTGCCTGCCATGTGCCGGGCTCTCCATGGGGGCCTTGGAGCACACCATCATTCACTCCTCAAGACACCTGTGTGGGTGTGATGACGGGGAGGCCATTTTACAGACAGGAAAAGTGAGGCTCAGGAGGGAGGGTGGCTTTCCCCAGGTCACGGAGCTAGTTAATGTCAGAGAAGGGGCTCCAGCCAGGTGTCCTTGGCCCAGGTCAGCCCATGGTCCTTTCTCTGGGGGAAGGATACAGACAGAGAGGCTGGTCCAGGGCAAAGTGGGCAGACACTGCTGATTTCAGGGTTCTCAAGACCCCACTCCCCCAAGACCCACATCTCTCTCACTCCCTCTCCTCAGTGCTATTTAACGACTATCTTTCAGACCAGTCCTGGCCCCACGTTTTGAACCTGCCTCTGCTTGCCATCTCCCACCTGTGCCTGGGTGCTTCAGGCCATGTTTGACCCATCTCACCTGTCTGTGCTTTCAGAAGCCAATAGCCTAATCCAGCATGGAGGAAAAGGCAGTAGTGTTGGAGGCAGATTGACCCGCATTCAAATCCTAGTCCTGCTGCAGCTGTGTGATTTAGGATACGTCACATCAATTCTAATGGAATCTTAGTTTTCTCTTCCATCAAATGGGCATGATACAACCCCTCTCGTAAGGTTGCTGTGAGGGCCCCGGCCCACCTGAGGTTGCCCTTATCTCCTGGGTAATGCATCCATAGCAGCCCCTGAATCTTACAGTTGCCTTCTAGGCAATGCATAACCTACTGCCCCAGTGGTTGAAGGTTGGGTCAGAGAGAAGAGGGCAAAGTCTCTAAGGGTGATATCACCACTGCCATACCAGGCAGCTGTAAACAGTGCGTGTGCCAGGGCTCAGCTCTGCCAGGCACAGACTCTGGCATGTGGCAGGCTCCCCTGACATTGAGCCTGAACGTTGGATTGAAGCCCTGATAGCTCACCTTGGCATTTAAGATGCCACTCCCAAAAGTGGCTAAAATCTGATGTCATCGTGCTTCCCCATACCAACCCTATTTGCACAGGTCTAATCCCATCTCATGTCTTTGCCTACTCATTCCACCTGCCTGAAATGCCATCTTCCTTTTTCTTATCTCAGACTGAAATGAAGAAGAAGCTCAAGTGAACTTTGGAATTTCTTATGTATTGCTTTGAATCCAGACTTCAGCCTTTGCTCTTTAGAGTCTATGGAAATGAAGGGAATCTTACATGCCCTCTAATCTGTAAAATGAAAACAACCATCTGGGAATAATAGCTCTCATTTCTTGAATACTGTGCACAAAGCTATGTTATAGTCGTAATCCCATTGAATCCTAAAGGATAGGCATAATGGTTATTCCCATTTTACAGATGAGTAACCTGAGGCCCAATGAAGCACCATGTTTGTTGTCACTGTGGGAGCAAGAGGGGTAAGCAGATTTTCTACCTGGAATTCTTGCCTTTGCTCAGCCTGTGGTGTTATAGAAAAAGGAACTGAGGACTTAGAGATGAGGAGAGCTGGGTTCAAACCCGAATGACAGCACTTACCAGCTGTGTGATCTTTGGTACATTACTTAGCTTCTCTGAGCCTCCGCTTCTTCATCAGTAAAGTAGAGAAAATAGTAATAATAATTTTTAAAAAGACCTCATAGTGGTTGTTGTAAGGAAAAACTGAACGATACCTGTCCCAGGAGAGCCTGTGACTCTCCCTAAAACCAACCATTTCCCCAGCATGTGCCTGGCTTATGGGGGATGCGTCATGAAGGGGGGTTTCCCTGCCTCTCCTTATGTAACTCCCATGACAAGCCCCATCTCTCAATCTATAGCAGGACCAGTGCTGCTTTCTGACATGCACAGGCTGAACTCAATGCTGGGCTGGAATGTCCATACTTGGGTCTGATCAACTGTAGGACCTTGGACAAGCGACGACCTCTGTGATCTCAGTTTCTCATTTGTAAAAATAATGTGACGTCTCCAGTGTTTGAGGTTGTTATGAGGCTGCTTGATACCTAAATCTATGGTCTTTCCACGAGAGGAAGCTCATCTCCCTTGACCCCCACATCAATGGGACATAGCGGTAGGGTCTGGGGGCCCCTTGGCCATGGTGTCTGTCCTTTCCTCGCCCTGTGGCTCCTCCAGCCAGGGCCCGTCATGTGTCAGTCTTCCCTGGGAACCAGGTATGACTTCCCTATCTGCCTAACATGACTCAAGTTTATTTGTCAAACCCACCTCCTCCTAATCTCTTTCTAAATGACCCACCATCCATCACAACCAACTTGGCCACAGACGCAAATCCTTGACGCTACCCCTGGCCAGCCCATGTGCATTGACGTGGTATTATCAGGGCACTTCCTTCTTTAGGGATGTGGGAAGTGACTGTCACAAGAGCCTGGAGTTCACCCTGTGTGGAAGCCTCAATCACAGATGTGGGGTGGGTGACAGTTTGCCCATGTGCATTTGGGCAGCTCCGCTCTCTACCCTGGCCTCGCTGCTCAGTGCCCACTGCTATGGTGCCCAGAGCCCAGGGCTCTCCCTGCCCCAAACTGCTCAGTTCCCCACAGCATTTGTCATAGCTGACCACTCCATCTTTCTTGGAGTAAAGTGCTTTCACCATTTGACTCCTGGGACTCTCCACATTTTCTGCCAATCTCTCTGGCTCCATATTCTCAGCTTCCTTCCTTGGTTTTTCCTTCTCTTCCTGACCTCTAGGTGTTAGAGTGCCCAGGGGGCACCAAGGCTGTCTTTGGACGTCTTTCTTCCTGTCTGTAATCACCCCCTTGGCGATTTATCCCATCACAAGGGCTTTAATACCATCAACACTCTGTTTACTCCATAGCCTGGCCTTTCTTCTCAATCCCAAACTCATTTATCTACCGGCCTCCTCAGTTCCTCTCATACCGGTTGATAGTACTACCATTCACCCAGTTGTCAAGTCAAAAATCTGGGAGTCATCCTTGATGTCTCTTTTTTATTTGCCAAATTAAATTCACTAGCAAATCCAGTTGGCTCTACCTTCAAGATATTTCTGGATTCCACCCGTTTCTCATCATCTCCACTGCTATGATCAAGGTTCAAGCTATCATCACAGGTTGAATGGATTATTGCAATAGCCTTATATTAGGCAGGGTTCTCCAGATAAGCAGAACATACACACACACACACCCACACACAGATACAGAACACACACACACACATACATCCTATATAGAGATATATATTTCTTACTAGAAAGTCTACTGATTGTAAATGTTAATCACACTGAAAAAAATCTTACTTCAGAGAGCTTCTCCCACCACTCCTAACTCTTTTAACTTGCTTTCTCGTAGCACCTGTCATACATATCCATCTAAAGTTTTGCATCTTTCTGTCTCCTAGAATGTAAGTTCTATTACAGTAAAGAATTTGTTTTGTTCTCCTGAAACAATACCTGGCACGTCTATCCTATTGGATAGATCTATCTATGTGTCATCTAACTAAATTTATTTTAAAGAACTGGCTCACATGACTGCTGAGCTGGTAAGTCTGAAATCTGTAGGGAAGTTTGGCAGGCTGGAAATTCAAATTAGATTTGATATTGCAGTCTTGACTCTGAAATCTGCAGGGCAGGCTAGCAGGTGAGAAACTTAGGGTTCCTATGTTGCAGTCATTGAGGCAAAATGCTTCTTCCTGAAGAAAGCCTTTATTTTATTTTATTTTATTTTTGAGATGGAGTCTCGTTCTGTCACCCATGCTGGAGTGCAGTGGTGTGATCTCGGCTCACTGTAACCTCCGCCTCCCGGGTTCAAGCAATTCTCCTGCCTCATCCTCCTGAGTAGCTGGGATTACAGGCACCCGCCACCATGCCCAGCTAATTTTTGTATTTTTAGTAGAGATGGGGCTTTGCCATGTTGGCCAAGCTGGTCTCGAACTCCTGACCTCAGGTGATCCACGCGCCTTGGCCTCCCAAGGTCTTTTCTCTTAAGGCTTTCAACTGATTGGATAGGAAGCCCACCTACCATTTATGAAGGGTCATCTGCTTAATCAAAGTCTACTGATTATAAATGTTTATCACATAAAAATTATTTTCACAGCAACATCTAGACTGGTGTTTTATCAAACAGCTGGGCATCATGACCTGGCCAAGGTGACACATAAAATTAACCATCGCAAGCATCCATACAGATCTCCCTGGACCTTCTCCAGGCCTTTCTCCATGTAGCAGCCAGAGGAATCCTATTAAATTCTGAGTCAGATCATCATGTCTCTCCCCCGCTCACACCTACTAGTGGCTTTCCACTTCACTCAGAGGAAAACCCAAAGGCTTCTGCCTACAAGGACCATTTGGCATCCCATCTTTATCTTTGACCTCAACTCCAAAAACTCTGCCCTTCACTCTCTGAGTTTCAGCCACCCTAGCTTCCTTGAGGTCCCCCAAACACACGAAGATTATTTACCTTTAGGTCTTTGCTCTTCACCCCTCTCTTCATGCAGGTCTCTGCTCAAATGCCACTGCCTCAGAGATCTTTCTTGATCTTCCTCCCTCAGAGAGTTTCCCCATCACTCCTAATTCTCTTCTTTCTCATAGCACCTGTCATATATACACATCTCATTTCTTGCATCTTTCTATTAGAGTAAGGAATTTGCCAGTTTTATTCTCCCAAAACAATACCTGGCACATAATTGGTGCTCAACAAATACTGGATGAATTGAATAAATGGATATGATTCAAGTACCTATTCCACCAAGCACTAGATATTTAGCCTTTGGCCATTTCCTATTTCTCTGAGCCTTAATCACCTCATCTAGCATCTTGCTGGCATGTGGTAGGTGTTCAAAAAATGTATGTTATTATTGTTTTCATAGTTGTGAAATCACTTGTTTACTGAGAAACAGAATGCTTTTTGTGTTTTGTGTGCATAGAAGCCCCTAGGGCATTCGATTGTTTAATCAAAAATGATTAACTTACAGCCTATTATGTACTAGCATGGGATACAGCACTTAACAAAACAGACAAACCACTGCCCACAGGGCAGTTTGGTGACTTGGATAGGGAGGTGGGAATAGAGATGATGAGAAAGGGTTGGATTCTAGAGATTCTCTGAAGCCAGAGGCCTCAGATTTTGTGTGCTTGGATGGAAAGAGTGAATGAAGAGAGCAGTCCAGGACAACTCTATGGTGGCCCCAAGTCAATTGGTGCTGCCATTTACTGAGATGAGAAATGGGAAGGAACATGTCAGGTGAGTCTATCAAGAGCTGGGTCTGGACACATTAAGCTTGAGATGCCTGTTTGAGATGTGAGTAAAGGAGTGGGCCACAGATATAGATAGCGTGGTCATCAAGTGTATCTGGTGCTCAGAGACCTGAAACTGGATTGAGAGAGTGACAGGACGGAGAGGAAAGGTCCCAGGGCTGAGCTCTAGGGCACTGTAATACCTGGAGATGAGGCAGAGAAGGAGGAACCAGCAGAGTGGATGGCGGGGAAGGAACAGTTGATGAAGAACAAAAAGAGACTTGCGTCTTTGAAGCCCAATGAAGAAAGGGCTTCAGGAGCAAGAACATGCTCACTTGGTCAAATGTGGTTAGCTCTAGTAAAATGAAGACAGAGAATTGTCCTTGGATTTGGCTATATGGAAGTCACTGCTGACCTTGATAAGACCAATTCTAACAGTGGGGAGGATGAAAACCCGATTGGAATGAGTTCAAGAAAAGATAGGAGGATGGAAAGTGGACCCAATGCCCTTAACTATCACTTTACATCAAAGCATAAAACAGAGAGATGAAAAATTTAAGGAAGGATCAACACATGAACAGTTGATCTGGAAGACTCTGTAGGGAGAGTTGTATAAACCAAGATGTGATAGAATTCCCAGAAGCCCTCCAGATGAATTTGGTTTTTCCCCGGAGAGGTGGGTGATCTAACGAGTGGTTCTATTTTTGCTATGGTCACCAGGAAACTCAGAACCAAACTTTGCTCCAACATCAGTGACTGTACTAAAGCTCATTCAATCTGTGTCTTCCCCTTTGACTTACTTTCCCAGTCTACCCATATTGTACTGACCTTGTTACATAAGCATGTGCGCGGACACACACACACACACACACACACACGCACACACACCCGTCAGGTTTGTTTACAGGAATGCTTCCAAGGTGTAACACCTTTCTGGCCTGGGGTTGGGTAACAGGTATTTAACACAAATGTGAATCAGGGCTGCCCCCTGGTGATGGCAGGGAAGACTGCAGACGGGGAATGAGTCCTAATCCATTTCCCTGAGGCACCACCTTGAGAGTTAATGGGGTGAGCAGTCATTTCTGCGCTTTGCTTTGAGGGGTAACGGAGAGCCTCCCTGTCCCCGTGTCTGCGCCTGGGGGTCCTACCAGCATGACCGTGACAGTCAGCATCAGCGATGCGCCTTGGGGGTGCGGGGAGGGGAGGTGGTGTGCAGGGTCGTTACCGAAAAGCTCCTGCTAATGCCCGAGTCCTGGGGTTTGCAGAGAGGAGATGCGGAGGTGAACAGTGGGGCTGAGGGGAGGAGAGGAGGAAGTTCAGGCCCCAAGTGGGACCTGCATTGAAGTCGGGTCTTGGGGGCAGCCAAGGGCAGAGGGAGAACTACAAGGAGGACACGGGGCCCCCAGAGACCAGCTTCGCCCTAGTGTTCTGTGAGGAGGAGAGGTGCATGGCTCTGACCCGGCTTTCTCGCCCATGGCCACACGGCAGGTGTGAAAGGTGTGTGTGTGTGTGGTGGGGGTGGGGGTTGTATCTGTGTGTGAGCATGTGTGTACATGCCCCAAGCCCTGGTGAGAATGTGCGTGGGAACATGTGTATCCAGGTGTGCTTTTCGTGTCCGCGCGTGTCCACATGTGAGAGTGATTGTGTATATTCGTGTGTACTTGTGAGTGCTCTCGTGTGTGTAGGGGAGCGTGTTGTGTGTCCTTGTGTGTGAGGATCGTGTGCTGGTGTGTGGGAGTATGTGTATATGGGAGTGCTTTCTGTGTCTGTGTGTGTATCTGCATGTGAGAGTATGGGCATGTGTGTGTGAGCCTGTGTCAGCCTGTGTGCGTGGATGTGTGTGTGTGAGTGGCATATGGGAGCGTGTGCGAGTGGTTTTTGCTGTGTGTGTGAGTGTGTCTGTGACCGTGCGGATGTGAGGCTGTGTGGTGTGTGGGTGGGCTGGGAGGGAGGCCATATGTGCTGGGCAGTGCAGAAGGGCTGATGGGGGCAGGGATCCCATCTGACTCGGCGGCCCTGTGATCTGGCCGGGCGGGAGGTGAGGAGAGGTCTCTGCGTGCAGAGGTGGGGGCCGACTCGGGGAGGCGGGCCCGGGCGCAGCTGCCTGGAAACTGGGAATTCACGGAGGACCCGGAGCGCGCCTAGCCCACACCGTCCGCGCCAGCAGGATCGCCCTTCCTCAACTCCCTGTCTCGCCCAGCAGCCGGCCGGGCGCTGGGGCTTTGGAGTCAGGTACAGCAGAGGTCCACACGAATGAGGGGTCTTGGACAAGTTGTTCTCTTCTCTGAGTGTCTGTGCCCTGCACTGTGAGACGTGAATGACACCTCTGCCTTGAAATGGGTCAGTGAGGAGGGTGGAACGAAGGCGCAGTAGTGCCAGGAAGTGCTTGCTGGGAATCTGTGGTCTCAAGGCTGCAAAAGTGTGAACATGCGGGTTCCTCACACAGCCCCAGGAAGCATGGAACTTCCCCCTTTTTACAGAGAGAACCCTAAAGCGCAGGGAGGGCTACTAACCTGCTTCTGAGGGGCAGGCCACCTTGGCTGTCTCTAGCACCACACACCGGGCCTGTGTGGGTGGTCAGCAGATACAAAGCCCTCCTCACGTTTGAGATCCTCCAGAGGTATCCCCTCGTCCCCTCCAGCCTGGAACGTCCCTTCCAGGGGTTAAAGAAAACAATTGAGTGTTCATCTCCCACGAACACTGCCCCATGGAAGGCCCTGGATTCCTGGAATCCTGATCTCAAAGAAGTGGCACAGAAGATGGTCCAGGAGGCCAGTCCACCCCCCGCCCCCGCAGGAATAACAATGACCTGAGGGCATGTAATACAGTTAGGTGCCATTTTCCGTTCAGCCATCAAATATTTATTGGGTTCCAAGTCCCTGTAGGGCACCAGGGCTCAGAAATGGATACGTTCATCCCTGCCTGCAAAGGGTCTGTGGTTGAAGAGGACAGATGAGGACCGCGCCACGTGGCAGATGCACAGATAAGGACAATGCCCACGTAGCAAATGGGGGAGCCGAGGAGGTGGTGGGAATCCAGAAGGGGCACCATCTCCAGCCAGGAAGTGGGGGAGCTGTTGAGCAGAACCCTCCAGCCCTTTGCTGACATCTGCCTGGGCTGCCTCCCTCTGCCCTCTGCAAACATCATGTTTCCAGGAAGCCCGCCCAGACCACAGCCTTTCCTACTTTCCCCTTCTGGGGAATTCCTGCAGCCTTGGGCCCCCACCATGGAATTGAACATCTGCTGTCTTTATTGCTTCTGTTTTTGGTGCAAGGGACCCACCTCCACAGTTAGACTGCATCCTCTAGAGAGTACAGCCTCAATTGCACATTCCTCAGAGACCTCTCCTTCCTCCAGGGCCCCAGTGCCTAAGTGGCCCTGCCCAAGATCAGGATGCACCGCATCTCTGCTGATGTTCAAGTCTGGGGGTTCTTTGTTTGCAGCACCCGGGCTGAGCTGCAGAGGAGATCCTAACTGCTGAGTCAGGGGCCCCGATTTGCCAAGCAGGATTGAGTTTCATTAAGTGGGGATGAAATACAAATCCCCCACCGCATTCATGGGATTGATGTCCAAGACGCAGCTGCCATTTGTGTTTTCAAATTTGCAGTTAGGGATCATTGTGAAACTTGATTGCTCTGTCTTGGGGATTTTCTTAAAGTCCAACTCCACAATAAAGCCAATCAGATGGAACCATCAAATGTCAAATAGGAGCTAATGAACCATTCACAGGCTTGGGAAAGAAATCAGGCAATCTCTTATTTCAGGATTATCCCTTCCAAATATTGAATCTGAACTGTAAGCAGAATTTTCTATAATTGCATCCCCCTCCTCACGGGTGTGGGGATCATTGGCATTCACTTCATGTCTCTGTTTTCTGGAGAGAGGCTTGACAAGCCGACCCGTGGCTTTCCAGAGACTCACGTTCCTGGGGGCATCGTTCTGAGAGGGAGGCAGGGCAGAGGTTGCTGGGATTCCTTCTCTCCACGGGCTGGGCATGCCCAGAGCTTGCTGGCAGCCTCCACAGGAGGTGGGAGAGGGAAGTCTGAGGCCGGGGAGGGGGATCCCCTCACATATGTCCCACCGGGTACTTGGGTGTGGCCTCAGGAGGGGAGGTGGAGTCCAGGAACAATGTAATGTGTCTAGTCTCTATCTCTCTCTCTGCTGCGTTAACTCTGCAACGACAAGCATCTTTGCAGCAACTTAGTGTAGACTAATGCCTGAGCACATGTGCTATTTTTTGGTGCCTCTTTGACACATCTGGCAGGTGATTCGGGTTATGATGAAGGGTTTGCCATCACTTCTGCCTGCGGCAGTGCTGTGATGCAGAAAAATCTTACTCTGATCCTCATTCCTTTAGGAACTTAGGGTAGCACCAGGTGGGTCACTCCCTGCAGCAGAGATGGCTGATTGTCCATCAAAGTTGATCTGCCCTTCCAAACTAAACAGTTGTGGCTGGAAAGCAGCTGTCTGGCTGGGGACTTGAAGGTAGGCTTAGTCATGTGACTGGTTTTCATCAGCAGAATGTGAGAGGAAGTGATGTGTGCCACTTGTAGCTCAAGGCTCTTAAGAGGCCACGTGCCTCCTCCATTCTTATTTTCCCCTTTTATTGAGTGGTTTCCTGTGATGACAAGGCTCCTCAGGTGGCAGGAGCCAGGGTTCCTGAATCAACATATTTGGGCTGGAGATCGTGGTAGACAGAGTGCATTAAATGCTTCTGCATCTCACTTCTCCTTGTATCTGTGTCTATTGTCATGTGGACTTGGAGCCCTTCCCATAAAGCTGGAGTACACTGGCCAAAGCAATGGCGTATGTTCTCCATTGCAATAAAATGAGGCAGAAGCAATGGTGTGTCATTTCCAAGGCTAAGTCACAAAAAATCCTGCATGTTTCTGCCTGTTTGTTGCATCTCTGCCATCTCCACAGGAACATTCCTGACTGTTCTGCTGGAGATGGAAAGACACAGGATGGAGCCAAGTCACTCCAGTTGTGCAGCTCAGCTCAGCCTTTAGCCAGCAACCCAAGGCATGGGAGTGGGTGCAGGGAGATCAGCAGAGTATCTAGCCAAGCCCTATCTGACCCTGGATGCCTGAGCAATAAATACGATTGTGTGTGCCACTGAAACTTTATGGTTGTTTGTTACATGGCATTAGGACAATAGATGACTGATACAGCAGTTTACCGACCAGGAATGAATCCATGCCTCAGACTGTTAGGTGCGAGATATTTGCACTGTGACTGAAGGGTTGTATATTTCGGAGTGGATTTGTAATAGCAGTTTCTTACCCTGGTTCACGTGCCCCACAACTACTCCCTCATTGCTTCAGGATGGAGGGACCACAAAAATCTGGCCCCTGAATGCCGTCTGGCTCCATCTGGCACGTCTCTCCCCTTTTCTTTCTACATCCTAGTTGCATTGGATTTCTTTTAAGCCCCTGAATGCCCAAGAAGTCTCCATCATTACGATCTCATTCTCTTTCCCCTGCTTAGAATGCCCCCTCGCCACATAACACAGCTAGCTCTCTGCTGAACGTCCCTCCTTCCAGCAAGCTTACCCCAATGCTAGGAGGAGGTCAGCCCCCAAATAATATGGTCCCAAATCCCTCTGCACTTCCCAGTGGCACTCAGCTCCTTTGAGATTCCTAGCCCAGGTATGCCTTCTCCATTGCAAGGCAGGATCCCTGTCCGATGTGCTCATGGTGTGTCTCTCCCATTGGGCACAAACCCGGCACACTGTGCATGCTCAGTGAGTATTTCTTGAATAAATGGGCTGGTGTAGGTGACATTTTCCAGAGTAGAGTTACTCAGCTTTTTCAGTGGAACACCTCTGAGCTTACGAGGACTCATTGGGTACCTGGTTGTCCTCCAAATACATTGTCCAGTTGCATGTTCATGCCCCTCCCACCTTCCCCCTGAGCTCAAGTGGCCACGTAGAGCGTGGTATGGACTCTGCAGCCTGCCTGCCTGGAACCAGATCCTGGCTCTACTCCTTACTGATTGTGACACTTTGGACAAGGTTTTGAATGCCTCTCCATCTATAAAATGGGGATTTAGGAGGGTGTCCATCTCATAGCCCTGTTTCTCATGGGGCTGCTCTGAGAAATAAATCAGTTAATATATGTAAAGCACATACACAAAACCTCATGTAGTAAAAGCTATAAAAGTATAAGCTAGTACTATTCAAGGTTAAGGACTAGATAGTATTCATTTTTGTATCCCCCCAAATGCTTAACCCAGTGCTGGCAAAAAGAATGTGGTCAGGCCAGGCATGGTGGCTCACACCTGTAATCCCAGAACTTTAGGAGGCCGAGGTGTGTGGATCACGAGATCAGGAGTTCAAGACCATCCTGGCCAAGATGGTGAAACCCCGTCTCTACTGAAAATACAAAAATAGCCGGGTGTTGTGGTGGGTGCCTGTAGTCCCAGCTACTCGGAAGGCTGAGGCAGAGAATTGCTTGAACCCGGGAGGCAGAGGTTGCAGTGTGCCGAGATCGTGCCACTGCACTCCAGCCTGGGCGACAGAGCGAGACTTGGTCTCAAAAAAAAAAAAAGAAAGAAAGAAAAAAGAATGTGGTCAATAAATGTTTTATTTTTTTATCTTCTTTTGCAGTCCAGAAGCCTTTTTTATTTAATACCTATTATGACATGAAGCATAGGGAATAGGTTCCAGCAGCCCAGACCCCATTCCACTGGCTCTCACAAAGTGTGCTTCCCTGGGTGGAGCAGGCTGGCGCTTCGTTAAACACAGGTATCTTATTCTTTGCCTTCCTTCTTTTTCTAATCATTTTCCTTCATGCATTTCTGGTGCCTAATATGCTCAATATGCACATTAATTCTCTGGTCCTTAACTTGTTTGTTTACAACAATGCTAACAGCGTACTGGGGGACACTGTAGACTTTCTGGTTTTGCCATGGTAACATTTTTGGGGCATTCCCATTTTTTAACAGTGCGTATTCCCTTGATGTCTACAGTATCACAATTTTTTGTAGAGTCACATGTATGTGGCCAAAGGAACAACTCCATGTTTTCTTTCTTTCCTTTTTTTTTTTGGAGTTGGAGTCTCACTCTGTCACCCAGGCTGGAGTGCAGTGGCGCAATCTCTGCTCACTGCAATCTCTGCCTTCCGGGTTCACGCCGTTCTTCCGCCTCAGCCTCCCGAGTAGCTGGGACTACAGGCGCCCACCATCACAGCCAGCTAATTTTTTCGTATTTTTACTAGAGATGGGGTTTCACCATGTTAGCCAGGATGGTCTCGATCTCCTGACCTCGTGATCTGCCCGCCTTGGCTTCCCAAAATGCTGGGATTACAGGAGTGAGCCACCGCGCCCGCCAAACTGCATGTTTTCTAAAAGGCCTGGAGAACATGGCAGATGTCCCTGCACCTTCCTTTTGTGTTCTCTGGTGTGTTTGTAATTCCACACCTGGACGAGTGGACAAGCAAAGCCCTGAGGCAGCAGCCCCATGTGATTCTAGGAGTGGCCCATTCCACTCATGGGCCCACTCTTTCCTGGAGGACAGTCACTGCGGACTGATGGTTTCCAGCATGTGTTTGGGCCAGAGGAACTTAGTTTCAGTTCTAGCTTAGCCACTCCCTAACCATGCTGGCTCTCAGTTTCCTCACCTGTAAAATGGGGATAATGATTGTACCTTCTTCTTAGGGTTGTTTTAGTGGGTAAATGAGGTAAGCATTCAGCCCAGGACTGGCATAAGAAATAAACAGATACTTATTAAACATAAAACAAAGTAAAGAAGACTGTCCAGGTATTTTGCCCCAAGGTGATATATTTGTTTTGCGTGGAAATCTGTAGTGTGAAGTAACAATACCAAGGTAACACTTACATAGCACTTACTAAGTGCCAGACATGGTTCCAAGAGCTTTAACTCTATTAACTAATTCCTTCCTCAGCCCTATGATGCGGGTATTATTATCTATTATCATCTTCATTCTACAGATGAGGAAACTGAGGCACAGAGAGGTCTCACTTAGAAATTTCCTGGGAGGCTCCATTTGGATGCAGGTTGCTCAGCAAGGGGGCAGGTTGGTTTGGGATGAGAGAACTCACTGTTATCATCTGGTGGAGCATCCTAGTATATACCCCAACATCTGGGAAACCACCTCCCAATAAGGTGAATATTCTTTTTTAAATTAAAAGTTAAGAACTCCTATTCTTCAAAAGATGCTATTAAGAGAATGAGAAGACAAGCAACAGAATGGGAGAAAATATTTTGCTAATCACATAGCTGATAAAACAATTAGGTCCAGAATGCATGAACAACTCTTAAAAGGCAATAACAAGAAAACAATAATCACACTAAAAAAAAATGAGCAAAAGATTTGAGCAGACACTTCGACAAAGAAGATAAATGGATGACAAATAAGCACATGGAAGGCACATCAATCCTCATGGTCTTAATGCAAATTAAAACCATACTGAGATACTGCACACCCACTAGAATATTAAAATTAAAAAGTCCGACTACGCTCTACACTGAGAGCTGGCAAGAATGTGGAGCATCTGGAACTCTCATACAATGCTGATAGAACATCAAATGGAACAACCACCTTGGGAAACAGTTTAGCAATTCCTTAAAAAGTTAAATTTAGACCTACCTTATGATCCTAGCCATTTCTAGATAAATCCTCCTAGGTTTCTCTCCAGGAGAAATGGAAGGACATGTCCACACAAAGACTGGTGCATGAATGTTCACAGCCACTTTATTTGTAATAGCCCATCAAGTAAATGGATAAACAAATTTTGGTATATCCATACGATGGAATACTACTCAGTAATAAAAGAGAACATGCAATAACATGGATGAAACTCAAAATAGTTATGCTGAATGAAAAAAGCCAGGCAAAAAATGAGTAGATGTCTGATTTTATTTATATAAAATTATGTAAAATGCAAACCAACCCATACTGAGTGTATTAGTCTGTTCTCACACTGCTAATAAAAGCATACTCGAGACTGGGTAATTTACAAAGGGAAGAGGTTGAACTGACTCACAGTTCCACATGGCTGGGGAGGTCTCACAATCATGGTAGAAGGCGAAGGAGGAGAAAAGTCATGCCTTACATGGCGGCAGGCAAGAAAGGTGTGCAGGGGGTGCTCTCCTTTATAAAACCATCAGATCTTGTGAGACTTATTTACTGTCACAAGACCAGCACAGGAAAGACCTGCCCCCATGATTCAGTGACCTCCCACTGGGTCCCTCCTACGACATGTGGAAATTATGGGAACTACAATTCAAGATGAGATTTGGGTGGTGACACAGCCAAACCATATCACTGACCAAAAGCAGATGGGTACTTGCCTGGGTATGGGGAGAGTGGGAGGGATTCCCAAGGGCCTTGGGGAAGCTTTAGGAGCCATGGATTTGCTCACCATCTTGATTGTGGTGATGGTTTCACAGGTGTACACATTTGTCAAGACTTATCGGATTGTGCGCTTTAATTATCTTCGGTGTTTACATGTTAATTATACCTCAACAAAGCTGTAAAAAACAAAAGTCGTGTCTCGTGTGCCAAGAGTAAGGAGTTTGGGAGCTCATAGAGGTCCCAGATGGTTCAACTCAGGCTCCTTCTAGGTTGCTGTCAACTAAAAAGTTATTTTTAAAATAAAATCTCCAATATAGGCCAGGCCCTGTACTAGAAACTTTCACTTTGTTTTCTCAGGGCCTGGTCAGAGCCTGTGTAAGGAAATATCCCCCAAAAGACAATGGGGTGGTGAAGGGCTGCTCAGAGCCAGGAGGGCTTGGGGAAATCCCTTCAAATCTCAATCCAGTTTTCTGCTTACAAACGTGTTGTTCTGGCCCTTTTAGAAAGTGAGCTGTGTTCCCTAAATCTCCTAAAATGAGGAGGGCGTTAAAGGATAAATGTGTTTCAGTGGATGCTGTCAGTCGTGCCCGCCTCCCTGGCACAGAGCTGAGGGAGGGAAGGGTTGTCGAGGCAGGCAGAGCCCTGGGTGAGCCCAGGCGGGGTTCGCGTCACTTTCGAGCTCCCCTGGGGAAGTCGGGCTGTCTCATGCATATTCTAGCTTGTCTCCTGTTGAGGCCGACTGGGCAGACAAGGCCAGGCTGACAATGTGCTTGTTCACGGTCTGGTGCACCTGCCCTCCTTGCACAAACTCAAGTGAAGATTTTTAATGATGCTCAGAAATGGTTTGCAATGGAAATAATGACTAAATCTCACTCTCCAGCCTCTTGGTGTGTCTGTGTGTTGTTGGGGGTGGATTCCAACCCAAGGCAAATGCCAGTTGGCTCCCAACACCCCTCCAGGAGGCAGATGTGGAATTCTCCCCTCCTGGCTTGGCAGTCTGTCGGGAAGAACCTGTCTACTGGACTGATGGATAAAGGCAGGCTCGGCATTAAGTAGGCTGTTAGTCTTTAACCAGCACAGCTGACAGTGTAGACGACAGAAGGAACAGGCCCCAAGAAGCGGGGGGAAATGAATGAATGAGCGTATGAACACATGCGGAGTCCAAGAGCTCATCTAGCCCTGGACCGCTTTGGTGGAATCAGTCTTCATTGTGAGGGGATGTCCTGTGCGTTTTAGGATGTTTGGTAGCTTCTTTGGCCTCTAACCGGTAGATGTCAATAGCCGATCCCACCCTCTCACTTTCTGATCAAGACAATCGAAACTATTTCCAGATGTTGCCAAATGTTCCCTGGGGTAGGAATCCCTGCTGGGTGAGAGCCACTGGACTGATTGCTTTGACCTCGGTTCTATCACCAGAGAGACGGCCACACACTTGACCTTTCTGAAAAACAGTGATGGGATGAGACCTGCCTTGTTCAATAGCATAGCCACAAGCCACATGTGTATCCTGGACACTTGGAGCACAGCTGGTCTGAATTGACATGTATCCTAAGGGTATGAATGCTTAGGATAATAAAAAGAAGGGAAAGTATCTTATTAATAATTTTGTTATTGATTACATGTTGAAATGACCATATTTTGGATACGTTGGGTTAAATAAAATACATTGTTAAAATAAATGTCATTTGTTTCTTTTACTTTTTAAAATATGGCTACTGGAAAAATGTCAGATGTCCTGTTTGGCTCATATGATATTTCTATTGGACAGTGCTGGTGCGGAGAAGGAACAAAGTTTACTCAAATGACCATGAATCAGTGTGGTGGCACACTGACAGGGACAGTGGTGTGGCCATGACAGTATGTGGGGTAGACAAGGGTCAAAGATCAAGTGTCAGGGGAGGCTCACCTAAGGAAGAGATGCTAGAGTGAAGAACTGGAGAAGGAGAAAAAGGAGGAGGGGGAGGAGAAAGAGGAAATAGAAGGAGGGGAGAAAAGAGGAAGGAGAAGAGAAGGAGGAGGAGGGGGAGGAGAAGGGCAAATGGATTTATGTAGAGGAAACAGCTAATACCAAATTTGGGTGGTGGGAGGGAGCATGGCACATCTGAGACACAGACCAGAGGCCACATGGTGGAGTGCAGGGAGGCCAGGGAGGCTGGCAGGGTGAGAAGTTGGCCTCCATCCTAAAAGCAGTGTGAGGCCATTGAAAGGATTTTAAGTGGTGGGGTGACATGATCAAATTCACATTTTAAATAGCTCACTCTGTCTTTGATGTTTTATCTCCCCTCCTAAGAGATTACAGAAGGCTCTAGAATCAGACTTCCAGGTCAAATTGGAGCTCTGTCACTTCCTAACTGTAATCTTGGGCATGAACTCTCTCAGTGCCTGTTTCCACATCTGTAAAATGGGGATGATGATGATAATAGCATTGACTTCATACGCTTGTTGTGATGATTAAATGAGTTATTATGTGATGAACACTTAGAACAGGACTGGACACATGGTCACCACTCAGTGTTACTTAATAGTAAGTTCCTGGGGTTGGGGGACACTCCATTTTAGAAATCTTGGCTTTTCTCATTCTGAATACACATACAAATATGAGTTGAAAGATTTGGTTTTTTTGTATGTTTCTCTTTTCTATTAGGCTTTTTCTTCTCCCAGGAGAAATCCCAGCTTGATTGGCATTCTTGTGTTCTGTCCCACGGGGTGGTTGTAGAACAGAAAGGAAGAAGGTGGGGGGCACTCAGGGGACATAAGGAGAGAACCCCATGAAAACCTGGATTCCAACTTCTCCTTGACAGACAGCAAGATTATTGACAGTTTCTTCCAACAATGCTTCCTTTCACAGTAAGTCTGAAGAAAGAGGTGCTTTCTTCACAGGAAGGCAAAGAAAAATGAACTCCCCTTGGCTCTTGCCCATTGTAATGCCCCATGCTGCTGGCAGAAGGTGGGGAGAAGGCACAGCTTTCACAACTTTACACACATATTTGGAGAAGTCCTTGATTGTTGAGTTCTTTGACCACATTCCAAGAACCCAGCAGTGCCTGCTTGGAGGGTGACCACTGGAAGCCAAGACTCGTCTAGGATATGTTGCAAATTGCCCAAGAGTTAATAGCAACTTTGGCGGCATGACATGTTACACAAGAGCTCAAAATCTTGAAAATCTATCTAGGTGCTGAGCTGTGTAAATAAAACCAAGTACTTCTGCAGCTCCTCATGTTAATTCAAGTAGAAGTTTCCTAAGTGCTTACCCATAGGTCCGACTTGCCATCAGTGGGCAGGCTTGGGTGACCATCCATCAAACTTATCTCCTGGGAGGATAACATTGATCCTTTGTGCACCAGCAGCAGAGGAAGAAAGGCTCCTGTCGGCCATGAGGTGGGGAGACCTGCTCTTACCCATTCCTCTTCCTGCTTCCCGCACCATTAAGAACTGAATTTGGTCTGGGCTGTCTTAGAAACTTTGCTCAGTCTGGGATATACGTTGAGCACTTGAGACATCAGGGGTCCCAAGGGACTCTTGGTGAATTTCATTCTCTCTAAGGCACAGTGTAGGAGCAGTATGATCCAGCATGCCACTGCAGCTCCAGGCATCCCATCCCTATATTCCTGTTTCCCAAATAGAAAAGAAGGGGCCATGAACAAACCTTCTCCTTGCCGGCTGTCTTATCAGAGAAGAACTTTCCCAAATGTCCCCAGCAGACCTCTGCTTGTGTATTATTGACCAGAACTGTGACACTGGTCCTCCCCCAGGCCAATCACTGGCATAGGATTGCCATGATTGGCATAGACCACCATGATCCATCTCTTGGGCCCAGGCACACTGGGCTTTGGTGGCAAAAAAGAAGTGGGATAGGAACTCTATTGTCCTATAGATCCTTTATCATAAGAGCAATGAGGAGCCATTGTAGGGCTTTAAGCAGAAGAGTGACGTGATCAAAAATGTGTTGTCAGAAGTCATCTTGGCAAGAGAGTGAGGTTGAATGGAAGCATGAACGGAAGTGGGAAGACTAGTTCCTGGCTGTCCAGGCTTTTATCCCAATAGGTAGACTCAGACAGGATTGCACTTTATGTGCCATAAGTATTAATACTTTTTTCAGGCTGTAATACGTTGCAGAATAATGCTTTGAAAAACATCCTGATATCTTTTCCCTTCTTAGTAATTTGCTTTTTGCCCCTCTTGCAGCCCTTAAAGCTGGGCTGGGAGGCCGAGCTGCTCCAGGGAAAGGAGGGGGAATACCTCCTAAAACAAAGAACACATTGCTGAGCATGGAATTAGACTTTAAAACTCTGCAGAAGACAATAGTCTAGAACAGGGTTGGCAGACTGTGGCGTGTGGGTCAGATCCTGTGGCGTTTTAGTCAATAAAGTTTTATTGGAAACAGCCACGCTTGTGTGCTCAGATAGAGTCTGTGCTGCTTTGATGCTACCACAACAGAGCTGGGCAGCTGTGACAGGGACTGTGTGGCCCACAAAGCTTAAAATATTTACCATCTGGTCCTTTACAGAAAAAAAGTTTGTTGACTCTAGTGGAGAAAGGCAGACTTTGGAGAGAGCAGGCATTTTCCTGGAATATCTGGAGCTGCATTTTTACGTGCCAGAATCCAAAGCTTGGAGGACTCTGCATAGAGGAGGAAGGATGGGGACATGTCACAGGGACGGTTTTGCCACCCGGTACTAGGGAAAGTCCCTCGAGTGAGAGGCGGGCAGGCCCAGTGAACTTTGGGTGTGAGTGGCATCCTGGCTTCTCCTTCAGAGTCAGAACTCCCAACTGCCTGCCAGGCATAGCTCAGGGACATTCAAGACACCCAGAATGTCTTGTGTGTGGCCTGGTACTGCTCAAATGTGGCTCAGCGATGCAGGCTAGCAGTGGCCCAGGAAGACTCCTCAGAAAGGTGGTCCCCAAAGCAGCCTCACCTGATCCCACCATTCTTGTCTCTGGACAGCTTGGACAGTCGAGAAGGCCTTCCCTCATCCCTCACTCTCACTCCGCTAAGTTAGCCCTTTCCTCTCCATATGCACAAAGAACTCCAGACCTCCCTTCTCACAACACTCGTTTGATCTGTAATGATTCATTCAGTATCTATTTAGCCTATAAGACAATTAATCCTCCAAGGCGGAGACTATAATTTGTTTATGGCTTTATGCTAAGCATGTAACTCAGTGATAACACTAAGCGGATGTGCAATGAATGAATGAGTAACTCAAAAGACCACTCCCTAGTTTATCCCTATCTGTTTGGTGTTTTATTTCTAATAGCTGTTGGCATCATCATGATGAAAGGCAGGATCCCCATTTAGAAGAGGAGATGAGAAAACCATCAGGCTTGGTGGCTGCCTTTGCAGGCAGCACTTGGGAATCACGAAGGCCCTGGAGCTAAGACGTGTTCTTGACGTTGCTACACTGACATGCACTACTATCAGCTCTCCAATAACTGGTATCTGCAGGGAACAAAGACTTTCCCACATCGATTTCTCCTTTGGGGAAGTGAAGCCAACTGGCCACCATCTAACTGAACCAATCAGCCTGAGGTATGGCAAGTGTGTAGATGGACAGAACAAGATGTCGCAGGAGGGATGACCTGGCTGAAGTGCCCTGGGACAAAGAGAAATTGGTGGGGGTTGGGCCAAATAATATAAATAATTTTGTAATTTTATGCATGAGTGTTATACTTCAGTAACAAGTTACAAAATGAAAAAAAAAAAACCCAATCTCCACAAATTTCTACCCAAATCAGTAATAACAATAAAAGGCAATCTTTGTTTCATGTTCAACAAGGGCTACTTGCTCTTCTAAGTACCTGACATGCATTTTCTTGTTTAATCCTGACAACAACCCTATGAGACACTCATCATTCATTCATTGAAAAGCTGTTTAACGAGCACCTGTACCAGGCCTTGTACAGGCCCTGAGATGTAGACAGTAAAGAAGACAGACAGGGCAGGCCCCTGCCCTCCTGGAACTTACATTCTAGCGGACACACACCATTATTAGTCCCAGCCTATAATCTAAAAAAAAAACAAAGCTCTGAAAAGCCCAGTCATTTGCCCCGATTCTATGTTTAATAAACAATTTGATCAGGCCAGGATTCAGTTCTAGATGTCTCTGACCCCAAAAGGCCTGAGCACTTCTCCTGCTGTATTTTTTTTTGTTGTTTGTTTGTTTGTTTTTAGATAGTGTCTTGCTGTGTCGCCCAGGCTGGAGTGCAGTGGTGCGATCTCGGCTCACTGGAACATCTGCCTCCTGGGTTTAAGTGATTCTCCTGCTTCAGCCTCCTTAGCAGCTGGGACTGTAGGTGTGTGTCACCACGCCAGGCTAATTTTTGTGTTTTTGGTAGAGATGGGGTTTTACTATGTTGGCGAGGGTGGTCTTGAACTCCTGACCTCAAGTGATCTGCCCACCTTGGCCTCCTAAAGAGCTGGGATTACAGGTATAAGCCACCACACCTGGCCCTCCTGCTGCTTTTTTTGGTGCCGAATCCCCTAGAGGTTGTGCAGATGACCCTCTATATGGGCTCAGGAGTTCTCTGCTGCATTGTTATACGACAAATTCTATTTATTTATTTTTAGAGCAGAAAAGGTTTCTGTGCTTGGAAAGTGGGAGGGAGGGTAGATGGAGGTGCTCCAATGCTGTCATGAGGACTCCCTCTCTGCATCCTGCTTTCCTGGGTGTCAGCTTCCTTCTCAGGCAGGAGCTGTCCACAGCAGCCTCAGGGTTACAAGGCCCTGGCAATTGGACATCCCAAGAGGGTCCACATGCCTTTTTCCTGGGCTCTGGCAAACACTGGGACTATGCCCTTCCTTAGGGCATATGCTTTTCCCCACTTGCTCACAAGGCCAAGGGTATGAGTATTCTTTTTCTAATTATATTTATTTTCTGAATATGTTATATATGGCATAAAATTTGAGAAGTTAAAAAGAAGTTACAAGAAACAGGTGCCCCCTCACCCTGTCCTCCGGCCATCCTGTTTCCCTGCCTGAAGCTCTTTGTGTAGGCAGGTGAACAACATACTAAGATAAAGGGAGTGGAGACAATCGCTGGTGGCCCTGATTAATAGACAGAGATGGAGGGGTTTACCCCTGAGCCTCCTAAGACTTGAGACCTGAGCTGCTCAAGTCTGAGGGGATCCTAAGATACCCCCCAATACAGGCTGAAGACACCTTTCTGTGACCACCTTCTGTTCCATGAAGCCTGCATTTCAGAGCCTTTGGGAAGCCAGGCCAGGGACTGGGAAGAGTAATCTCCACAGGAAATGAGCACACTGGTGCTCTGGGATGTGCTCTGGGATCTTGTGATTTGGTTTACTAAAATCCCATCTTAGCATCGGTGCTCAGACAACATTGTTCCCAGCTGGCACAAGACCCAGGAATGGGGTGGTTGCTCTAAAGCACTGTCTCCTCCCAGTGCCCGTGAGCAGCTAGTCCTCCTGTCTCTGTGGCCTCTCTTGGTATTTCTCTTTAAGAAATGACTTTTTTTTTTTTTGAGACGGAGTCTCACTCTGTCACCCAGGCTGGAGTGCAGTGGTGTAATCTTGGCTCACTGCAGCCTCCGCCTCCCAGATTCAAATGATTCTTCAGCCTCAGCCTTCCGAGTAGCTGGGACTACAGGCGTGCACCACCACACCCAGCTAGTTTTTTTTTTTTTTTTTTTTTTTTTTTTTTTTTTGTATTTTTAATAAAGATGGGTTTTCACCGTGTTAGCCAGGATGGTCTTGATCTCCTGACATTGTGATCTGCCTGCCTCGGCCTCCCAAAGTGCTGGGATTACAGGCATGAGCCACCACACCCAGCCCTAAGAAATGATTTTCAAAACACCCTGGGTCTCTCCTATCCAGTTCCTAGGCAGGTAAAAGACATTTGAAATGTTGGGTAATTGGTTTTAAAAAAAGCCAGGGTCATCAGTCTTCTGACTCTTAGGTGATAGAAAACACAGATTGACACTGGTCACCATCCATAATAAACCATCTTCAGGGGAGCCGGTGGGCTAGTGTGTACTCCACCAGCTCACTGATGGGAGATGATTTAACATTAGAGTCAGGCCATCTGGCAGAACCAAGCAATTAATATTTTCAGTGTTTGCTGAACTTGTCTTGTTCCTCAGTTTCAGTAGACCCAAAAATGTGTTAGAAATGGATATTCTTGACCATTCTTTTGAGATGATCATACGCAGTATTCAAGGTCATAAAATTGGCAGGCTGTTTTGTTTTATCTTTTATTTAAGTGGATGTTTTCCTTTGCAATGAAGTGTTCTGTTGCCAAAGACCATTTGGTTCTGCTTCCATGCACCCATCAAATTCTCTAGACTTTTGCTAACCCAAGCCCTATTTGAGTAAATCATATGCATATTGGAATTCTGTGGGAACTGGGGTCAGAACAAAAGTTGCCCATTTTCTCCTTGTGTCAATCCTGCAAACACTCTCCGAATTCCCTGCCTAGGGCTATAAGACATTGACATAGCAGTATGAGGGTTTGCACACAGCAAGAGCGGGTGATAGGTCACACACTAACTGTTCTGGTGTTCACCAGGCATGACCCAGTGTCTAAGATCAGAAATGAATTGTTCAGAGACTGGTTGGAGACCTGTGGCTCTCACAGGGATCACTGGAGAGTGTTGGCAGCAGGCGGAGGATGAAATTCAACGTGCTGGATTAAGAACTGAGGAACACAAAGATGACTGAGATGTGATCCCATTTTGGGGATTCTACCATCCAGGATGGGAGAGGAACGTTTGTTCTACAGATATGTAAAGCACATCTACCATGTGCCAGGCACTGGGGAAACAGAGATAGTAAGATGGGGGCACTGCTTGCTTGTAATGCATAACTTGACGGGAGACAGACATGTGAGAAGAGAACTGTGATCCCAAATGATAAGTGGATGCCAAGCATTCTTGAGAGGAAGGAGGTGGGCATGGAATATTAGAAGTAGCTTCATAGTGGCCAGGTGCGGTGGAGCATGCCTATAATGCCAGCACTTTGGGAGGCCGAGGCCGGCAGATTACTTGAGGTCAGGAGTTCCAGACCAGCCTGGCCAACATGGTGAAACCCCGTCTCTACTAAAAATACAAAAATCATCCAGATGTGGTGGCAGGTGCCTGTAATCCCAGCTACTTGGGAGGCTGAGGCAGGGGAATCACTTGAACCCGGGAGGCAGAGGTTGCAATGAGCTGAGATCGCACCACTGCACTCCAGCCTGGGCAACAGAGCGAGACTCCGTCTCAATGGCTGGGAGGGAAAAAAATAGATTGATAGTAAATAGGAATGTGTGGGGAATAGCAGTAACGATGATGACACTAGCAAATACTAATGAGGCACCACGAGGCACTGTTCTTAGATTTTAGATATATTGGGTCACTTGATCCTCACACAATCTTATGTACAGATGAGATTGGCTCACTTGCCTATGATCACAGTGCTTGTTAGGAACAGAGGTGGGATTTGAACCCTGGCAGCCCGGCTCTCTGGAGCCTGGGCTTCACCACTACACTCTGTCACCATGTACCATGAGAGCATGATGTGGGAGTGGAGGAAGCTAAGCTAGGAAAGATCTGACATGTAAGTTAGAGCTAGATGGTGATAGCTTTGTCTGCCATCTGTCAGATTTGAGACTTTACCCCGTAGGCACAGAAGGATTCTGCGTAGGAGAGCTTGCAACCAGATCTATGTTTTGAAAAAAAAAATCATCTTAGCAGCTATAATAATGAACTAGAAGCAGAAGAAACTGAAGGCTGGTTTAAGGCTATTGCAGTTGTCTAGGCAAGACCTGAGGAGACCTGAAGGGCTGGAGAAGAGGGGAAAAATTCAAGAATTACATAA
Organism: Homo sapiens; assembly: GCF_000001405.40. Lineage (NCBI taxonomy): Eukaryota > Metazoa > Chordata > Mammalia > Primates > Hominidae > Homo > Homo sapiens. Next base: position 42,128,898 of record NC_000001.11, on the reverse strand, counting down.
GGAGTAAAATGGGCAGGATTAGGGGAGTAACTGGGAGGATGACAGGAGTTGTTAATGGCTGATGCTTATAGATTGGGTGCCATTTGCAGCTGCCAGCTCTGATCCACTGCTCTGGGCTGCTGGCATGTGGGGACCACCTTCCTCCATTAAGATGCTGCTACACCCTCATGCTGGCTCCAGAGGAAGGCATGGCATGAGAAAGGTCACATTCCCCTGATGAGTCTGTCCCAGTGTGGACACAGGCTCATCTCTTAGTTCCCTTCAGTACCGCAGACACCAGCTGTAGGATAACAAAGGAGCAGAGATCTGAGTGTCCTTAACACAGAGAGATCATAGGGCAGGACCAGCCACTCCCTCTCACAGGAGCTCTACGGCTCCTTCCTACTGCAGAGCATGCTAAACCCAGAATGTCTTTTCTCCAATCCTGGGGTCCCAAATCCCCAATTGCCCCCACTCAAGAAGGCAAAAATCTAGTTTGCATTGTTACAACCTCTGTGCTAGGAAGACAACCTTTTGGCATTTTCTAGCTGCACAGTATCTCTTCATTGTTTCAACCTCTCCCTCCAGACTAATTTCTCAGCTCACCTTTGCACACTCAAGAGACTCATTAAAACATTTTCCCAAACAAAAGAGCAGTCTTCTCCCAAAGATGAATTTTGCTGCCACCCCTAGAATGCAGAAACAGCTGCAGGCATCTTTGAAAACTGCAACGTTTTCATTCCTCCTATAATATTAAATATTGCAAAAAGGCCAAGAATGGAGGCCATTAGATTTATCTAGCATCTTACTGAATGAATATTTATTGAGGGAGAATTTCCACCTCTAGGAATAGAAGGGTCAACTGTCTGGCTAAGGACAACAAGAAAGGTTGGACATGTTAAAAAAAATGGTCTGTTGTATCCGAGAGCTAAATCAGGCCTTACCCAGACTGCGGCTCAGCTTCCAGTCATCTCGGTGGCCCGGAAAAATCTCAGTTCCTGCCACTGGATGATGATAGTCCTGTATTGCTAGTGCCCCTCAGGCAACTGGCAAAAGCAAATATAAATCTTCTCTAGTGGAAGATACGATCATCTGAGACCTCAAGTTATGCGTATAAACAATTCTTCTACTACAAAATTGGATATCAAATCAAAGTAAATCAGGCATGTGAGTAAACCTGATAATATAACTGACATCCATCAGAAGAAAACAGATAATGGAAACATGGAAGCTCAGATATTAGAATTATCAGACACAGATTTAAGATCGTCATTGGGTAACTATTATAGGTCAGACACTTGTGCTGGCATCAAGGATAAAACAGTGCACAAACAAAGCATGCTTCCTGACCTTATCATGCTTTTATAGTCTTCTTGGGGAGACAGGCATTAATCAAATAAATCCTGCTATGGTAGGTTGATTGCCAAAATGGACCCAGTCCTCCACGTTCCTCTCCCCCTTCCCGGTATCTGTACCCTTGGTAGTGTGACTTTGCAGTGCTCCCAGCAGCAAGCAGGTGAAGTCTATTTCCCATTCCCTGAATCTGGGCTAGCCTTGCGCTTGCTTTGGCTAACACAATGTGGCAAAAGTGATGGTGTGCCAGTTTTGAGCCTGGATCTCAAGAGGCCTTGTGTCCATCTGTTGGTTCTCCTGGAAAGCTGGCACTGAGAACAATTCTGGGATCCTGTTGGAGAAAGAGAGATTGTCCCAGCCAAGGCTCAGACCCATGAAAGGGTTCAGCCAAGATCAGCAGCTGACTGCATATGCTCAGGTGAGTCCCACCAAGCCCTGCTCAGATCAGGACTATCCAAATGGACCCACAGGCTTCTTAGAACAAATTTTTATTGTTGTATGCCACTTAGGTTTGGTTGTAGTTGTTATGCAGCATTATTGTGGCAAAGATGACTGACGCGCACATAGATGAATAATTCTGACCTGATCAATGACAAAGAAGGTGTGGTAGACTCTGAGGGTTTAGGAGAAACTGATTAAGCCTGGGCATTAAAGGAAGGCTTCTCTGAGGAGCTGATGTTCAAAGTGAGACTGAGGATAAAGATCGTTAAACGAGCAAAAAAGAGGACCGAACATCCCAGGCAGAGAGAACAGCGTGCACAAAGACCTTGAGCAGAGAGGCAGTGGGACATTTTGAGGCACTGAAGGGAGGAGGTAATGCGAGGAGGGCGAAAGACAGGGTGAAGGGAGGAAACAGGGAATAGACCAGGGAGGCTATGCCTTTAGTTCTTGTTTTATCAAACGTAGCTAGAACCTTTTGATTCTCCTCTTTGTAAGATGAGGGTATTAGTGTCTGTACTCTTTCCTTCTCTCTTCTTCCTTCTCTCATACCCCAAGTTCTGTATATACTTTAACTTGCATATTGTCAAGGTCAGTGATGTTTATTCTATAACTATAATATCCATGTTTTAACTCTAGATGAATTTTAGAATTGAAGATCAACAAAATTATTTACATTATTAAGACTGTTTACATTATTATAACAAAGACCTTGTTCCATTATAGCCAAATGGTGCGCTATGGTTTTCATTTTCCCAACTGAATTTAAATTTTTAAGTGGCCTTTCTTTTTCTTTCACTCTATCTTTCTAAACTATTACTAATATCAGATATTCTATTGGAGAAAAAATGTTTCCCAAGAGAATTCCCTTCTAGGGTTTTAGAACCTCGTTCTCCTGCTTCAGTCTAGACTAGCTGTACTGATGTTACCCTGGAACTTTTCACTGCATTCAGGGATTACATCCCTATTTCCAGAAATGGATGCTTCTTTCTTGGTTTACCTCTTGTCTTACTAAACCACATCTTCAAAAAGCTTTCTTAGAAAGGGCATGTGGAAGGTAATTTTTTTGGTCCATGTATGTCTGAGAATATTTTTATACTACCCGTACATTTGATAAATATCTTGTTTATTTGTAACAATTGACTCTGAAAATAATTCCTTAGAATTTTGAAGGCATTGCTTTATTATCTTCTATCATCCAGACTTGCTGGTGTAAAGTCTGATGCCCTTCATTTTATTTTCCTTAACATAATTTTATTGTGAAATATAACACACTTGCAGAAAAGTGCATAAAAGTATAAAACTTAGTTATTTATCACAAAGCAAATATTTGTGTAATGACTAGCCTGGTCAAAAACTAAACAATTGCTAGTCTCTTCCCCTCTCCAAAACCCCACTTTATCTCCTCTTAATTACTGCTCCTTCCCTTCACCCAAAGGTAACTATTATCCTGACTTTTATGGTAATCTTGCGTTTGCTTTTATTTAAAACTTTACTACCCAACTTCATATTCCTAAATTCTAAAGTTTCATTTTGCCTATTAAAAAAACTTTAATATGTATATAGAAGAAAATAATTTATTCTTTTGGGCATAGCTTTTTAAAATTCAACATTATGTTTGTGAAATTTTCCATCTTGTTCTATGTAACCATAGTGGATTCATTTTTCATTACTGCTTAATATTCCTTTGTTTGGATCTACCCTAATGTATTTATTTCCTCTATTGTTGATGGATATTTAGGTTGTATCCAGTTTTTGGTCATTTCAGGCAAAGCTGTCAGGAACATTTTATACATGTTTCTTGGTGCAGCCATATATATTAAAAGTAATGGCAAAAACTGCAATCACTTTTGCCCCAACCTAGTACTTTCTGTTGGGTATATATCTAGGTGGAGTAGTATTGTGGGGTTGTAGGTCATGTAGGAGCATATCATTGTAGTTTTGATTTGTATTTTCCTGATCACGAATGATGTTGAGTATCTTTTTGTATGCTGTTGCCCATTTCTTTTTCTTCTTTTGTGGTGTGCCTATTTAATTCTTTTGTCTGTATTTCTATTTTACTGTTTCTATTTCACTTTTCTATTTTTATTATTGATTTGTAAATGTTCTGGATACAAGCCCTTTGTCAGTTATATTTTTGCAAACATTTTCTCCACCCAGTGGCTTATCTTCTCACTCTCTTAATGGTATCTATATCTATCTACATCTATTTATTTATTTTTGTTTGAGATGGGGTCTCACTCTGTCACCCAGGCTGGAGTGCAGTGGCACGATCTTGGTTCGCTGCAACCTCTGCCTTCCGGGCTCAAGCAATTCTCCCACCTCAGCCTCTCAAGTAGCTGGGACTGCAGGTGCATGCCACTACGCTGGGCTAATTTTTGTATTTTGGTAGAGATGGGGTTTTGCCATGTTGCCAAGGCTGGTCTCAAACTCCTGGACTCAAGTGATCCACCTGCCTCATCCTCCCAAAGTGCTGGGATTACAGGTGTGAGCCATGACATCCAGACTTCTTAATGGTATATTTTGAGGATGAGGAGATATTCCTAATATTTATGTCATTGAATTGTAGTTTTTTCTTTACGGTTAATCTTTTTATATCCAGTTTATGAAGATTTTTCTTTACCCCAATATTGTAAAGCTATCCCCCATATTCACTTTTAAAAGCTTTATTGTTGCCATTCACATCTATATATACAGTCCATCTGAAACTCATATTTGTATATGGTTATGAGGTAGGGATTGAGTTTGGTTATTTTTCTATATGAGTATTCAATTAACTCCATATTGTTTATTTTAAAAGTTTTTCTTTCTCCAATTCTCTGCAATGTCACCTTTATCATTAACCAGTTGTCTACACAGACATACAGACACACACACACACACACACACACACACACACACATACACACACACATTTCTGGACTCTCTATTCTATTCCATTGTTTTATTTTTAAAATTTTGCACTATTACCACACTCTCATAATTACTGTATTGTTATAAGAAATCTTGATCACTCATAAAGCACTTTCTTAACCTTTGTCTTTCTATAAGAATAACATACCTACTTTTGGCACTTGAGATTTCCAAATAGTTTTTAGAAATATATTGTCACAGAGTTAACCCATTGGTATTTTTTGGGGATTGCAATAAATCTACAAATTGGTTTGGTAATAATTGATGTCTTTAAAATATGTAGTCTTCAATCCATGCACATAGTATATCACTTCTAAAAATCATCTATTTCTGTGTAAGAAGCTACCTTACAATGTAGTGGCTTAAAACAACAATTTATTATTTCTCATGACTCTGTGGGTTGGCTGGGCACTTCCTCTGGTGGTTTCACTGGGGCTCATTCTTGTGGCTGTATTCAGTTAGAGTTTTGGCTGGACTGGAGGGTCCAGGATGGCCTCACTCATACATCAGGCAATTGGTGCAGGCTGTCAGCTGGGGTCTCTTGGTTGTCCTTCATGTGGCCTCTTATCCTGCGTAGGCCAGTTTTTTTGTTTTTTTTAAACATGGTAGTCTCAGAGTACTGTTCCAAGAGGTCAAAGGTGGTCTCTTGAGGCCTCTACTCTGAAATTCATACAACATCTTTTCCACCACATTTTGTTTGTCAAAGAAAATCACAAGGCCACCCAGATTCAAAAGGTAGGACAATAGAATTGGCTTCTTAATGGAAGGAGCTTTAAAGAATTTGTGTAATATTTAATATCCCATCTCATTCTTTTGTCTTTAATTTTTCTCATGTATAGTTTTCAGTGTGGAGGACTTGCACATTTGTTACATTTATTTCTAGGTATCTGATGTTCGTTGGCGCCATCATTTTGTTTTATTTTCAAACAACTTTATTGTAGTAGAATTTACATACAGTGAAATGTATCCATTTAAAGTGTAGAGTTTGATAGGTTTTGATAAATATTTACACCCATGTAATCACTACCACAATTAAGATAACCTTTCCATCACCCCTAAATATCCCTTGTGCCATTTATTGTCAATTGCCCTCTACTCTTGGCCTTAAGTAGCCACTAATCTGTTTTCTATTCCTATAGATTAGTTTTGTCTTTTCTAGAACTTCATATAAGTGGAATAATATAGTATATTCCCTCTTGTTTCAGCCTTCTTTTGCTCAGTACAATGTTTTTGAGATCCACTCCTTTTGTTGCATATATCAGTAATTCATTACTTTTTACTGCTGAGTAGTATTCCATTGTGTGGGTATACCACCATTTTTTATTCATTCTTCAAATGATAGACATTTGAGTTGGATCTGGTTGCTTCCAGTTTCTGGCTATTACAAATAAAGCCACTGTAACATTTGGTTACAAATGTTATATATTTGTATTTATCTTGGGTAAACAACTATGAGTAGAATTACTAGGTTGAATAGTAAGTGCATATTTAGCTTTATAGTAAAGTACTAAACTTTTTCCCAAAGTAGCTGTATCATTTTACATTCTCACTAGCAATGTATAAGAGTACCAGTTGCTCCACATCTTTGCCAACACTTGGTATTATCAGTTTCATCATTCCTTCCTGAATCTCAGATTATTCATCTGGGCTCGCTTTCCTTCCGCTTGAAGCACAACCTGTATTAATTCCTCTTAGCGTGATTTCACTGGTGGCAAATTCTGTCAGTTTTTGTTTATTTGGAAATATCTTTATTTTGTTCTAGTTCTTGAAAAACATTTTCATTGGCTATATAATTCCAGTTTGGCAATTTTTTTCAGGCCATTAATGACATGATTTTATTGTCTTCTGGTTTTCATTGTTGTTTAGAAATCAACTCTTAGGGCTGGATGCGGTGGCTCACACCTGTAATCCCAGCACTGTGGGAGGCCAAGGCAGGTGGATCACCTGAGGTCAGGAGTTTGAGACCAGCCTGACCAACATGGTGAAACCGCATCTCTACTAAAAATACAAAAATTAGCTGGGTGTGGTGGCACATGCCTGTAATCCCAGCTGCTCAGGAGGCTGCAGCAGGAGAATTGCTTGAACCCGGCAGGCAGGGATTGCAGTGAGCTGAGATCGTGCCACTGCACTCCAGCCTGGGTGACAGAGCGAGACTCTGTCTCAGGAAAAAAAAGTCTTCTCTGGTTGCTTTTAAGACTCCTTTCTTTGTCTTTAATGTTTGACAGTTTCATTATGATGTGTCTAGTGTATTTATATTTATTTGTCTTGCTTGGAATTTGCTTGGCTTCCTGAATATTTGGAATGGTGTTATCAGTTCTGGAAAATTACCTTGAAATATTTTCTCTTGAAATATTTCTCTGAGTCATTTTCTCTCTTCCATCTCTTTCTAGAACAAGAAACATTAGCCATTTACTAGACCATCTCACTTTATATTCCGTATCTCTTAGCCTATTTTGTATGTCTCCCACTCCTCTGTCTTCCCATTTTGCATTTCTCCTGACTTATTTTCTAATTCACAAATTCCCATTGCAACATGTCAAATTCTAAAGTCCACCCATTTGTTGAGATGTTATGTTTTATTTTTCAAAAGTTCTATTTGGTTCTTTTTCCTATCTTCTATACCATAGTTAGAAGTTTCTATAGTTTCCTCTTCTCCCCTACATCTTATAAACCTTGTCTTTTATTTTAAAAAACATTAAGCTTAATTATCTAGAGTTTCCAGATAATTCCAGTGTCAGAAATATTTGCAGATCTTGTTCTGTTGTCTGTGCCATCTGTTGATTTTACTCATGGCTTATTGATTTTTATGCTCTTGTTTATTTATGATTATGTATTGCTCAGTGACCTAAGGTGAAGGCATGTACAGAGATTGGCAGACATTTTCTGTAAGGACAACATAATAAGCATTTTAGGCTTTGAAGGCCATATACAGTCTCAGTTGCTTCTCCTTTTCTTCCTGCATCTCCTTTCCTCCTTCTTCTTCTGACAACACTTTAAATATATTAAAACTATTTTTAGGTTGTGGGTCTTACAAAGACAGGCCATAGGTTGGATTTGGCCTGAGGGCCATTGTTTGCTTATTTCTGGTCATTCTAGGCTTTCTCCAAAGATGTTTTGTTTCTTTCTTGTGTGTAAGGGCATTATTTTAATTAAATATATGGCTTTAAAAAAATTGAACCACTTAGGTGAAGTGAATTAGGGCTTCCAGTACATGAGGGATAGTTTACTTTGGTTCGCTCTTAGCTTGAGGAAGTAGCCCTTTGAAAGCTCTGCTAGGTCCAAATAACCTAGCCTGTTATAATGGAAGCAAAAGAATTCTATTTTCTTCTGAAAATTGTACTGAACGGCTCTTATGGGAAAGATGACCTTCTGAAAGACTATTTAAATCTGTTTTGTTCAGTTATGTTAGTAAGTCTTAGTGGTAAATGAAACATCATAATTTTAGGAGAGTACAGCAAATAAATGTTCGTTTGAAAAAAATCAATGTGAGGTTATGACCTTAAAAAATATCTTTTTAAGCTCTGTTAATAAAAGTGGCCCAACAGTGATAAAAACACTTTTATCTATGAAGAAATAGCAATCTAGCACACAGATTTTGGTCTTTAGTATCATTCTCTATTTAAAGAACTAGGAAAAATCAAAATAATTCTGGAAAACTTTGTTTTCCAGATGCAAGAATAATTTCAAATATGTTTGAACTGAAAGGACTTCAGGAAACTCCCATTCAATAAGTTATAACAATTGAACATAAAGAATACATATCATTATTATGAATGTAATTATTTGGAATAAATTAATAGAAGTCCATAAGTTTCTAACGATATCCAAAAGATAAAAGTTAAAAGTAAATGTACAAAAAGTAACTGTAATACAAAAGGAGGGATGGATATAATAGAATATGCCCAATTTTCATTACTTTCAATAAGCAGAAGACTTGATATTTAGAGTTTTTGGTGCTTTTTGTTTTTTGAGATGGGGTCTCACTGTGTTGCTCAGGCGGCAGTGCGATGGTGCAGTCTCAGTTCACTGCAACCTCCACCCCCCTGGCTTAAGCTATCCTCCCACTTCAGCCTCCTGAGTTGCCTGGACAACAGGTGCATGCCACCATACCTGGCAATTTTTTGTAGAGATGGGGTTTCGCCATGTTGCCCAGGCTGGTCTCAAACTCCTGAGCTCAAGTGATACACCTGCTTTGGCCTTCCATGGTATTGGGATTACAGGCTTGAGCCACTGTACCTGGCCAGATGCTTTTAAAACATATATTGGGTTATAAAGCAAATATATTTAGTGTTTTAATATGTGTAAGCAAGAAAGAACAAACACAAACATACATGAATAGACCAAGAATCTTGGAAAATGTAAGAATGGTACCAAGAACAAGGACTGTTTGAAGCCATGGGTCAAGCAACTTATCCAGGTAAACAAAAGGTCAGCAATCATTCGGCATCAATGGTCGTCTACAGTACGACCAAATTCAGTTCTAAGATGATAAATTAACCAAGTCTTTCAAACAGCAGAAATCATTGCACAGATTCTATCTCTCTTCTAGCTGTTCTAGCTAATTATAATGAGAGTCTGATGAAGTCTACTTAAAATTTCAATACTACTCACAGAGTGGGTCAATAGATCGCAATGACAGTCAATTAATAAGGTAATTCTGAGCTTGTGAGACTTAAAGAGTATATCATATCTGGGAAAGATACCAAATGTCAAAATTACAAATTTTACATGAAATAAGTCCTATTGATGCAATGAGTGAAACTTTATTATACAAGAAGATTAGGCCAATGAATAGAGGCTCAGGTTTGAGTCTCCTTGCACTGTGCAACCAGGTCCTGTTTCTCAACTGAGAGCTAATAGGTTGACATCCCAGAACTTGCAAACTTAGCTCCTCTGAGATGGTGTTTGTTTCTTCTTCTGAGTCTAGTAAGATGACTACATCCCGAAGAAGGTATAGATGAGCTCTGTTCAAAAGAACCATCTTCAATGGTGGAAATTTTCTTTATCTGTACTGCCCATATGGTAGCTACCAGCTATATGTAGCTATTGAGCACGTGAAATGTGACTGCCGGGGACTGAATTTTAAATTAAACTTAATTAATTTAAATTTAATTAGTTTAATTAATTTAAATAATTTAAATGGCTATTGGCTACTGCATTATGCAGAGGAGGTATATATCAGAGCTGGTAAAATTACTACAATTCTAGGAGGTAACCCCCCAGAACAGGGAAAAAACAAGAATAACAATAGGTAAAAGATAAAAATAGAGATGACCGAGAAATAAATTTAAGTCAGGGGCATTAGTATTTCTGTAAATAGTTTTAATATAATAGTAATAATCACACTTTAAACAATTGTGATATTTTGGGGGTGTTTAAGGTATTTAGGAGAATCTGATATGAGAGTTATGATCCTGAACACCTCAGAAGACTAAGTTAGTAGTCAGTTTTTGAGTGCTTGTGGAAACCTAATTTACTAAATCCATCAGTTATGATTTGTATTTTGTATGCATTTTGGGTGACTGAGAAGAATGTTAATGATTTCAGGTTTAAAATGATGCTAGCTTAGTAGAATTATAATATCAATAACCTGAATATTTAACAAAGTTCAGGGAGTAGTCAGTGTTCCTCTTCATGAACAATAGGCCCCTGGGTACACTTTTTCCTCTGGATTTTCCTACACTGGCTCTTTGCAGTTTGTTTCTAAATATAAATATGCTTTGCTTTAAGAAAATGCAGTGTGTGGCTTTGTGCCTTTATGACCCTGAACAGTTATATTCATGAGTTATACAATTCTTCTGGAAAGTCCACTGTTTCTAAAGAGACAATATCCTTTTATTCTGTCCTTCACAAGTGAGTGAAGTGTGCCCTGGTGGACTACCCAGCCTTGTCCACATGGAACTCATCCTGCCAGTAAGCTCTGCTGAATTCCCATTTGCTGACATCAAGACCGCAGCTTCTCAAGCACTTTTTAACTGGTAGGTTGAAGGAGAGCTTAGAAGTGGGGACACTAGAGCCAGACTGAGTTGGATTCAGTACCAGCTCTACCATTAAATCTGTGTGACCTAAAGCAGATGATTCTGTGCTTGGTGATGATGATACAAATAGCTACTTGGGTTTTGTTAGGATTAAATAAACTAGTTAATGTAAAGTACTTGGCATTATTATTAATTTCTCGATAAATACTCAAATTCACTGTTCTCAGTAAATCAGCTCAAATCGCCCCTCCACCTACAAGGCTAGTACTTGTGGCTCTTATTGTCTGACTTATCCAAAATGACATAGCAGTTTTCACTCTACCCTTGTCCCTCACCCCTTTCAATTCTGCTGTTCTTTTTGCAAATTACTTTATTGGGATGTTTTCTAAGCCCACTGTTCTCCAGTTTCAGTGAGTGGGGCTTTTCCCTCGTCCGTCCCCAGTCTGCTCTCCTCTTTCATGCCTCTTCATCTGTCTCCAAACTCCAGCACCTGCTCTGTGAGCTTACTCTCAGAGAAAACAGAAGCTGTCAGAAGAGAGTTTCTGCGACCTCCCTGCGCCACCGGCAGCACCTTCCAGCATCTGTACCTGCCGCTCTGCCATTCCTTTCCTTCCCGTGGATGAAGCATTTGTGTTCCCATCTATGACCAAGTTGACCATGGGTGCAATGGAGCGCAGCCTCCTCATGCATTTGAATGCTCCCGGCTCCTTTGTTGATCTCCCCTCTCTCCTGCATCCATTGTCAATTGTGTCTACTCCATCCTTCCCATCATCATGCAAACATGCCGAAACGTCTCTCTTCCTTTCTTCCCTTTGCATCAGAACTCATTGAGGAATTGCGTAACATATTGTCTCCATTTCCTCTTCTCCCCTGATCCCCTGAACCCTCTCTGCCCCTTCAAAGACATTGATTTCACCAAGATCATCAGGGACCTCCACATATTCATATCCAGAGGTCAATTCTTGGTCCTCATCTTACTTGACCTTTTAGTATGATTTGACACAGCTGATCTCTTTGTTCTCCTGAAACACATTTCCCCCTTGGCTTCCAGGACACCCCAATCTCCTTAATATTCCACTAAAAAGCCACCCATTCTCAGTCACCTTCATTAGCGTCTCCACAACCTCAGGCTTTAAATGTTGTGGTGCCCAGGGCTCAGTCTTTGGAGCTTTTCTCCTTTCTTCACCTATTCACTTGGGGATCTCATCCACCAGAGTTTTAAATGCCACTATATGTTAACAACTCCCAAACCTTATGTCTCACTCAGACTCCTCCCTTATGGGTTCAACTTCCTACTTCCATATTTCCATTTGGATGCCTACTAAACATCTCAAATAAAAAATGCCCATGAGCTCTTAATCTTCCCCCTTAAACTTGCTCTTTCTTATGTCCACCTTTTCCATGGCTCAGGCCAAAACCCTTTTTCCCTCACTTTCTTTCACGCCCCGTATCTTATCCTTTAGTAAAGCCTGTTGTCACTACCAGCAAAACATACCCGGAATCTGACCACCCCCAGCTCCCGCTCTAATCTAACCTCAACTTTCTCTCTGGGATATTCCTGCAGGAGCCTCTTACCCAGCCTTCCAGTATCCGACCTTGCTCTAATCTAACCTCAACTTTCTCTCTGGGATATTCCTGCAGGGGCCTCTTACCCAGCCTTCCAGTTTCCATCCTTGCTCCTAGAACAGAAGTGAGGGTGATTTAGTTAAAAACCAAACTCAGATTGCATCATTCTCTGCTCAAAACTCTCCAATGGGCTGGGCGTAGTGGCTCATGCCTGTAATCCCAGCAGTTTGGGAGGCCATGGTGGGTGGATTGCTTGAGGTCAGGAATTCAAGACCAGCCTGGCCAACATGGTGAAACCCTATCTCTACTAGAATACAAAATTAGCTGGGTGTGCTGGTGGGTGTCTGTAATCCCAGCTACTAGGGAGGCTGAGGCAGGAAAATTACTTGAACCTGGGAGGTGGAGGCTGCAGTGAGCTGAGATTGTGCCACTGCACTCCAGCCTGGGCGATACAGCAAGACTCGATCTTGAAACAAAAACAAAAAACCTCTCCAATGCTTCTATCTCACTCAAAGTGAAAACCAGTCCTTAGTGTGGCCAGTGCAAGTCTACACAGACTGGTCCCTGTCTCTCTATGACCTCATCTACTGCCTGTCCACTCCCTGCCCCAGTCCCACTCCCCACCCCGCCTCCCTGTTGTTCTTTAATGAGCCAGGCATGCTCCATCGTGGGCCTGCCTCTCTGACCCACTGTGCCAGCTCTGCTCCTTGTTCCCTCTGCTCTGACTACATTGTCTTGCTTCTAGGCTCTTTCTTCAATATTCCAGGCTGTCATTGAATGTTGCATTTGCTATTCCCACATGACCTGCTTCTCCATATTTCCAGGTTTTCGGTCTGGAAAACTTGGAGAGAGGTCCATTGCCCTCTCATTTTCTCTCCCCAGTGCTCTGCCCATTATGTCTCAGCATCCCTGATGAACTTTGAGAACCCCTTGACTCTCCCAACCCCAGGTTGATCCTGGGGTCGTGATTCTCTTTCCACTGGAAAGCAGATTTGTAATAGGCACTATTGGTGAGAGTGTGAGGAATCAGGCTCTGTCTACTTCTTGGTGAAAATTAAAATTGGTACCAAATTTTGGAGGGCAGTCTATGGAGGTGCCTCCTAAAGAAATAACCTCAATGCCTATTAATGGGGAATTAATTAATAGGGAAAGCCTTAGTGAAGCTTTAAGTGACCCTGCATTTAAAATTAGGGTGCTCATCTCCTGATCTTTTCTGTTTACCTTTCCTACACTGTTTGTTTATTGTCTGTTTCCCTCATCTCCCATCCCTGCTAGAGGGTAAGCTGCAGGAGGTCAGGATTTATTTATTTATTTATTTTGAGACAGAGTCTCACTCTGTCGCCCAGGCTGGAGTGTAGTGGCCTGATTTCAGCTCACTGCAACCTCCGCCTCCTGGGTTTGAGCAATTCTCTGCCTCAGCCTCCCGAGTAGCTGGGATTACAGGCACCTGCCACCACACCTGGCTAATTTTTGTATTTTTAGTAGAGATGGGGTTTCACCATGTTAGTCAGGCTGGTCTTGAACTCTTGACCTCGTGATCCACCTGCCTCAGCCTCCCAAAGTGCTGTGAATTACAGGCGTGAGCCACCGCGCCTGGCCAGGATTTTTTAAATCCCTGTATGTTTTGAAAATAATTATCTATAACACCTAGGCACATAGTAGTCACTCAAAATTAAAATACCCATTGAAAAGGTGAGTGAATGATTGAAGTTAACTGAGCTTGACTGGCTCTTGTGAAATGTAAGAATTCTTTGAAATATAATTATTTTCAATTAGTTTGCTCAAATTCAGAGTTTTAAAAGCTCTTTTTAGTGTTTGATATAATTAATGCTCCTTTTTTGACAAGACTTTGTATAATAGGAAAGGATTTTTTGAGATTAAAAAAAAGGCGCTAGAAAGAAGCATTCTTTTAATTTTAAGTTGATGAAATAAGAGCTCTTTCTCCCTGCCCCAAGTCCTATTTTAGACTGCAAATTGTTTCAAGGGAAGAATCATGAGATTAACATTTCATTTGAATTCCTGAAGCTGGACACACAGTAGCATAAAAAATTTTTTGTAACTTAAATACGCTGTGATAAAAGAACGCTTTCCCACAGCAGAAAATGGTTTAACTGAGGTCCCACTTTAAGGTGAGACCACTCACTGGTATGGAATCACTGAACCGCAGAGGTGGAGAAGCTCTGGAGATCACTTGAGCAAGGGATCCAAGTCTGTGTTAAGCACCCACCCTGCTCCAGGGTGGGGCAGGGCCTCTGTTGGGGTGGTGCCCTTTCTCATACAAGAAAACAGGTTCAACGAGGTCAGTCATTCAGCCAAAGTCATTCATCTACTAAATGGAAGAATCAGGATTCTTCCATTTGCAGGTCTTGGCTTTTCCTAGGAGACTTACATTTGCCCTCGGCCTTTTACAGACAAGGAAATGGAGGCCCAGAGAGGAGAAAGGACTTATCCAGGGTCAGAGGAAATATTAATAGTAAAATAGTCAGAGGAAATATTAATAGTAAAACCAGCGGTCTCGTCCTTGTGGTCCCCCTCAGCAACAGCCTCTCGGCCAATCGTCAAAGCATCCATTTCATCCAACCTCCCAAATGGCCTTACGTTTTTACTGCTTTTCATGTGTTCAAATGCAGTGCATTATCGTCAACTATTACTAAAATGCATTCTGTAACAAGTGAAAATTCCCCATGATTTCCCCTCTAAAGAAAGCCACCATCATCAGCTTGAAATAGTCTTTCATGGTTTTTTTTTTTTTTTGCCCCTCACCGACACACATGAGTTACATAGTTTTGTAACTTGCCATTTCTACTTCACAGTCTCTTTTGGGACTCTTCGTGTCAATAAATGTTACAACCCCATTCTAACTGTTGCATAATATTCCCTATGTGGATGCACCATGTACCATATTGTATTTAACTAATTTCCTATTAACAGTCATTGAGGTTGTTTCTTTAGGGTGCATCTCCATTGGCTGCCCTCCAAAATTTGGTACTAATTTTAATTTTTACCAAGAAGTAGACGGAACCTGTTTCCTCACACTCTCACCAGTAGTGCATATTACATATCTGCTTTCCGATGGAAAGAGAATGAGGACCCCAGGGTTAGCCTGGGATCAGGAGAGTCAAGGAGTCCCTAAAGCTCATCAGGAATGCTGGGACATAATGGGCAGAGCACTGGGGAGAGAAAGTGAGAGGACAATGGACCTCTCTCCAAGCTGGCGCCTTACCCGGCCCCAGCAGAAAGTACTCCAGTTCTAGATTCTTTTCACAAAGCAACTCATGTCTCTCCTCTGCTTAAAGTCCTCCAATGGCCTATTACTTTTATCTAAAGACACATGCCTGAGCAGAGTCTACAAGGCCTTATGATGTGGCCTCTGTCCTTTCACCCTTAGCTTGCACTATGCTCCAGCCACATGGTCCACCTCTCTGTTTCCCAAAGGAGTGAACTGGGGCAGGTTTTCCCAAGTGACAGCCCAGCATAGTTAAGGGCTTTTCCTCCTGTGCTTCTTACTTCCCCTCTGGGTGTCAGGAATACCATCCTATGTTTGGGAGTTTATGAGCACCTCGGGTTGTTGGCCAAGGGGCAGCTCCAATGACACTCAGCACAAGTTTGGGGTCCAGGAGACTGTCACTTTTCTGGTTCATCATTGGTGTCTTGTAGGCTTCTGTCAATGGAAGGTCTTCTCCAGAGAGCGGTGATGGCACTGCTTTTGTGGCCCCTCAGCTGGAAGGACTCCCGGGACTGGCTTGATGATGGTCTGCAGCCATTGGCTTGGCCTCTTCCTGCTCATTATCTCCTCCTCTCCTTGCTGATCATCTTCTCCAAGATCCACTGGTTTTCTTCATGAAGGAACACTACTCATCCAACTCTACTTACAGCCTGTGTGGCTCCCATCCCATGCTCAGGGGAGGGTGGGATGCATCTCTCCTCTTCTTTATTCATTCCATAGCAAAGGCTTAAATTCGACATCCTCTCCGTTTGGAGTCTCAAGAGACACTTTTCCCCCCCAAGAAAACCCAACCCTTGCAAATCCAAATCTTTGGCCTTTAGGACTATTATTTCTGACATGGAGTTCAACACATAAGCTTATTTTAAAAAGCTGAAAAAGAACACTACCTCTGTCTTTGTATTCCTGATATAAAAATCCTAATTATCTTTGCAGCAGCATCCAGGATGTTTCTGACTGATTTTTTTTTTTTTTTTGAGATGGAGTTTCGGTCTTGTTGCCCAGGCTGGAGTGCAATGGTGTGATCTCAGCTCACTGCAGCTTCCGCCTCCTGGGTTCAAGCAATTCTCCTGCCTCAGCCTCCCAAGTAGCTGAGATTATAGGCACCTGCCACTACGCCCAGCTAATTTTTTGTATTTTAAGTAGAGACGGGGTTTCACCATGTTGGTCAGGCTGCTCTTGAACTCCTGGCCTCAGGTAATCCGCCCGCCTTGGCCTCCCAAAGTGCTGGGATTACAGGTGTGAGCCACCGTGCCTGGCCTCTGACTGATTTTTGAAATCTTTGTAAGTAAGGGAGTATAGAAAAGAACAGGACAAAGATGATCGTGTCTAGGTATTATCTTGTGATAGGCAACATTCCCTCCTACCACAGGACCTTTGCACATGCTCTGGCTACTGGCTTGATCTCTTCTCTTTTCTTCTGCATGTTGATGCTCTAAAGCCTCAGGAAAACTGACCCTACCTAACCTCCAGTTCCACGACCTCTTGGCACCATATACTGTCCCTCCTTAACATTTGTCACAGTTACAATTTTACATTTTTTCATACTTTTATGATTAAATGCTTATCTCTCCACTAGACTGTGAGCTCCAAGAGGATGAGCACCAAGTCTCCTTTTTCTTCCTGTTTAACCCCAGAATTTAGCACAAGACCTGGCTTATTGTAGGCACTCAATATAAGAAAGAAAGAATAAATGAATAATAAATTACCACAAACTTTAACTGGGCTACATCCAGTGGCAGTGCTGGCTTGTACCTACTCATGACAGCTGACTGTGGACCTCTTTTTCCAACTTTGCATTCAGTGATGTTATGATAACTTGAATTCAGTGAGGGTGACAATATTTGTACTGTGAAAATTGGCAGATACTACAAGCAAGATCTCTTCTTTCTCCTGCCCCCCATCTGTTGTTAAATGTTTACCAGCTCTCTACTGGGTATATCTGATTTCCAAAAGTGTTTCTCCTTATCCTCTATATTATATTCACTTCTACACTTTTAATGTGATATTATATAATCTTAATGTACCCATGGTCAAGTCTTTGCCAACTTTCCTAATTCTTCTTTTTAGCATGCATTTTTTTATTCTATGTAGGCGTGAACTGTAAAATCAACAGGAATTAAAATGTGTGATATTTATTGACTGCCATAATAGAACCTAAGGATTCTGCTGCACATCATTTCACCAAAATATCAAGATTTCAGGAAGCACAAAGGCAGAAGGCAGTCTTTACAGTTTCTTCTACCAAGAAACTACAGATGCACTATAGAAAATACATTTATTTGGTGGCAGCAGGATGACATGGGCGAAGCAGTGAACAGGGATGCATGAGGTCTCCACTCCATGCCTCCTTCTACTACATAAGGGGTATGTAGCTCTGCAAAATAACCCAGCTTTTCTGGTTCCGTTTCCTCAAGTGAAACATGAGAGGGTGGAATTTAATGATTCAATTACGGGCTTTCCTGAAGAAGATGTGGGTGAGGCTGACCACACAGCCACTGGGTAGAGGAGAAAATTGAATGGATTTGGGATATGTTGGCTCATTTTGGTGAAGCTGCTCATTTCTGTTTTTACCAACGGACGCTTGGTCCCTGGGGAGTGTGTTTTGTTCTTTCAGAGCAGAGGTCCATCTTGGGTGCCTATGTTCACTTTTTATGACTTACTGGTAATTTAGTGAATACAAGGACTAGGTTAAAGTGTAGTTATTATTGAGAAAGGAGTCTTGGGGTATGGAGGTAGGGTGAGGGAGATCCCAAGCCAAAAACTTAGTACAGTTAGCTTTGAAGAGATGTGCTCATCCTGCAAAGATCATGAGCACCCACCACACATGGTCGCTGCTGCAATCATGGATTACTTCCTGAGTCTACCTTTATGTTAGGTGGGGCATACTGATCCCAGTTAAGACTGTTATGAATGGCCTCAAAGCAATACAACATACACCTCTGCCTTTTGGTGGTTACAGTAAGTTCTGTAATGCTGGCAAAGTATTTGCCTTGATAAATGTAGGAGAGAAGATTCTAAGTTGCTTAAGAAATAGAGCTCTAAGAGGTATTGTTGATGTTGTCAATCTTTCTAAATACACATGGTCTTTCTTATTATTTTAAGACAGTCTCACTCTGTCACCCTGGCTGGAGTGCAGTGGCACAGTCTTGGCTCACTGCAACCTCCACCTCCAGGGTTCAAGCGATTCTTGTGCCTGGGATTACAAGCGTGAGCTACCACGCATGGCTAATATATATATATATATATATATATATATATATATATATATATATATATATATATATTTGTAGAGACGGGGTTTCACCATGTCGGCCAGGCTGGTTTCAAACTCCTGGTTTCAAGTGATCTGCCCACCTCAGTCTCCCAAAGTGCTGAGTGTACAGGAGTGAGCCACTGTGCCCAGCCTAAATATACATGGTCTTTAAAAGACCTTATATCTGACAGCAAATCACCTCTAGGTAATAGGCATTAGCTCATGGAAGTCCTAGGAGTCTTAGAGATATTTTAAAAAAGAATATTGTCTTAGTCGATTTTCTGTTGCAATAACAGAATACCACAGACTGGGTAATTTATAAAGAAAAGAAGTTTATTTAGCTCATAGCTGTGGAGGCCGGGAAGTCCAAGAGCATGTTGCTTGCATCTGGTGAGAGCCTTCCTGCTGTGTCATAACATGGTGGGGGACATCACATGGTGAGAGGGCAAGTGTTTGGGTGTCAGCTCAGGTTTCTCTTCCTCTCCATACAAAGCCACCAGTCCCATCATGACAGCCCTACCCTGATGACCTTATCTAATTTTAATTACTTCCCAAAGGCCTCACATTCAATCAGCATACGAATTTGGGGACTAAGTTTCCAACACATGAAATTTGGGGAATACATTCATACCATAGCAAATACAAATTCCTTTCTCATGACCTTCATAATGCCTTGGTCAAAAATAAAGGTCACTGGGGTAATGCATAGGGATGCGGAAGTTTATAATTACAGGGGGCCAAGTCACACTGACCATTCATAAGTGAGGCAAGCCCTTTTACAATCTCCCTGAAAATGATCAACTAATTTCTCCTTAAATATTTTCAGCAAACTAACACCTTAACAAGGCAGCTCACAAATTATAAAATATCAGAGAGAACTGAAATTCATCTCCCCAAAATTTGCACCAACTTTGTAACTGCCATCACTCACCAGGCCCTGATTTTCTTCTTAGGCTTTAGTAAAATCCTTTTTCCCAGCTCACCCTGAATGTCTATTTTTAAAACCCAGCTCAAACCTTCCTGATATTTACCATCAATAGCTGTGACTTAGACTTATTTGGGCTTCAGAAGATTCCAAGCTACTTTCTCCAGATTCTATGGATACTTCTATCGCAGCTGGTGTGTCTGGCAGCTGAGCAGACCTACAATTTTAGGAGAAGCATCTCACAAATAACTTAGTGCATCAATGTATGTGGTTCTAATTATCAGTTGCCCCGACCCTCTCACCCGCTTTACTTAGGAACCATATGAATGTGCAAAAGGCAGATAACAAGAGACTTGTAGTATTGGTGCTCATGGTCTATCAAATCTCTAACTTTTAAAAACATATAGTGGATCACGAGGTCAGGAGATCGAGACCATCCTGGCTAACACGGTGAAACCTCATCTCTACTGAAAATATAAAAAATTAGCCGGGCGTGGTGGTGGGTGCCTGTAGTCCCAGCTACTCGGGAGGCTGAGGCAGGAGAATGGCATGAACCTGGGAGGCGGAGCTTGCAGTGAGCCGAGATTGCACCACCGCACCCAAGCTTGGGTGACAGAGAGAGACTCCAACTCAAAAAACAAAACAAACAAACAAAAAACATATATAGCTCTGAGAAATCATACCGAAATAAATTCCACAAGAATTTTTTAGACTGCCTAAGGCACAATGACTGTTCGGCTGAAAATTTTGGAAAGTTTTCTACTTCACCTCTGATCTTGGTGCAGTGTGGGCCAGTATTTGTAAAACAGGTCACCCTTAGGAATACTTCAAGTTTATGAAAGCGGGTTCTCTCCACTGTGAGTGGCTGGAACACCGGCAGAACATTTGTAATCAACCAGTAAACATCTAGTGAGATAAGGTCAGGCTCTCAAGGAACTTCAACTCAGTTGGGAAAAAAGCTGGCAGGACTTGATGGGGAAAAAACCAAAGTAAATGCATTTTAAAATGTCTTCTCAAATTCCCACCTTTATTAGTCAGGATACAAGTTTGGGGGCTGTAATAAAGAAAGGTCAAAATACAGTGGCTTAAAGGAAGATTTTTTCTTTCCTGTGTGAAAATATGAGTAGATGGCCCAGAGCTAGTATGGTGATTCTGTAGTGTTGAGGATCTGAGATGTCTTGCTTCTCTGCCATCCTCAACATTCAGATTCCATGTCATCCTCCATGGTGGCTGCACGTTTCAGCCATTGCATCCATAGTTTAGCTGGCACAGGGCCTACTGCATCTAGTAGTCTATCTAGCACAGGGGAAGGGGAAGGAATGCTTCTTCCCTTCTATAGCACAACGTGGAAATCACACACTCCTCTTACACTTATGTCTGGCTATGTATATGGTCAGATCTTAGTCACACAGCCACACACCCAGTTTGAAGAGAGTCTAGGGAATGTCCCTTTAGTTGAGTGAACATTTGCCCAGCTAAAATGTATATTGGTATGGAGGAAGGGGGAATTGGATTAAAGAGGGGGACTAGCAGTCTCTGTCCCATCATTGAACTTAATAACAGAGGCCCGGTGCAGTGGCTCAAGACTGTAATCCTCCCAGCACTTTGGGAGGCCGAGGCGAGTGGATCACCTGAGATCATGAGTTCGAGACCAGCCTGCCCAACATGGTGAAACCCCATCTCTACTAAAAATACAAAAAAAAAAAAAAAACTATCTGGGTGTGGTGGCAGGAGCCTGTAATCCCAGCTACTTGGGAGGCTGAGGCAGGAGAATTGCTTGAACCCAGGAGGCCGAGGTTGCAGTGAGCTGAGACTGCGTAATTGCACTCCAGCCTGGGCAACAAGAACGAAACTCCGTCTCAAAAAACAAAACAAAACAGCAGAACAAAACCACCAATTAGAGTTGCTAACATTAAAGTGATTGCATCCAATGTTGGTGAGTATGTGGGTAAGCTGGTCCCCTCATACAATATTGACAGGAGTGTAAATTGATGTAAGCTTCTTAGAGGGAAATTTGGCAGCATCAGTCACTCTTTAAGATGTGCATGCTCTCTGTCCCAGCAATTGCACTTCTAGAAATTTATCCTACAGAAGCATCCTGCAACATGCTTAAGTATTTATCTATAAAGACGTTCATGGAAACATTGTTAGTGATAGCAAATGACCAGAAAGTCCTTAAATACCCATCAAGAGGGAGCAAGTTTATTTTATTTTACTTTTGAGACAGGGTCTTGCTCTGTTGCCCAGGCTGGAGTGCAGTGGGGCAATCATGGCTCACTGCAGCCTTGACCTCCTGGATTCAAGTGATCCTCCCACCTCAGCCTCCCAGGTAGCTGGGACGACTACAGTTGTGCGCCACCATGCCTGGCTAATTTTTTAAAATTTTTTTATTGTAGAGATGGGGTTTCCCCATGTTGCCCAGGCTGGTCTCAAACTCCTGGGCTCAAGCCATTCACCTGCGTTGGCTTCCCAAAGTGCTGGGATTACAGGTGTGAGCCACTGTGCCCAGCTAACAGGGAGCAAATTTAGAAAGTTATGGTGCATGTACATAATAGAATGGTATACAATTATTGAAAAGAAAAAAGTAGATCAATATATACTGATACAGAATATGTCCAAGCGATATGAATTAAAAAAGCAAGTTTGAGAATAGTACACATAGAAATGTTCCATTTTTGTGAAAAAATATGCACGTATATGTTTGCATATATACCCACGTATGTTTGTATATGCATAGAAAAATGTGAAAGGGTGTAGTCTGCAGTGTTAGCTGTAATTCCAGGCTGTGGAATTACAAGCTGGGTGGCGTAGTTTTCACTTTTGATTTTATACACATCTGTAATGTTTGGGATGTTGCATGAATACGCATCCCTTTTGTAGTAAAATATACAAATTTGAGGAAAATTAATTTAAAAAAGATAAAGCATTAAACCATGAAATGTCGTTGCAGGAAAATGTAACTAAGTGCAAAAAGTTTGGGATATCTCAAATGCCACAGGAGTTAGGGTGAGGGGAGATCAATCAGCATTGAAGAGGTAGAAGGAGGCTTTCTGAAGAGGCAAAGAGAACAGAATTACATGAAAAGGACAGAATATAGGATTCTGTACACAGTGTGATGCTAGTGAGGATGTGTGCGTCCAAGTAGATAGATGCATATAAATAAACACAACAGTGGTACCCCAAAATGTGATTAACAGTGTTATTAAATGCTATTAGCTCTCTGTGAGATATGTGTTTTAATTTTCTTAAAGAACACTCTTGATTTTATAATTTTTTTAACCAAAAAATTAAAAATAAAAGACTCAGTGATGTTTGTACAGGTGGGAAAGGATGAAAGGAGCTTCTGTTTGTAGAGCAGGCAGACAGGTGGATGTGTGAGACTCTTTAGATGAGTCTCTAGCGGAGGTCAGGAAGACACCACTTCTCCATCAGTCCTTCACACGCCCAGATGCAGGGTGGGAGAGTTGCGATTAGGACTTATTGGCCACTCCTGAGTCAGGTGCTTTGCCTCTTAACTCACTGAATCCTTAGTATGTTCCTGCCCCTGAAGAACATAATTATCTCCAGGATGGGAGCAGGAGTTATAGGAAGGCATATTCTAGCTTGCTGTGAGGGCAACAACCTATTAAATTGGATTTTTTAAAAAATTATACTTTAAATTCTGGGATACATGTGCAGAATGTGCAGGTTTGTTATATAAGTATACATGTGCCATGGTGGTTTGCTGCACCCATCAACCTGTCATCTACATTAGGTGTTTCTCCTAATGCTATCCCTCCCCTAGCCACCCACCCCCTGACAGGCTCCAGTGTGTGATGTTCACCTCCCTGTGTCCATGTGTTAAAGTCATGCACCGGCCAGTCCAACATGTTCATTTTCAAAGGTGATATAAAAATTTTGGCTCAATGACTTTAAATGCTACCACTCACCTCAAGGGTAGTAAGAGGCCAGGTTGTGTAACCATTGGTGGAGAGGACTTTTGGAGAGAACTATAAGTGTGCTCCAAAGTCCCCCAACCCCAACACAAAGGGGAGAGAGTGGGGGCAGTGATGTACCAAAGGGTGGGGCAGGAAGAGTCTGTCCCAG
The DNA here is from genome assembly GCF_000001405.40 of Homo sapiens. Classification (NCBI taxonomy): domain Eukaryota; kingdom Metazoa; phylum Chordata; class Mammalia; order Primates; family Hominidae; genus Homo; species Homo sapiens. The sequence continues at coordinate 42,105,181 of NC_000001.11, read as the reverse complement.
CAGGGGGAGGTACTTTGTCACAGACACTGTTTAGTATTGCCAGAGCATGTTGATCATAAAAATTAGACCAGCATTTAGCTGGTTTCACTATGATTTAAAAATTCTCTGCAACACTGCACCTCCTCACTGCCTGTACCCAGGGCAGAATGCTCCCATCACCCCTGAACCTTAGGATGCTGCTGGAGGGATGAATCTTTGTCTTCCATAAGTCAAGAGAGAAATGCTATTTTCTTTCTTCTCCATTATAAGAGAAACTTATGCATCTGCAGTTTGAGAGGGGAGAAGGGCTGTGAACTGGGGTCTGATTCCCATCTGAGAAATCTGAAGCAGGTCAGGCTGGCCAGCTGCCAGTGGGTAAGTGGAAAAAGAGGAGGGTGTGTTGGGGGAATCCTACAGCCCCAGAATGTCAGGGCAGAGGATGCTGAAGTGTTTTGCATAGACCAGTTTCTGGCCATATGCACAAAAAGCCTTGGGTGGAGTCACAACAGGTCCCCAGCCTCCACCTCCCCTGGGAAGGTTGGCTGGAGGGGCAAACATGCAGCAAGATGCTTGTACCAAGAGAATCACTCAGTGATGGGTGAGTGGCTAGCCCTAAAGAAACCACAGAAGCACCCATGGAAAGGAAGGGTCAACTCTAAACACCTGCCAGACCCAGGGAGCCCAAAGCCAGCAAAAAACAGTACCCAGCACCTAAGAACTTTCCTGTCTCGGGTGGGGGGCATCAGTATTAGCCAGCCAGTGGGCGAGGGAGGAAGAGGGAAAGAAGCCTGGTTGGGTTTTCCACCTGGGCCTGGTCTGAGCTCAGCAGAGGGGCAGTGAAGAGCTGTAATGTTGAATGGATTTGGGAGAGTTGACAGCTACCTGAGATTGGACACCCTCATGACTGACTGGAGGACTTGTATCACCCAAAAGTGGCTAGAAAAGTCAAAGGAGGACCTGAAGAGTGGAAGACAAAAAGACAGGTGCTTTGGACCATGAGTCCTACTTGTTCAACACACTGTTACATAGAGAACTTCCTAAAAATTAGAGCTCATTACCCCATTAGGCTCTTAGTGCCAAAAGGGCAAGACTGGCATCCATCTTGTTCCTTGCATCTTCAACACCTGGCACAGTGCCTGGCATATACCACGCAGTCTATAAGTAGCCCTTGAATGAATTAATACATCTTAATCAAGCTAGGTGGGCTGTACTATGAAGGGGTGAGCTTCCTGTGACAAGGAGGATGGAAGTAGGTGGTCCCAGAGGTGGACTCGCAGAGGGTCTCGCTTTGTCTGGAAGATTGGCTACGTGGTGCCTACATTTCCTTTCTGCCCACTGTTTTCATGGCTTTATGCTCTAGCATGGTTTCCCTACCTTATCTATAAAGAGTTAACACCAAAAGCCAAGATAAGGCCAGGCTTTAGAAAAGGTGTGCTTTTTTGTTTCTGCTTTTGATTTTTCCAAAAATGAAATTAACGAGCAAAGTACAAATCTTTGTGCTAAGTATTTACATGTATTTTCTCTTCTCTGAAATAAATCTGAAAGGCAGATACTATTTTTAACCCTCATCCTGAGAGAGGTTGAATAATTTACTCAAGGCTACCACTTAAGCTAGCAAGTTGCCAAGATGGGATTCAAATGTAGGATGCTTTTTTTTTTTTTTTTTTTTGGAGGTGAAGTTATGTGATTTTCTTTCCTTATTCATGAGGTGAGACACTTTCTCAGGCTTTTGGATTCACATGGCTTAGGGGAAAACCATGCGTGGTTTTAGGATTAAAGGGGCAGAATTTGAGAGGCAAGGGGCCATATATTCAGAGTGCTTTGGGTCCAAGAAGAGGAAAGGGGTAGAAGGATTACAATATGGAGCCCCTCACCTGTCTTTGCAGGTAGCGGTGGGGCACACTGAGCAGCTGCAGACTTGGGATGAGGAGCCAAAGCCCATGGATCTCAGTGGGTTTTGAGGAGCTGATCAGTGGGTTTCTCTAGACCCCAGAATGCACATCAGTGGATACCAGGGCCACACTACTTGGATGGACTTAGCTTGAAGATGCCATCAGAGTCGAATATATCTACTTTAATTTTTCAAGCTATTTAATTGAAGTATAACATACCACATGAAAGAGCAGAAGTCATAAGTTCACAGTGCAGTGACATCTTCCAAAATGAAAACTTCTGTTCGGACACCATCCAGGTCAAAAAACATAATGTTAAGACCACTCCAGACCCCCAGCTCCTTGTGTCTCCAGCCAGTCCCAAACCCTCACCCCAAAGGCAGCTACTATTCTGCTTTCTAACACCATAGAAATCTTTGTCTAGTTTTGAAATTGAATCAATGGAACCAAACTGTGTGTTCTGTGTCTGATTTCTTTTGGTCAGCATTACATCTGTGAGATTTGTTTATGCTCTTGCATGTAGTTTACTCTTTTTCATTGCTGTATATTATTCCATTGTAGAACTTCACCATGGTTTATTTATTTCTTTTGCTATTAACAGACATTTTTTTTTCCAGTTTGGGGTGATAACAAGTGATGATGCTATAGATTTCTTATATATGTCTTTTTGTGCATATATGCACACATTTCTCTTGGAACTATACTTGGGATTATTGGATCCTATGATATGCATATGTTCAACTTTGCCAGATCCTGCTAAACCATTTTTGAAGGTGAATGTACAATTGTCCCCACTCACCAGCGGCATAGAAAGTTCTAGGTTTTTTTTTCACATCTTTGCCAATACTTGGTAATACCAGTTCTTTTAATTTTAACTATACTGATGAGCATGTAGTAGTAATTCATTTTGGGTTTATTTTGCATTTCTTAGATGACTAAAGCTGTTGAACATCTTTTCATAGGTTTCTTGGGGGCCATTTGAAATTATCCTTGTTTGTGAAGTGCCTATTCAAGTCTCTTGCCCATTTTTCTATTATATTGTCTGTCTTTTTTCTTACTGATTTGTAGGGACTTTTAATATACATGACTGTGAGCTCTTTATCAGCTCTCTTTTGTAAATACCTCCCACTCCATGGCTTCTCATTCCCTTAATGGCATGTTTTGAAGAAAGAAAGTTATTCATTTTAGCATAGTCCAATTTATCAATCTTTTGGTCATAAAGATCTTGTCCTATGTCATTTTCTAAGAAGGCGTTCTTCTCCCTATTGGGTGGTATTGGCAGCTTTGTCTTAAATCTAGCATCCATATGTGCACGAATTTGTTTATAGATAGTTTATGTTTGGTCTATTTGTCTATGTTTATTTTCCAATGCCACACTGTCCTATTTCCTGTACCTTTATAATAAGTTTCATTATCTGATAGCATACATCCTTTAGCTCTGCTCTTCTTTCTCTTCAAAATTGCCTTGACTCTTTGCATTTCAATAAAAATTTAGAGTCTGCCTGTCAATTTCCACAAAAATCAAAACCATCTGGGGATTTTATTGGGATCATTTTGAATCTATAGAGGGAGAGTGAACATCTTAACAATATTGTCTAATCATGAATATATTATATTTCTCCATTTATTTATTCAGTCTTTAACATATTTCAACAATATTTTTGAGTTTTTGGGTTGAGGTCTTACACATCTATTTTGAATCGAATTCTAGGTTGATTTGTTTTGTGATGCTATTGTAAATAGTATTTTTCTTAACTTTTTTTTTTTTTTAAATTATACTTTAAGTTTTAGGGTACATGTGCACAACGTGCAGGTTTGTTACATATATATACATGTGCCATGTTGGTGTGCTGCACCCATTAACTCGTCATTTAACATTTTATTTTCTAAAGGCTTGTTGCTGGTATATATAAATAAAATTTAAAAAACATATTGATTTTGTATGCACTGGCCTTGCTAAATTCACTATTTTTCTCTATCATTCAGTCATTTAATGACTTTATTTTAATTGTGGTAAAATACATATAACACGCAATATACTATCTTAACTACTTTAAGCTTAACTATCTTTAAGCGTGCAGTTTAGTGGCAGTAAGCACATTCCCATTGTTGTATCTTCACCACCATTCATCCACAGAACTCTTTTTGTCTTGTAAAACTGAAATTATGTACCTATTAAACTCATTTATTCATTTTGAACTGAGACATAATTCACATACCATAAAATTTACCCTTTATAAGTGTACAATTCAGTGGTTTTTTTTTTAAACCACTGATATTTGTTTTTTTCCAATTTGGGCTGAATGGAGAAAACTTTGTGAATGGTTTCACAAAGTTATGCAACCATTATCTAATTCCAGAGATGTTCAACTCTCCAAAAATAAACCCGTTCTCATTAGCAGTCACTCCCAATTCCCCTCTCCCCTCCTCCCTTCTTTATTTTTATCCTGTTTATCTTTGTATCTGTTCTTACACCAGCACTGCACTGTCTTGGCTCATTTGAAATTGAGAAGCGTGAGTCCTCTGAACTTGCTTTTCTTTTTCAAGATTGTTTTGGTTATTCTGCAGCCCTTATATTTCCATATAAATTTAGGATCAGTTTTCAATGTCTTCAAAAAAGACAACTGGAATTTGGTAGAGATTGCATTGAATCTGTAGATCAATTTGGGAAATATTGCCATCTTAATAATATTAAAGCTTCCCATCCTGTAACATGGGATGCCATTCCATTTATTTAGATCTTTAATTTCTTTCAATGATCTTTTGTAACTTTTATCATATAAATATTATACTTCTTTTACTGAATTTATTTCTAATTGTTTTATTCATTCTGATGTAATTATAAATAGATTTGTTTTCTTAATTTCCTTTTTGGATTTTTTTGTTGCTGATGTGTGGAAATAAAGTTAATTTCACTATATTGATCTTGTGTCCTGCAACCTTGCTGAATTTGTTTTTTAGCTCTATTTGCTTTTTAGTGGCTTCCTTAAAATTTTCTGTCTATAGAATAACGTCATCTATGAATACAGAGAGTTTTATGTCTTTTCCAATGTGAATTTAAAAAATTTCTTTCCATTGACTATTGCCATAGTTAGAATCTCCAGTGAAATGTTGAGTAGAAGTGGTGACAGTGGACATCCTATGTCTTGTTTTTGATCTCAGGAGGATAACTTACAGTCTTTTGCTATTAAGTATGATGTTAGTTGTGGGTTTTCGTAGTCAACTTTTTTCAGGTTGAGGAAGTTCCCTTCTATTCTTAGTTTGCTTAGTGTTTTTTTAATCATGAAAAGGTGTTGAGTTTTGTCAATGCTTTTTCTGCATCTATTGAGATGATCATGAGGTTTTTATCCTTTATTCCATTAATATGGTGCATGACATTGATTGATTTTTATATGTTGGGCCAACTATCATTCCTGTAATAAATCCCACTTGATCTTGTGTATAATCCTGTTATGTAATATTTTGTGGATTTGGTTTGTTAGTGTTTTGTTGAGGATTTTTGTGTCTATATTTATAAGCCATGTTGGTCTGCAGTTTCCTTGTGATGTTTTTATGTGGTTTTCGTGTCAGGGTATAATACTGGCCTCATAGAATGGATTGGAAAGTGTTTCATTCTCTTTTAGTTTTTGGAATAATTTGTGAAAGATTAATATTAATTCTTCTTTAAAAGTTTGGTGTGTTTCACTAGTTAAGGCATTGGGGTTTTCTTTGTGTGAATTACTACTAATTCAATTTCTTTACATGTTATAGGTTTATTCAGATTTTTTATTTCTTCTTGAGTCAGTTTGGTAGTTTGTGTTTTTCTAGGAATTTATCCATTTCATCCAGGTTTTAAAATTTGTTGGCATTCAATTTTTCATAGCATTCCCTTATAATCTTTTTATTTCTGTGAGGTTAGTTGTAATGTCCTCTCTTTCATTCCTGATTTTAGTAATTTGAGGTTTCTCTCTTTTTTCGTTTTCTTGATGAGTATAGCTAAAGGGTTGTCAAATTATTTCTTGTACAATACACTCTGTTTTAAAATATTTTGAGTGGTCTTATTGGAATATAATTGTTATTCCAAATTGCACATATTTAATGTATACAATTTTATAGGTTTGAACATATGCACACACCCATAAAACCATCATCACCATCAAGATAATAAACATATTCATCACCTCCAAAAGTTTCCTCTGACAGTTGCCTCTTTTTTGCAGTAAGAACATTTAGCTTGAGATTTACCCTCTTAATGAAATTTTAAGTGTACAATAAAGTATTGTTAACTATAGGCACAGTGTTTACAGCAGCTCTCTAGAACTTCTTTTTGCATAACTAAAACTTTTCCCCTGCTGCACTCCCCATTTCCCCTCCCCTCCAGCCCCTTGTAATCACCATTATGTTCTCTGCTTTTATGAATTTAACTATTTTAGATACCTCATATAAGTGGAATCATGCAGTATATGTGCTTATGTGACTGACTTATTTCACTAAGCATAGTGTCCTCCAGGTTCATCCATGTTGTCACATATAGCATGACCTTCTACTTTTTTAAGGCTGAAAGATATTCCATTGTATGTATAACACATATTCTTTATCCATTCATTGGTTTGGGGACATTTAAGTTATTTTATATCTTGGTTGTTGTGAATAATGCTCCAATGAACATGAGAATGCAAATATTTCTTTGAGATTGTGATCTCAATTCTTTTGGATATCTACCCAGAAGGGACATTGCTGGATTATATGGTGTCCGATTTTTAACTTTTTTTGAGGAAACTCGATATTATTTCCCATTGAGTTTGCATCAAAATCACAATGGCATATTTTATTTTATTATTTTATTTTAAGTTCCAGGATACATGTGCAGGGTGTGCGGGTTTGTTGTCTTCCACAATGGTTGAACTAATTGACATTCCCACCAACAGTGTAAAAGCTTTCCTATTTCTCCACAGCCTCACCAGTATCTGTTGTTTCTTGACATTTTAATAATCGCCATTCTGACTGGTATGAGATGGTATCTCATCATGGTTTTGATTTGCATTTCTATATAGGTAAACGTGTGCCATGGTGGTTTGCTGCACCTATCAACCCATCACCTAGGTATTAAGCCCCGCATGTATTAACTATTTATCCTAGTGTTCTCTCTCCCACTGCATCCTCTGACCAGCCCCGATGTGTATTGTTCCCCTCCCTGTGTCCATGTGTTCTCATTGCTCAGTTCCCACTTATCAGTGTGAACATGTGGTGTTTGGTATTCCGTTCCTGTGTTAGTTTGCTGAGGATAATGGCTTCCAGCTCCATCCATGTCCTTGCAAAGGGCATGATCTCATTCCTTTTTATGGCTGCATAGTATTCCATTGTGTATATGTACCATATTTTCTTTATCCAGTCTATCATTGATGGGCATTTTGGGTTGATTTCATGTCTTTACTATTGTGAATGATGCTGCAATGAACATATGTGTGCATGTAAAGACTAGCTCCAGGAGTGGGGGCTTTCAGGGAACTTCCAGAAAAGCCAGATAATGATATATTTCTGAGGATGGGGATTTTGGGGAGCACCAAATTAATTCTACCCCCTCAATGGCGGCTAGGCTGCTGGTTTCATGGTTACCATGATTGTAAGTCGATTGGTTTTTAAGGCTACCATGGAGTTGGGGAGAAAAGTATGGAAATAAGGCAGGTTAAAGTACTGCAAACCATACTGCTCTTACTGAGATTTAGCTGTGTGTGTGTGTGTGTGTGTGTGTGTGTATTTTTAACAAATGCTCTTCAGATTGCGTCAAACCTTTGATTATTTTCTGAGTTCTGAAGAAGTTGATTTTTACAGTCTCCTTTGCCAGTGTTTTTGTTGCTTTTTTTTTTGAAGAGTAGGTTTTAAGAAGTCCTTACTTATCCATTTTCACTTATTAATTCTAATAGTTTGTAGAGTCTGTTGTGTTTTCTACATACACAATTATATTTTCTTTAATGTTGGCAGTTTTTTCCTTCATTTCCAGTTCTTGCATCTTTTATTTCTTTTGATGACGTTACACTGGCCAGGATCTCTAGTACGGTGATAAATAGAAATAACGGAAGTAGAATTTTTTCTTTTTCCTTAGCTTAGGCAGAAAATTTTTAACACTTTACCCTAAGTGTTACTTTTACCATAAATATTTTGTAGCTGCTCTTTATCATATGAAGTCTAGTTTTAGTTTGTGAAATGTGTTGTTTTACTTAATTAGGAACTAGTTTTGAGTTTCATCAAATGCTTATTTTTCATGCAGTGAGATGGTTCAATGACATTTATCCTTTATTTTATAAATGTGTTGAACTATATTAATTTATGCTGTAGTTTGAATGTTTGTAACCTCAAACCTCATGTCAAAATTTGATCCCAATATTGGAGGTAGGTCCTAATGAGAGGTGTTTTGGTCATGGGGGGTGGATCTCTCGTGAATAGGTTCATGCTCTCCTTGAGGGAGTAGGTGAATTTTCACTGTATTAGTTCCCATGAGAGCTAGTTGTTTAGAAGAGTCTGGCACCTCTTTTAAACAACCTCTCTGTCTTACTTCCTCTTTTGCCATGTGATCTCTGCATATACCAGCTACTCTTCACCTTCTGCCATGAGTGGAAGCAGCCTGAGCAGATGCTAGTGCCATGCTTCACCAGAAGCAGATGCTTTTTGTATAGCCTGTAGAACCATGAGCCAAATAAACCTCTTTTCTCTAAAAACTACCCAGCCTCAGATATTTCTTTATAGCAATGCAAAACAAAGAAGACAGGCAATTGGTACTGAAGAGTGGGGTGTTGCTCTAAAGATACCTGAAAGTGTAAAAGCAGCATTGGAATTGGGTAATGGGCAGAGGTTGGAAGCGTTTGGAGGGCTCAGAAGAAGACAAGAAGATGAGGAAAAGTTTGAAACTTCTTAGAGATTGGTTAAGTGGACCAAAATGCTGATAGAAATATAGATGGTAAAAGCTAGGTCATGAGGTCTCAGATGGAAATGAGGAATTTATTGGTAACTGGAGCAAAGGTCATGCTTGTCACACTATTGCAAAGAACTTGGATGCATTGTGTCCATGCTTTAGGGCTGAACTTAAGAATGATGACCTAGGGTATCTGGCAGAAGAAATTTCTAAGCAGCAAAGCATTCAAGAAGTGGTGTGGCTATTTTTAACAATGTATGGTCAGATATGGCAACAAAAGAATGACCTAAAGGTAGACTTTATAATTAAAAGGGAAGCAGAGTGTAAAAATTTGGAAAAGTTGTGGCCTGACCATATGGTAGAAAATAAAAGAGAGTTTTTAGGAGAGGGATCCAAGGGTGTTACAGAGCAAACATTTGCTAGAGAGATTAGCATGGATGAAAGGAAGCCAGGTGCTAATAGTCAAAACAATGGGGAAAAGGACCCAAAACATTTCAGAAGTCTCTAGGCTGTTGATACAGTTTGGATATTTGTCCCCTCCAAATCTCATGAAGGACCTCTCCAAGGAGAACTACAAACCACTGCTCAAGGAAATAAAAGAGGATACAAACAAATAGAAGAACATTTCATGCTCATGGATAGGAAGAATCAATATTGTGAAAATGGCCATACTGCCCAAGGTAATTTATAGATTCAATGCCATCCCCATCAAGCTACCAATGACTTTCTTCACAGAATTGGAAAAAACTACTTTAAAGTTCATATGGAACCAAAAAAGAGCCCACATTGCCAAGTCAATCCTAAGCCAAAAGAACAAAGCTGGAGGCATCACGCTACCTACCTGACTTCAAACTATACTACAAGGCTACAGTAACCAAAACAGCATGGTACTGGTACCAAAACAGAGATATAGATCAATGGAACAGAACAGAGCCCTCAGAAATAACACCACATATCTACAGCTATCTGATCTTTGACAAACCTGAGAAAAACAAGTAATGGGGAAAGGATTCCCTATTTAATAAATGGTGCTGGGAAAACTGGCTAGCCATATGTAGAAAGCTGAAACTGGATCCGTTCCTTACACCTGATACAAAAATTAATTCCAGATGGATTAAAGACTTAAATGTTAGACCTAAAACCATAAAAACCCTAGAAGAAAACCTAGGCATTACCATTCAGGACATAGGCATGGGCAAGGACTTCATGTCTAAAACACCAAAAGCAATGGCAACAAAAGCCAAAATTGACAAATGGGATCTAATTAAACTAAAGAGCTTCTGCACAGCAAAAGAAACTACCATCAGAGTGAACAGGCAACCTACAAAATGGGAGAAAATTTTCGAAACCTGCTCATCTGACAAAGGGCTAATATCCAGAATCTACAATGAACCCAAACAAATTTACAAGAAAAAAACCAACAGCCCCATCAAAAAGTGGGCAAAGGATATGAATAGACACTTCTCAAAAGAAGACATTTATGCAGCCAAAAGACACATGAAAAAATGCTCATCATCACTGGCCATCAGAGAAATGCAAATCAAAACCACAATGAGATACCATCTCACACCAGTTAGAATGGCAATCGTTAAAAAATCAGGAAACAACAGGTGCTGGAGAGGATGTGGAGAAATAGGAACACTTTTACACTGTTGGTGGGACTGTAAACTAGTTCAACCATTGTGGAAGTCAGTGTGGCAATTCCTCAGGGATCTAGAACTAGAAATACCATTTGACCCAGCCATCCCATTACTGGGTATATACCCAAAGGACTATAAATCATGCTGCTGTAAAGACACACACACACGTATGTTTGTTGCAGCACTATTCACAATAGCAAAGACTTGGAACCAACCCAAATGTCCAACAATGACATACTGGATTAAGAAAATGTGGCACATATACACCATGGAATACTATGCAGCCATAAAAAATGATGAGTTCATGTCCTTTGTGGGGACATGGATGAAATTGGAAATCATCATTCTCAGTAAACTATCGCAAGGACAAAAAACCAAACACCGCATGTTCTCATTCATAGATGGGAATTGAACAATGAGAACACATGGACACAGGAAGGGGAACATCACACTCTGGGGACTGTTGTGGGATGGGGGGAGGGGCAAGGGATAGCATTAGGAGATATACCTAATGCTAAACGACGAGTTAACAGGTGCAGCACACCAGCATGGCACATGTATACATATGTAACTAACCTGCACATTATGCACATGTACCCTAAAACTTAAAGTATAATAATAATAAAAAAATAAAAAAATAAAAAATAAAAATAAAAATAAAAAAAAAAAGAAATGTGATCCCCAATGTTGGAGGATGGAGGTGGGGCCTGGTGGGAGATGTTTGGGTCATGGGGGTGGATCCCTCATGAATGGCTTAATGCTCTCCCCTTGGTAATGAGTGAGTTCTCATTTTATTACTTCACGTGACATCTAATTGTTAAAAGGAGGCTGGCACCTCCTCCTCTCTCTCTTCTTTTCTCTCTCTCACTATTTCATGTGCCTGCTTCCCTTTGCCTTCTTCCATGATTATAAGCTTCCTGAGCCCCTCACCAGAAGCAGATGCTGGTGTCATGCTTCTTGCACAGCCTGCAGAACTGTGAGCCAAATAAACCTCTTTTCTTTATAAATTAATCAGCTTCAGGTATTCCTTTATAGCAATGTAAAATGTATCAGCACAGCTGCACATCCCATCACAGGCCCAGAGGCCTAGTAGGACTGAATTGTTTTGGAGGACATGCCTGGGACACCTCTGCCCTGCACCACATTGGACTGCTACTCCCTGCATCCCAGCTCCCTGGATACCACAATGGTGGTACAGGCATTGGGTATATATTCCCAGCTGGAGCAGCCTTGGTTCAAATGGCCCCAGGTACTGCTTGGGCTGCCACTCCAGAGGATGCAAGCAAGCCATAAGCCCTGGTGGCATCCATGTAGTGGTAAGTCTGCAAGCACCCAGAATACAAGAGCCGTGGGGGCTTGGTAGCTTCCACCTAGATTTCAGAGGTTGTATTGGAATGCCTAGGTGCCCAGGCAGAAACCTGCTGCAGGGATGGAGCCATGACAGAGAGTCCCCACCAAGGCAATGCTAGTGGAGCTTTGGGAGCAGGGCTGCTGCTGAGACCCCAGAATCATAGAACCACCAGCAGCATGAAACCTCAGCCTGGAAAGGCTGCAGGCATTTTAAGCTTCAACCCATGAGAGCAGCCATGTGGACTGTGCCCAATAAAGTGATGGTGGCAGGGCTGCCCTAGGCCTTGGGAGCTTTCCCCTTGCACCAGTGTGCCCAGGATGTGGAACATGGAGTCAAAGGAGATTATTTTGGAGTTTTAAGGTTTAATGTGTGTCCTGCTGGGTTTCAGACTTTTATGGGGCCTGTTACCCCTTTCTTTTGGCCAATTTCTCCTTTTTGGAATAAGAATATTTACCCAATGCCTGTACCACAATTGTATGTTGGAAGTAAATAACTTGCTTTTGATTTTTCAGGCTCATAGCTGTAAGGAACTTTCCTTTAGTCTGAGATGAGACTTTGGACTTTTGAGTTGATGTTGACAACAAGTTAAGACTTTGGGGAACTATTGGGATAGAATAATTATATTTTGCATATCAGGAAAACATGAGTTTTGGTGGGGCCAGGGACAGAATGCTATAGTTTGGATGTTTGTTTCCCACAAAGCTCATGTTGAAATTTTATTCCAATGTTGGAAGTGGGGGCCTAATGGGTGGTGTTTGGGTCATGGCGACAGATCCCTCATGACTATATTGATGCCCTTAATGGGGTGGAGGTGAGTGAGTTCTCATTCTATTAGTTCCCATGAAAGCTGTTTGTTAAAAAGAGCCTGGCATCTTCCCCCACTCTCTCTTGCTTCCTCTCTCACCATGTGCTCTCTGCACAAGCCCACTCCCCTTCACCTTCCACCATGGGTGGAAACAGCCTGAGGCCTTCACCAGAAGCAAATGCAGGTACCATGCTTCTTGTATAGCCTGGAGAACTATGAGCCAAATAAACCTCTTTTCTTGATAAATTACCCAGCCTCAGGTATTTCTTTATAGAACACAAAACAGACGATGGCAATTTGTTTTTGAATTATATAACAACCTTGCATACCTGGAATAAGTTTAATTTGGTTGTGATGTGCTCTGATTTTTATATACACTGAATTTCATTTGCTAATATTTCATTTAGGCATTTAAAATCAATATTCATTAGCAAAATTAGCTTATACTATTCCTTTCCTTTAGTGTCCTTGTCAGGTTTTGGTAGCAAGATTATGCCAGCCTCAGAAAGTTAAATTGAAAGTATTGCCTTTTTTGTTGTTGTTGTTGTTGTTGTTGTTGTTAGAGTAATTCAATTTCTTCTTCACTTATTTGAACAACTTCCCTGATGAAGAAATCTAGGTTTGGAATTTTTTGAGTAGGAAGGTATTAAATTGTAGATATACCTTTTTAAATGGATGCAGGCATATTCAGATTTTACATTTCTATTTCAATTTTGGTAAATTGTGCTTTAAAAATTATCCATTTATTTTAAATTTAAAAAAATTTGCCACAAAATTGCTCAAAATAATCCCTTTATTATTTTTGTAGTATCTGCAGAGTCTATATTGATGTCCCATTTTTCATTGTAATATTATTTTTTTCTACTCTCTTTTGTTATTGATCAGTCTCACTGAGGATTTGTCACTTTTCAGAAATCAGTTTTTTACTCAAAAAATTCTCTAATGTACATTTTTATATTATATATTTGTTTTTTATTTTATTATTTTTGTTTTTTATTATGTTCTTTTCTATTTGGGGGGATTTAATTTGTTATCTTGTCCAAATTTTTGTGATTATTCATTTTCAGCTTTCATTCTTTTCTCCTACATGCACTTAAAACTAGAAATTTTCTTTAATGTATTTCTTTAGTTGCATTCTCTAATTATGTAATTTTTCATTATCATTCAATTAAAATATCTAATTTTTATTATGATTTGTTCTTTGATACACAGGCTACATGAAAATGCATTGCTTAGTTCCAAACATTCGGAGGTTTTCTTATCTTTTCTTGTTGATTTGTAGCTTAATTCCACTGTGGTCACACAATATACTGAATACAATTTTGTTTCCTTGCAATTTATTGAGGCTTGCTTTGAGGCTCAGAATATATTTGATTTTGGTATGTGTCTTCTGTGCATTGGACAAAAATGATTATATTTCAGTTTTGGGGTACAGTGTTTTATATATAAGATGTATAATCAAGTTTTATGTTTTTATTCAGTATGGCAATCTATGTATTTTAATTGTAGTTGTAGTTTTTATTGCATTCATACTTAATATACTTATTGATAGTGTTGTGTTTAAATCTACTATCTTATTATTTATTTTCTATTTGTCCTACCTGTTCTCTGTTCACTATCCTTTCCTTCTTTTGTGGGGCTTAATTATTTATTATTATGACTTCATTTTTTATTATGCCTCATTAACTTGTTAATTATACATTATTTTACTGTTATTTTAGAGGTGTCCTTAAAGATTATAAGCATTCTTGACTTAGTAGAGTCTAATAGAAATTAATATTTTTTCCCACTTTTTGGGACAATGCAAGACTTTAGAATACCTCAGCTATATTTACCACCCTCCTGCCTTTATGCCATTATTGACATGTACTTTAATTCTGTTCTTATTTTATACTCCATAGGATATTACTATTATGTTTCAAACCATCAATATTAATTAATATGTATCCATTTCATTCTTCATTCTATGCTTCCACTTTGGATCACTTATTTTCTACCATTTAGTATTTCTTTTAGTGTGGACTGCTGCTAATGAATTATCTCAGTTTTAGTTTGTCCAAATAGTACTTATTTCACCTTTATTTGGGAAGAATATTTTTATCAGGTATGATGTTTAGGTTGTAGTGTTTCATTTTAGTATTTTGAAGATAATAATTCTATTTCCTTTTGGCTTTGTTACTCTATTGAAAATTTATCTGTTGGTTTTATTATTGCTCTTGAAGTAACATGTGTTTTTTGGCTGGTGTATCAATTATACATTGCTGCATAACAAATTATACCACAATTTATCAGCTTAAAAAACAAGTATTTATTATTTTACATAGTTTCTTATGGTCAGTAGTCTGGGAATGACTAGTTAGGTGCTTCTGTAACCTGTTTCACAAGGTTACCATCAAGATGTCTGTAAGGGTTTTAGTCATCTCAAAGTTTGACTGGGACTAGAGAATCTGCTTCCAAGCTCACTCACGTGGTATTGGAAGACCTCGTTTTTGGCTGGCTGTTGGCTGGAAGCTTCAGTTCCTCAACACATGGACCTCTCCACAGCCTATATATGACATGAAAACTGGCTTCCCCCAGATTAGTTTATCCAAGACAGACAGAAAGAGAATGCCCAAGATGGGAGCTACAGTATTTTCATAACCTCATCTCAAAGGAGACACATTGTCACATTTCCTGTATTGTCTTTATTAGAAGTCAATTCAACAAATACTAAAAGAGAAGGGAAGTAAGTTTCATGTCTTAAAGAAAAAAGTATTAAAAAATTTTAGACATATATTTAAAACCACTTCATCTGGCTATTTTAGCATTTTTTCTTTATCTCTATTTGCAGCAATTTAACTATAATATACCTAGAAGTTTTTGTTTTGTTTTGTTTTTTGTTTAACTCCTACTTGGAGTTCATAGAAATTCTTTAATGTGTGGACTGATCTCTTTGTTTTTGTAAAATTTGAATCCGTTTTCTCTTCAAATATTACCTCTTCCTTATATTATTGTTTCTCTTTTGGACCCCCATTATTTCTATATTGGATGTTTTCACCATGCCCCATATTTCTCTTATACATTTTTTTGTTTTTTATTCTATCTTTTTGTATCTTTGTGCTTCAAATTGAATATTATATTCTGCCCTTTATTCTATTTCACCAATTCTCTTTTTAACTGTATGTATGTTACTATTAAAACCATTCATTGAATTTTTATTTCGTTTACTTTATTTTTCAGTTCTAAATTTCCATTTAATTCTTCTTTCTGGTTTTCAATTCTCTGGCCGAATTCTCTACCTTGTCATTTAGTTTCTTGAATATATCAATCATTGGTATTTTAAAATTAGTGGCTGATGATACCAATATCTAGATATCTTGTGGGTCTGTTTTTACTTTATTTTCTGCTTTTTTTTCTCTTGAATTTTAGAAAATTCTTCTTTTTTGTATGTCTGGTTATTTTTGATTGAATACTGGACATTTTATATGAAAATTATAAGAGAATTGGAAGCTATGGGTACTGTCAGTTTTCTGTTCAGATGAATAGCAAAATTTTCACTCTGGCAGGCACTTACGTTGGGGCATACCACTTAATCCAAGCAAGGAGCATATCTGATTAAAAGACTAGTGTTGGTTTTCATAAAATTTCATCAGTCTTATTTCAGCTTTACTTCTAGGAGCTCTTCAGTATTCCAAATGAAAGCCTCAGGTGTTCACCAGGGCTCCTTGATCTTGGCAGACTCTGAACTTTTATTTTTGTCCTACCAGCCCAAGGAGTCTGACCAAAGTCCTGCTCAGTTTCTCAGCCTCTCACTTGCTGCTTTATGCCCAGCTTCTTGTTTCTCAACCACTTTCAAATAACATATGTGTCAATAAGGAAAGTGGAGCCATATATTGGGTATACCTCTCTGGACTTTCCTTTTTATTTGAGATTTTTGTCCTGCAAGTCATACTCTGGAAGTTCTCGCTCTCTTAAAAAAATCCCCCAGATTTTTAAACTGTTTTCAATCAGAGGGTTGATTTTAACCATGCTAGTCCCCTATTACTACAGCATAATATTTTAAAGTCTCTCTCTACTTTTCCCACTTGCTTTTAAATTCCCAGTTCAGTGTTCCACAACGATGTCCCAGCTGTTTTACACTGATGATCTTGGTCTAGAATCCTGAAAAGGGGTCAGGAGATTTCTGAGCTCATTCTAGGTTTCTGGACACATTCCCTGGGTTCTCCCATGTCCTGGGACTATATGTTTGGGAAACATTGGGTATATAACACAGATAGGTGGATATCTTTGTGTTATGTCATTGCCACTTTATGCATTTTTCTTAGAGAGGAAAAAACAAGGGTCATAACTGACAACCACTAGAGTCAACTCTACTCCAAGGAGAAGTAGGTAATAACCAACGAGGAGCAATCTGAGGGACACCAAAGAGCCCTCTGAGCCAACAACCCATTACATACCCATAGGAAAAATCTATCAACAGAGATTCAAACTTTAATGATCACCAATGGTCCAGATGTTTTGCTGTAAGTTTGTTCATCACTGTATTTTGTATAATAGGAAACATGGAAACAATTTAAATCTACCACAATATGAGATTGAGGAATAAATTAGGGAATATTCATGTAATATAGGGTTGGCAAACTATGGTCCACAGCTTCGTACCACTCATGAACTGAGTAGTTTTTACCTTTTAAATGGTTGAATAAAAAATCCAAAAGAATATAATAGTTCATGACACATGAAAATTATATGAAACTCAAATGATGTTGTTGATAAAGCTTATTGAGGTATTGCCACATTTATTCCTTACATATTGTCTGTCGTTTCTTTCATGCTATAATGGTAGAGTTGAGTTATTTTGACAGAGACTATATGGCTGGCAAAGATTATAATATTTCCTCTCTGGCATTTATAAAAAATTTGATGTAATAGAGTGTTATACAACCACTTAAAATGATCCTGTAAATACATATTTAATGATAGGAGAAAATGTTCACAGTAGATTAAGTGAGAAAATTAGGCTCCAAAATATTATTTTATTCTAATTCCATTTTTTACAGTAATCATATATTATACATTGATATATGCTTAGGAAAAAAAATAGCCCAGAAGAAATATTACTGGGGATTAGCAAATGGTGATGGAATTATAAGTGCTTTTTTCTTTCAGAGTGAATTTGATCATCTTCTTTGGGCTTTTCAGTATTTTCTAAACTTTCTTAATTAAATATGACTTTTGTAATATTAAATAAACAATGAAAGTCTTATTTTTCTTTAATTCAACCAAAATTCATTAACTGAATTAAGACTCCATCTTCTAGTATAGCCCATTATTCCAACCCATTTCTAGGCTGCAATGCCTTGGTAGAGCACTAGTCTGTTAGACAACTAATTGTCACCTTGGGAAGATGTAAGTGGGTCAGCATGGTCCTAAGAGAACTAGACGGATACGTTGGTTTTGATGAGAAGCAGAAAGGGCAAATCAGAATAATGAGGTGTAACTGTAGCAACAAGGCTGAGCTTGACCTGGGCAAGGTCCGAGAAGGTAGGAATCAGAATAAGGTGATGAAAAGGGGACAGGTGGGAGGGATGGAGAAAGAACATTACTATTTTGTTTAGGGACAGTCCTGATCATCATTGCACATACAGAAATGTGAGGTCTGAGGTTTATACAATTTAGAATTTAGGGTACCTTCTTCAGAAAAAATGACATGAAATTACAAATGAAAAATTAAGTACATAGTATTTTCTTAGATAAAAAGAAATCATGCGTGAACCCGGGAAGCGGAGCTTGCAGTGAGCCGAGATTGCGCCACTGCAGTCCGCAGTCCGGCCTGGGCGACAGAGCGAGACTCCGTCTCAAAAAAAAAAAAAAAAAAAAAAAAAAAAAAAAGAAATCATAACAAATTACTGTGTCCAGGAGCTCTATGATCCTTTCTTCTGAAACCTTTATAGGCAATTGACCGGAAACACCTATAAATGGTTCCCGATCACTACCTGGCTTTCCCTCTCTCCAGAGCCCTCTATCACTCCCAGTATTTCTCAGCTGTCACAGGGATTTACACGAGCAAGGGGCCCTGAAGCTTAAGTCTCATTAGCTTCATGTAATTCAGTTTCTGCTGATTGTCTTTCTCATTTCAAGTCTATTCAGGCTTTTCTCCTTGTCAATTCTTAGACCCCTAGGTGGTGAAACTATAGGACAGTGATTTTTCTATGACTTGCTATGGGCTTTTTGTACTTATGGTTGTTCCTACCCCAGCTGCTCTGTTCTCTTAAAGTGGAAAAGTTGGCACCTTTCCTGCTTTCCCTGGGAGAAACTAGCATTTGCTAGAGAGGAGGACAATGATTCTGCCTGAAACAAAGACTCTGGAAAGTATGTAAATTTTACTAATTCATTTTCCCTTGCTGATATTATCATGGGTAATTCAAAATTTATTGCAAGTGTCAAATCTTGATATTGTAAGTGGGGAAATTGTTGGTCAAAGGGTCACACAGATAGTCTCAGCTTTTTGGTTTATATTTAAGTAAAATATGTAACAGAATATTCCAAGTTCTCAAGGTAGTGTCACTGGAAAATATATTTCCCTGAGTGGTAAATTTTCAAGTAATACTGGGTATCATTTGTCTTTATTTAATCTGAGAAATTCAACATGCATAGCAAGCATTTATTACTTAAGCCTCATATCACTTGTGTGGAGAAGGTTCAGCAAACATTATCTTTTTGCACAGTTGGAAAAAACTGAAGCATGACAAGGTTGCAGGGATATATGTGAGGTTTATCCAGTAGAGCTAAGATATCAGGAAGGAGTCTGCCAGGCATTTCTTCTTCCCCCTCCCTGCTGAATTGCTTAGGAAAGAAAGCATGAGGACGATTGTGTAATCAGATCCTTTGCCCAGTAAAGGACTTTTGGAGAACTCCTGCTCTTGCTTTTCATGGATTGGTAAATTTAGTAGGAGCCTTTTGGTTATGAGGAACAGAAATCCATTTGAATGAGCATAACCAGAAAAGTGTGACTTTATTACAACAAAATCTAGGGTTGTCTCATGGAACCCCAAACTGGAAATGTGGCCACTTCAGAAAAACTGAAACTAAGAGCTGGAAAGCGTCTAGACTCTCTTTCATTCCACCCTTTATCTCTGTTTTAGTCTTTGTCATTGGAGACAAACTCTGTTTCTTTCACTCTGGGGAGAGAATATGGCTCCCAACTTTAGCTACAGGCAGAGACAAATTTACTGGCTTTCTCAATGCTGATCAGAGAAAATCTAATTGTCCTAGGGACAGGTACAGAGTCATATGGTATAAACATGGCTGCCAGCAGCCTATGCTGGGTGAAGCAGAGGTAGTTCCAAGAGAAAGGGAAGGGGAGTATTAGGAGTTAAGAAAATCACACCAAATGTGTTTATTTAGGTGGAAAATGTATGAGATCATTAAAGTCCTCATTAAGGGCTGCCTTGGGGACATTAGTTTTCACTTAAATCAAAATAGCACAGTAGGGGACTTCTAGTTTCTAGTCCAGCATGCAAGAAACTTAGAAGTCGCCACCCTGTCCTAATAACAAGTAAAAAGCTAAACAAACGGAAAAATCAGCAACTCAAAATCTGTCAGAGAAATGAGGTCACAGGACAAACCACTGCCCTAAAAATTGGAAAGACAGACAGGCAGATATAGAGAATCAGAGCTTTACCAGAGCAGAAACTCACAAGCAGAAACTTCCACAAGAACCAGTGCCAGGGTAAGGAGACCTGAACTGCAACTGATGAATTGTTGGAGGCTGAGTGAGGACAAGTCTGTAAGTTAAAAGCTCCAGGGGGGTCCAGTCATAGGTGGGCCACATGGTTTTTTGAATTTTACCTCCAGGAGTCTTACCAGGTTCTCACAGTGAATATCAGAGAAAAGTTCCATTGTCCTTTTGGAGAGAAGGTATAAATGTTCCCATTTTGTGATATATTTGTTCCTATTTTATATGTTCCTATCTTCTGATATATGTTTATATTTTATGGTGTATATGTATACATGTTCTTCTTAATAAGACCTGTCCTTCAGAGAAACAATTTTACCAGAGCCTAACCTGCTGAGGTTTTTATCAGAGCCTAGCAAACCTGGGAGAAGGTAAACACCCAACTCCAGACTTCTGTAGCTATTCTGTCCCACCCAAGGTGGAAAAAATCCTGAGAAGCACTGGTGAACTTCACAGTCCAGGGACACAGCCTCACCAAAGAATTGAGACCTAATTACAGGCCTATAGGATGCTTCCCCTCTCCCCACACCTTGCCACTACATTACTAAAGGCCTGTTGACTACAGTTTCTTTTACCCAGCACATCTCGTCTACTTTTCAAAAAAAAATTATAAGGCAAACTAAAAGGCAAAAACACAGTTCAAGGAAAAAGAAGATACATCAGAATCAGAGTCAGATATGACAGGAATTTTACAATTACCAGACTAGGAATTTTTTAAAACTATAATTAATAGGCTAAGAATTTTAATGGATAAAGTCAACAACATACAAGAACAGATGGATAATGTAAACAGAGAGATGGAAATTCTAAGAAAGAATACAAAATAAATGCTGGAGATTAAAAACACTGTGACAGAAATGAAGAATGCTTTTGATGGGATTATTGCTATACTGGACATGGCTGAGGAAATAATCTCTGAACTTAAGGATATGATGATAGAAACTTCCAAAGATAAAAAGTCAAGAGAAAAAAGACCAAAAAACCCCAGAGCAGGATATCCAAGAACTGTCGGATGGCTATAAAAGATGTAACAAACATATAATGGGGAAATAAAAAGGAGAAGAAAGAAAGGAACAGAAGCAATATTTGCAGAAATAATGACTGAGAATTTCCCTAAATTATTGCAGACATCAAACCACAGATCTAGGAAGCTCAGAGAACACTAAGCAAGATAAATGCCAAAACAAAAACAAAAACAAAAAAACCCACAAAAAACCAGCATCAAGGCATATCATTTTCAAACTGCAAACATCAAAGACAAAGAAAAAATCCTGAAAGAAGCCAGAGGGGGGAAATTAACACATCCAGAGAGTAACAAAATTAAGTATTACATCCAAAAACCATGCAAGCAAGAGGAGAGTGGCATGAAGTATTTAAAATGTTGAGAGGAAAAACCAGCAACCTAGAATTCTGTACCTTAAGAAATTATCCTTCATAAGTGAAGAAGAATACTTTCTCAGACAAACAAAATTTGAAAAAAAATTGTTGCCAGTAGATCTGCTTTGCAAAAAATGTTCAAAGAAGTTATTTAGAGAGAAGAAAAATAATATAGGTCAGAAACTTCATCTACATAACAAAAGGAGCATGAAAGAATAAAATAAATGAAAGCAAAATAAAAACTTATTTTTCTTATTTTTAATTGTTCTAACAGATAGTTTGTTCAAAATAATAATAACAATGCATTTAATTATATGTGCTTATGTATATATCTTATGTATTTATTTACATGAATATATATATGCTTGCATGTACTTATATATAAGTGAAATGAATGACAGAAATGATACAAAGGATTGAAGGGAGGAATTAGGATTATTTTATTGTTATAAGGTACTTATACTACCTGTGAAGTGGTATAGTGTTATTTGAAAGTGGATTTAGATTAGTTGTAAACATACATTGAAAACTCCAGGTCACCCACTAAAAAAATGTAAAACCAGAAGTATAACTAATATGCTAAGAAAGGAAAGAAAACTGAATCATATAAAATGCTCAATTAAAGCCAGAAAAGGCAGAAAAAGTGTGAAAGACTAAAATAGGAACAAAGAAGAAAGGCAACATATAGAAAGGCAACATACGGAACACACAGGCACACACTGTGGCAGGTAAGGTGGGGAAAATAGTAAACAAATATAGTAGATATTAATTGAACTATATTATAATCACTTTAAATGTCAAAGCTGTAAATACACCAATTAAAAGAAAGAGAGTGTCAAAGTGAAACAAAACAAAAAAAATTCAAGATCCAATAATACGTTGTGTATAAGAAACCCACTTTAAAGGAGGCTTCAAGATGGCTGACTACAGATATGTGGTACTCACCTTCTCCACAAAGAACCAATATAGCCCTTCAAATGGAGCATCTAAGATAGAACACTGGAATTCAGAAGAAAAGTGACAGGAAACATCTGAAGCATGGAAAGAAAGGGAAATGAGGCAGCCAGTTTAGCCAGGATTGCCTGTGAGCCCCGTGAGGTTGCCCCATGTGGGAAAGGGTAAGTGAGAGATCTCCAGCAGCCCACATTCCTGTAATCCTAGCCATGGGAGAGCCCTGTGACCCTTGTGGGCCCTGAGACTAATATCAGAAGCAGTCTGGAGTCTGTGTAATGGCATTGCTCCAGAATGGAAGCTCATGCTGGGTCCCATACATCCTCTGAGACTCAAGCAGCTGCAGCACACACCATTTTGAAAGCCCAGCCCCCACAAGACTGCATACTGCCCTGGGGCCCAAGAGCCTCTGTAACTTCATGTCTCTGAATCCCCAGTGACATCCCCCAACATCCACCCAGAGGGCTGAAGTGGACAATGTTGTTTGGACCCAGCAGTGCAGCAGGGTCCTCAGCACTCCAGCTTACACAGTGTACTATACCCCAGGGAATGGATGGTATAGTGCATTGGAGAGGTTATCCCTGGGACAAAGGGAACCAAAGCATGCACTCCCCAGCACAAGAAAGTCACTCTGCTTGCTGCCACTGAGAGCAACCTCATCCATTCTAGCAGCAGGGCAGGGTGCCTATGCATGCACCCTAAGGACAGGCTCTCCCCACCTGTAGCCACTGCTGCCACTGCCACTGGGACGAAGTGTGGTCCTCAGAGACTGAGATACACCTGCCTGGACCTGCTGCCACCAACAGAAATTCCACCCCCTTCAGCAGCAAGACCACTGCACACTTGCACATGCCCTGAGGGACAACAATCCTGGCCTGCTACTGCTGCTGCTGCTACTGCCAACACCCTGCCGGGGGCCAAAGTACACATTCCCCAGAGACTGAGAGTCACCTCCCTGGGACAGCTGCCACTGACAACAACCCTGCCACCCAGCAGCATGGATGCTGTATACTTTCACACACTCTGGAAATGCTTTCCTGCCCACTGCTGCCACTGATCCCTCCCCCTGAGCATGCCACCCAGGAGCCTGGAGATAGCCACCTTTCCTGCCACAGTGTGTGCCCATGAACATCACTGAAGGGCCTGAGGACAGGCCCGCTCAACCTGGTACCCAACCCCACTGCCTAAGTATGCTGCCCAGGGGCCTGGGGATTACCCCACCCCGTCTATGATGATTGGCAGCTATGCACTCCTCCAAGGGGCCTGAGGACAAGCCCACCCAGCCTGCAGCTATCACCACTTCTGAAAACTTCCTGGATGTGCCACCTGGGGGCCTGGGTCCTGGAATAGCCAGCCTGCTGCAGCCACCACCACCAGTGTGTGCTGCCTGGGAGTCCGAAGGTAGGTCCACCACTGGGCCACCTTCTGGGTACTCTCATCGCCCACACCATATATGTTGCCCAGGGGCCCAAACATCTGCCCACCTTCCTGGCCCACTGCTGTCACTGCTGGCATCTGGAGGTCCAAGGATTGACCTACCTGGACCCACTGACACTGCTGCCCACATTTGCCACCTGGGGCCCCAAAGACAGACAGAATCAGCCCTTGATGTGGTTTGGCTCTCTGTCACCATCCGAATCTCATGTCGATTTTTAATTCCCAGTGCTGGAGGAGGGATCTGGTGGGAGGTGATTGAATCATGGGAGCAGATTTCCTCCTTGCTTTTCTCATGATAGAGTTCCCACACTATATGGTAGTCAGAAAGTGTATAGCATCTCCCTCTTCACTGTCTCTCCTCCTCCTGCTCCAGCCATGTAAGACATGACTCCCTCCTCTTCACCTTCTGTCATGGTTGTAAGTTTCCTAAGGCCTCCTCAGCCATGCTTCCTGTACAGCCAGTGGAATTGTGAATTAAACCTCTTTTATTTGTGAATTACCCAGTCTTAGGTAGTTCTTTATAGCAGTGTGAGAACCGACTAATACAGCCCACCACTGTCAGCACTAGGGTCAGAGGACAGGCCCACCTGGCATCCCCATCCCCAGCAAAGCCTCATCACAGCCTCCACTAACAATTGCAGCCAAACACACTGAGGAAATCACAGACACTGCTGACACTGTTTACAGCCAAATAAATCATACAGAGACTATGCTACTGCGCACATCCAGAGTCAAAGGTAAAGATCTTTACCCAATCAACACCATAGATACATCTTGAGAAAAAAATCTTCTCATATAAAAGCCAATTCAAAAAATTGGAAGAAATTTTTGTTACACTTGATGCATAGATATCAACTTAAGGACATGAGAAACATGAAAAATCAAGGAAATATGACACTTCCAAAAGAACACAATAATTCCTCCGCAGTAGATTCCAATGCAAAAGAAATTTATGGAATGCCTGAAAAAGAATTTTAAAAATTGATATTAAAGAAGGTCAGTGAGATACAAGAAAACACAGTAAACAAAATAAAGAAATCAGAAAAACAATTCAGTATGTGAATGAGAAATTTACTAGAGATAACTATCACAAAAAAGAATCAAACAGAAATCCTGGAACTGAGTAAGTCAATGAATGAAGTAAAAAATACAATGGAGAATTTCAACAATAGGCAAGATCAAGAAGAAGAAAGAATTTCAGAACTTGAAGACAGGTATTTTGAAGTAATCCAGTTAGACAAAAATAAATAAATAAATAAATAGAATAGAATAGAATAGAATGAACAAAGCTTATATGACATGTAGGATACCACAAAGTGACCAAATGTTCAAATGTTGAGTGTTCTGGAAAATGAAAAGAAGGCCAAAGTTACAGAAAATCTATTTAACAAAATAATAGCTGAACACTTAGCAATAGGTCTAGACAATAGGTCTAGACATCGAGGTGCAGGAATAGACTTTCAGGTATAGGAATCCCAGAGATCCCCAAAAGGTTGTCTCCATCCACATTATAGTTAAACTGTCAAAAGTCAAAGACAGAATTCTAAAAACAGCAAAAGCATCTAGTCA
This sequence comes from Homo sapiens, assembly GCF_000001405.40. Classification (NCBI taxonomy): domain Eukaryota; kingdom Metazoa; phylum Chordata; class Mammalia; order Primates; family Hominidae; genus Homo; species Homo sapiens. The sequence continues at coordinate 42,079,574 of NC_000001.11, read as the reverse complement.
CATGCAAGGGAACTTCCCTCATATTAACAGCAATTTCTCAGCAGGAACTTTATGAGTCTGCAGAAAACGAAATGATATAATAAAGGGCTGAAAAAAAACTCGTCAGTCCAGAATACTGTACTCATCAAAGTTGTCCTTAATAAACGAAGGAGAAATAACGTATTTCCCAGACAAGCAAAAGCTGAAGGAATTCATCACCACTAGACCATGGCCTACAAAAAATGCTTAAGGGAGTCCTGTATCTGGAAGTAGAATAACAATATCTACCATCATGAAAATATATAACTTACTGATAGAGCTAGTATGCAGATGAGGAAGAGAAAATATTTAAATGTTACCAGTACAGAAAATAACCCAACTGCAAAGATAAACAATAGGAAAGAAAAAAGGAAAAAAAACATACAAAACAACCAGGAAACAGTTAACAAAGTGATAGGAATAAGTCTTCACATATCAGTAATAGCCTCAAACTTAAACAAATTAAAATTTCCAACTTAAAAGATATAGACTGGGCCAGGCACAGTGGCTCACGCCTGTAATCTCAGCACTTTGAGAGGCTGAGGTGGGTGGATCACTTGAGGTTAGCAGTTTGAGACCAGCCTGGCTAATATGGTGAAACCCTATCTCTACTAAAAATACAAAACTTAGCCAGGCATAGTGGTGTGTGCCTGTGATTCCAGCTACTCGGGAGGCTGAGGCATGAGAATCGCTTGAACCTAGGAGGCAGAGGTTGCAGTGAGCCGAGATTGTGCCACTGCACTCCAGCCCGGGTGACAGAGTGAGACTCTGTCTCAAAAAAATATATATATTATATATATATTATATATATGTGTGTGTGTGTGTATGTATATATATATGTGTGTATATATACACATATATATGTATAGACTGACTAAATGAATAAAGAAAAATGACTTAACTATATGCTACCTACAAGAAATTTACTTCACCTATAAAGACACATATAGGCTGAAGGTAAAGGGATGGGAAAAGATATTCCACACACATTGAAACCTAATGCAAGCAGGAGCAGTTATATCAAATAAAACAGACTTTAAGCCAAAAACTGTAAACTGAAACAAAGGTCATTACATAATGATAAAAAGATCAGTTCACCGATAAGATATAAAAATTCTAAATATATATGCATCCAACATTGGAGCACCCAGATATGTAAACCAAATATTACTCAGTCTAAAGCAAAAGACATACTCCAACACTAACAGTTGGAAACTTCAACATCCCACTCTCAGCATAAGGCAGATCATCTAGACAGAAAATTAACAAAGGAACATTAGATTTAAGCTGCATTGTAGACCAAATTGACCTAACAGACATTTATAGAAAATGTTATTAAACAGCTACCAAATATACATGGAACAATTTTTTTCCAAAAAAGTCAATCTGCTGAATTAGTTCTTTTTTTTTTTTAAACTATAAGTTCTAGGGTACATGTGCACAACGTGCAGTTTTGTTAAATATGTATACATGTGCCATGTTGGTGTGCTGCACCCATTAACTCATCATTTACATTAGGTATATCTCCTAATGCTATCCCTCCCCCCTCCCGCCACCCCATGACAGGCCCCGGTGTGTGATGTTCCCCATCCTGTGTCCAAGTGTTCTCATTGTTCAATTCCCACTTATGAGTGAGAACATGTGGTGTTTGGTTTTCTGTCCTTGTGATAGTTTGCTCAGAATGATGGTTTCCAGCTCCATCCATGTACCTACAAAGGACATGAACTCATCCTTTTTTATGGCTGCATAGTATTACGTGGAACAATTTTTAAGACAGACCTCATATTAGGCCACAAAAAAGTCTCAACAAATTTTTAAAAATTGAAATAATATAAAGTATCTTAGACCATAATGGAATAAAACTAGAAATCAGTAATAAGAGGTACTTTGGAAACTGTACAAATACATGGGAATTAAGGAGCATGCTCCTGAATGACCACTGGGTCAATTTAAACATTAAGAAGAAAATTAAAAAATTTCTTGAAACAAATTAAAATGGAAATGCAACATACCCAAACCTATAGAATACAGCAAAAGCAGTGGTGAGGGATGTTTATAGCAATACATGTCTACATCAAAAAAGTAGAAAGATTTCAAATAAACAATCTAATGATGCACCTTAGGGAACTAGAAAAGGAAGGACAAACCAAAACCCCAAACTAGCATGAGAAAAGAAATAATAAATGTTAGAGCAGAATTAAACAAAATAGAGACTGAAAAAACAGTACAAAGGATCAATGAAACAAAAAAAATTGCTGTTTTGAACGGATAAGCAAAATTGATAAACTGCTAACCAAGGAAAGAAGACAGAAGACCCAAATAAACAAAATCAGACATGAAAAAGGAGATATTACAACTGGTATCATAGACATGTAAAAGATCATCAGACACTATTTTAAACAATTATATACTAACATAATGGAAAACCTAGATGAAATGAATAAATTCCTGGACACATACAACCTACCAAGATTGAATCAGGAAGAAATAAAAAACCCAAACAGACCGATAACAAGTAACAAGATTAATCAGTAATAAACATTCTTCCAACAAAGTAAAGTCTAGGACTGCATGGCTTCACTGCTGAATTCCTCCAAACTTATAAAGTAGAAATAACACCAATTCTCCTTAAACTATTCCAAAGCATTAAAGAGAAGGGAATTCTCCCTGACTCATTCTATGAGGCCAGTATCACTCTGATGCTGAAGCCAGACATGGACACACCAAAAGAAAGAAAACTACAGGCCAATATCCCTGATTAACACAGATGCAAAAATCCTCAACAAAACATGAGAAAACCAAATCCACATATCAAAAAGATACTACATTATGATCAAGTGTAATTTATCCCAGGGGTGCAAGGATGGTTCAACACATGCAAATAAATAAATTTGACATACCACATCAACAGAATGAAGAAGAAATACCATATGATCATTTCAACAGATACAGAAAAGCATTTGATAAAATTTCACATCTCTCTATGATAAAAATTCTCAACAAACTAAGCGTAAAAGGAACTTACCTCAACATAATAAAGGCCATACGTGAAAAACCCACAGCTGACATCATACTAAATGGGGAAAAGCTAAAAGAACTGGAGCAAGATAAAAATTCCCACTTTCACCACTTTTATTTAACATACAGCTGGAAGTCCTAGCCCTTCCAAATCGGAAAAGAGGAAGTCAAATTTTCTCTCTTTCAGATGACATGATTTTATATTTAGAAAAACCTAAAGACTTCACCAAAATATTCTTAGATCTGATAAACAACTCAGTAAAGTTTCAGGATACAAAATAAATATACAAAAATCAGTAGCATTTCTATACACCAATTAAAAAAACTATCTGAGAAAGAAACCAAGAAAGCAATCCCATTTATGATTGCTACAGAAAAAATATACCTAGGAACACATTTAACCAAGGGTATGAAAGATCTCTTCAAGGAAGATTCAAAACACCTGATGAAAGAAATTAAAGAGAACACAAACAGATGGAAAGATATCCCATGCTCATGGATCAAAAAGCTAGTAATGTTAAAATGATTGTGCTGCCCAAAGCAATCTACAGATTCAATGCAATTTGTATGAAAACACCAATGACATTTTTCATGGAAATAGAAAAAAACAACTGTAAAATTAGTATGGAACAAAAAGAGATCCAAAGCAATCTTGAGCAAAAGAACAAAGCCAGAGGCATCACCCTGCCTGACTTCAATATATTGCAAGGCTATGATAACCAAAACAGCATGGTATTGGTATAGAAACACACACAGAGACCAATAGAGCAGAATAGAGAACCCAGAAATAAATCCATGTATTTACAGCCAATTGATTTTTGACAAAGACTCCAAGAACATACATTGGAGAAATGACAACCTCTTCCATAAGTAGTGCTGGTAAAACTGGGTATTTATATGCAGAAGAGTGAAACTAGACTCCTGTCTCTCACATGTACAAAAATCAACTCCAGATGGATTAAAGACGTAAATGTAAGACCCCAAACTACATATCTACTAACATGGGGAACACTCCAAGACATTGGGCTAGGCAAAGGTTTTATGGCTGAGACCTCAAAAGCACAGGCAACAAACACCAAAATAGACAAATGGGACTATGTTTTTTGCAGAGGTTTTACCTTTCTGCAAAGGAAACAATCAACAGACTGAAGACAACCTGTTGAATGGGAGAAAATATTCATCCAACAAGGGACTAATATCTAGAATATACAAGGAACTCAAGCAGCTCAACAGCAAAAACACCAAATAGTTCCATTATAAAGTGGGCAAAGGATCTGAACAGACATTTCGCAAAAGAAGACTTGCAAATGGCCAGCAGGAATATGAAAAAAATGCTCAACATCAGTAATCATTAGGGAAATGCAAATCAAAACCACAGTAAAATATCATCTTACCCCAGTTAGAATGGCTATTATCAAAAAGACAGAAATAACAGATGCTGTCAAAGATGCTGAGAAAAGGGAACACTTATTAATTGCTAGTGGAAATGTAAATTAGTACAGCCATCAATATGGAGAGTTCTGAAAAAACTAAAGTAGAAGTACCATATGATTCAGCAATCGTACTACTAGATACTTTTTTAAAAGAGGAAATCATTGTGTCAAAAGGATACCTGCACCCCATGTTTACTGCAACACTATTCACAATAGCAAAAATATGGAATCAGCCTAAGTATCCTTCAGTGGATGAAAGGATAAAGAAAATATATACACATATATACACACAAGGGAATATTGTTTAGCCATAAAATGAATGAAATCCTGTCATTTGTTGCAACATAGATGGAGGTCATTTTGTTAAGCGAAATAAGCCAGCCACAGAAAGACAAATATTGCATGTCCTCATTCATATGTGAGATCTAAAGAAGGTAGAGAGAAAAATGATAGTTACCAGAGGCTGGGAAGGGTGTGTGTTGTGGTGGTCGGGGCAGTGATGAAGAAAGGTTTGTTAATGAGTACAAACATATAGGTAGATAGAAATAATAAGTTCTAATGTTTGATTACAGAGTAGGGTGACTATAGTTAACTACAATGTATGGTATTTTTCAAAAATAGCTAGAAGAGAGGACTTGAAATGTTCCCAAGACATAGAAATCATAAATACATATATACTGTAAATATGTACAAATACTATGTAACAATAAAATGTTTTTTAAACGTTATGTATTATATTATGCCAACACGAATCAAACAAAAGTGAGAGTACCTATATTAATTTCAGGCAGAGCAGACATCAGAGCAAGGAACAGATACGGGGATAATGAGGAATATTACACAATGATGAAGGGATGAATACCCCAAGAATACATAACAGTCCTAAATGTGTATGTTCCTAACAATAGAGTGTAAAATTCATGAGGCAAAAACTGATAGAACTGCAAGAAGAAATAGGTGAATCCAGTATTATAGATGGAGACTTTAACACCCCTCTATCAGAAATGGACAGATCTAGCAGGTAGAAGATCAGTAAGAACATAGTTTAACTACATAACATTATAAATAAACTGGATATAATTGACTTCTATAGGCTATTTCATCACATGACAACAGATTATACATTCTTCTCAAGCTCACATGGAATATTCACCAAGATAGACCACATTCTGGGCCATAAAACACACTTTAACACATTTGAAATAATGGAAATCATGCAATGTCTGCTCTCAGAACACAGTGGAATTAAACTAGAAATCAATAACGGAAATGTAGCTGAAAAATCCCAAAATTATTGCAGATTAAGCAACAAACTTCTAAATAACACAGGTCAAAGAAGAAATCTCAAGAGAAATTTAAAAATATTTTGAGGTAATTGAAAATAAAAAGACAACTTAAAATTTATGGATGCAGTGAAAGCGGTGCTTAGAGAGAAATTTATAGTATTGAATGCTTATGTTAGAAAAGGAGAAAGGTCTAAAATCAATAACCTAAGCTCTCATTTTAGGAAACTAGGAAAAGGAGCACATTAAATCAGAGGAAGTAGAAGAAAAGAGATAATACAAATTACAGCAGAAATCAATAAAATTGAAAACAGGAAACAGAAAATCAACAAAACCAAAAGCTGTCTTTTTAAAAAAGATCAGTAAAATCAATAAACCTCTAACTGAGAGAAACAGAGAGAAGATACAAATTACTAATATTAGAAATGAAAAAGAGGACATTGCCCACAGATCCAATGAACATTTAAATGATAATAAAGGAATATTATGAACAACTCTATGTCCACAAATGTGATAACTTAGAAGAAATAAACCAATTTCTTGAAAGACACAATCTGCTAAAATTCACACAAGAAGAAATAGACAATATGAAGAGGACTTTATCTATCAAATTAACCTTCCAAAACAGAAAACACCAGGCCCAGATGCATTCACGGATGAATTCTTCCAAACATTTAAGGAAGAAATTATGCCAATTGTCTACAATCTCTTCCAGAAAATAGAAGGAGAATGAAATAGAATGCAACAATGTATAAAAATAATTATACACCATGACCAAGTAGGATTTATCCCAGATATGTAAGGCTGGTTCAACATTTGAAAATAATTTATGCAATCCATTCCATCAACAAGCCAAAGAAGAAAAATCACACGAAAATATCAGAAGATGCAGAAAAAGCATTTGACAAAATTCAACACCATTCATGATAAAAACTCTCAGCAAATTAGGAATAGAAGAAAACTTCCTCAAATTCATAAGCAAAATATATTTTGAAAACCTACAGCTAACATTATACTTAAACTAATATAATTTAATGGGAAACTTGAAGCTTTTCCGCTAAAATCAGGAATAAGGCAAAGAAGTTCCCTCTAAGCACTGCTTTTCAACATTGTACTGGAAGGAAGTCTTAGTTAATACAATATGACAAGAAAAGGAAATTAAAGGTATACAGATTGGGAAGGAAGAAATAAAACTGTCTTTGTCTGCAGCTGACATGATTCTCTATGTAGAAGATCTTAAGGAATAAACAAACAAATGAAACAACCCCGCTGGAACTAGTAAGTAATTACAACAAATTTGCAAGATACAAGTTTAATATAGAAAAGTCAATCACTTTACTATATATCAGCAACGAACAAGTGGAATTAAAAATAAAAAACACACTACCATTTATATTAACACCTCATGAAATGAAATTCTTAGATATAAATATAATAAAATGTGTGCAAGATCTATATGAAGAAAACTACAAAACTCTGATTTAAAATACTGAAGAAGAACTAAATAAGTGGAGAAATATTTCATGTTCCTGAATAGGAAGACTCAATATTGTCAAGATGTCAGTTCTTCCCAATTTGATCTATAGATTCAACACAATCCAAATCAGAAACTGCCAAGTTGTACTGTGGGCGTCAACAAACTGATTCTAAAGTTTATGTGGAGAGGCAAGAGACCCAGAATAGCCAACTCAATACTAAAGGAGAAGAACAAAGTTGGAGGACTGACACCATCTGACTTCAGGACTTAACTATAAAGCTACAGTAATGAAGACAGTGTGGTGCGGTGAAGGAATAGGTAACAGATCAATGGAACGGAAGAGAGAGCCCAGAAATAGACCCATATAAATATAGTCAAGTGATTTTTGACAAAGGAGCAAAGGCAATACAATGAGGTAAAGGTAGTTTTTTCAACAAATGGTGCTGGAACAACTGGACATCAATATGCAAAAAAAAAAAAAAATCTAGTCACAGACATTACACTCTTCACAAAAACTAAATCAAAATGGATCATAGACCTAAATGTAATAAGTGAAACTATAAAACCCCTAGAGAATAACACTGGAGAAAACCTAGATTGTCTTGACTATGGCAATAATGTTTTAGATATAACACCAAAGGCACAATCCAAGAAAGAAGTAATTGTTAAGCTGGACTTCATGAGAATAAAAAAAAAATGTTCTGCAAAAGACAATTTCAAGAAAATCAGAAGGCAAGCCACAGACTGGGAGAAAATGTTTGCAAAAGACATATCTGCTAAAAGACTGTTATTCAAAATATACAAAGAGTATTTAAAATTCAACAATAAGAAAACAAACAACTCAATTAAAAAAAAATGGGCCAAAGACCTGAACAGATGCCTCACCAAAGAAGATATACAGATAGCACATAAGCATATGCAAAGATGTTCTACATCATATGTCATTAGGGAATTGCAAATTAAAACAACAATGAGACACCACTACACACATATTAGAATGGCCATAAGCGAGAGCACTGAGAACTTCAAATGCCGGTGAGGATGTGGAACAATGGGAACTCTCATTCATTGTTGGTGGGAATGCAAAATGGTACAGTCACTTGCAAGATACTTTGGCAGCTTTTTTACAAAACTAAGCACACTCTTGCATGGAGGAATTTCTGAGCCAGGAAAAAGAGAGATAAGAATGGCTGGAAGAGTAAGTCAGAGAAATATGACTAATCCCATGGAAAGGCACATAGGGATAACTTCTAATCTAGGTAAGTCCATATAATATACTCAATAAATTTCCTGATATACACACCTTCAAATTCTTCAAGTTCTGTAAATGCACACTAACTACTTGGCCAAGTCAGTGAAGGAAATCAGGGTCAAGGCCAAGTTACAAGAACCTTAAATGTTATGTTGTGTGCTCTGATTATATTTTCTAATGTAACTTAAAGGAAAATGTGGTCATCTCTTTCTGCTCCATTTTAAAAAAGTAAGTAAGATTGGCTTGGTGGTTTTGAAATGATATTGCTTGGTCACTCTAATTTTATCCCATAAGATTTTATTTTTGTTAATTTGTTTTAAATGAGAACCTTATGATGTCTATTATGTTATCTTATATACAACTAAATATATAAGATAGGAAATGAAATCTGATATCAGTTTCCAATACAGGTAACCTTTAAACAATGTGACTTAGGGGAATTGTTTGGGGCCAGTTCTGAACTGGGCTTCTCCCACCATATTTGGGTGGCATGTCTCCTTCTTGCTTCTTATACTACCCATTCACAGAGTTTTACTTAAACACTTGTCCAAGTTTTCTGTAAGAATAGTTTTTTTTCTTTTTTCCTGTCTCTTCTCCCATCTTTACTCCAACTTCCTCCTTCTTCCTCCTACCTATAGGTAACTCATATTAATGATATAATCATATAAAATTGTCTATACCCGCATAGCATTTTGTCTATTGTTCTTATTATATCGCCTTCTCAACATTTTTCTTTCCTCACTTAGGAGTAACTCATGGAAATCTCTCCAACTAAGTGGCCAGTGATTAAGTCTGTTTTTCAATTGCTACATGATATTGTATAGCATGCATTTGGCGACATTTATTCGACCATTTCCCAGCTACAGTCTTTCATTGTTTCTAGCTTTTCTGCCTGCAGAGTGCTGCAAAGAACATCCTTATACATATGTCTCTACAAGTTTTACCACTGCTTAATTATTTCCAAAATATGCTCCAGTTAACCTGTTTTGGTAGAAAAACAAAAATGTGTTCTGATTTTTATAAAATGTTGTTTAATTAATCACCCAGAGAACAGATTGGCCTTTTATTATATTTAGTTATATTTAATTTATCATATTTTGGTGTCCCTCAGTATGTTCCTCTTATTCTTAAAGAAAGATACGGGAGTCCCAGCACATTGGTTTTAAAAACTCAACTTTCAAGAAGTCTGTTTATGATTTGGATTAAAAAATATTCTCCCTCATGCCCCAAATTCTGAGCATAGTTTTGATTTAAGAAGTGCAAACTCAAATGTATGATAATGAAGAGTTATTTCTTATTGTATACATAGTGTTTGTGATACCATTGTCTCATATCATCTTTTAGAAAATTTTATAAATGGTCAAAACGGGGACTTAGTGTGTCTTCTTGCATCTTTTGTGTTTTCTTCCAATCTTTTAGGAAGAAAGTAATCATTGAATATGGCGGTTATCATCACAGAATTCCAACTAGAGTTCATGGCTAGAGCAAACTACTCAGTGGTGTCAAACATTGCCATTGGGCATTGGAAACATTGGGAAAGCAATTCGTCAAAAGTTTCATGCTCTGTAACATGGACATTCCCACTTCTGAAATAATTCAAAATACATAGAATATATTTCCATGAATATTTTTGTCATAGCTTTTTATTTATATAAACAAAAAATGGAAAGAAACCTAAATGTCCAAAAATAGGAGAAAGGTTAAGTAAATAATCACAGAAAGAGGGGATGGACCATTATGTAGCCATTATAAAGGAAGATTAGGAAGACCACTTAGCAGTATCAACTTAAAAGAATAATGCAGGCTACAAAACTATGTGTGCAAATTGGTTACAACTGCATTAAAATATACATAAGGATAAAAAGCAAGTGAGAACTACACTGAAATCCTGACAGTTGACCATATGAGTTTTGGAGACAGGAGGATTTTGATTGATTTTAAAAATTCTATTGCCTAAATTTTCTATGGTTTTGTTATATTGCTTCTATGCTTTTTAAAAAGAGAGAACCAACCAAGAAAATATATTTCTGATGAGAGTATAAAGAAATTCACCCTTGTGCACCAGTGGGAGTTATCCTGATTCAAGTAACATAAATGAGATGACAGTACAGGTTTTCATAGCAACAGCATCTTTTGAAGGCAAAGAATATTTGAGAACAGATAATACAAGAAAGATTTTGTTTGTTGTATTTGGGTTTTTCAATGTATTAATCCAGAATTTATTCAACCAAAACAACCGCACCGTCGACAAATAAACAGAAAAAGGGAGAGGACAGAGTTAACTCTGAAGATGAAATACAGAGAAGTATGAGGAGCAACAGCAAACACCTTGTGTACTTGAATCCAGCTCTGTCAAAACCTAATATTTCCAATTTTGCTTATGATAATCTTTTCTTTACCCCATTTTCCTCCTTTCCTTGATGAGAGATAATCAATATCATACATTTTGTTATCGTTCCCATGTGTATTTTTATATTGTTACTATATTTGTATGTATCCATAAATAATAAACAGCATAATTTGCAGGTTTTCAAACTTATTGTCAGTGACATCATCCTGAATACTTCATCATGTACTTGCTTTTGCACTCAGGATCATGGCTTAAGATTTAACCATGTGGACATGTGTAGCTTTAGGTTATCTATTTACCTATTTGTAGAGCAGTCCACGGAATGAACATGCCACTATTTATTTATCCTTTCTCCTGTTTATGGATATTTAGGTCATTTCCATTTTCTTTTACTTTCATTGCAATGCTGCAATGAACATTCTTGTTGGCTCGCACACGTGTGAGAGTTTCTCTGAGGTATATACTCAGAAGTGGAATCGCTGGGTTACAGAGTAGCTCATTTTCGCCTTTATTAGATAAGGCCAAATTATTTTCCAAAGTGATTGTACCAGTTGATACATTCATAAACAGCATATGCACATTCTTGTGGCTACAAGTAGTCTTCATTACTTGGTGTTATCGAAATTTAAAATTTTGACAAACTGAGGGTGTGAAGTGTTATGTTATTTGCAACTTTGTGATTCCCAGTGTGCTCAAAATTTTTCATTGATTTATGGTTTAAGTTTACTCTTCTTCTGTGAGTTGTCTGTTTATGTGATTTGTTCATTTTCTTATGTATTTTTTTCTTATCAAATTGTAGCTCTGTGTGAATTTAGACACTAGTGCTTTGTCAGCTGTGTGCATTACAAATGTTTCCTCTATCTTGTCTTTAACCTGTTCATGATAGCTTTGGTTAGGCATACATTAATTTAAATGACAGATCTATCAATCGTTTACCTTATGTTTTGTACTTTCTGCTTCTCATGTAAGGAATCTTATTTTTTAAACGATATTATTTCTCTACAACCATAAAGATATTCTTCTATATTTTCTATTGAAATCTTGTAGTTTTAATTCTCATATTAAATCTTTAATCTACTTAAGATTTATTTTATATAATGTGAGTTAAGGATTGAATTTTAATTTTTCCTTTTGGTTATGTCACAGCATAAATTATTAAACAGCCCATCCTTTCTGCACTAGTTATAGTGCTGCCTCTGTCATAGATCAAGTTTTCATATCAGTCCATTTCTACACTCTCTATCCTGCTCCATTGATGTCTTCATCCTTCTCTAAGCCAATTTCACATTGTCTTCATTATTATGGGTTGAGATAACCTAACTATCTGGTATGTGAGCCTCCCAACCTTTTTTGTTTGTTTGTTTGTTTGTTTTTTGTTTTGTTTTGTTTTTTGAGACAGTCTTGCTCTGTCACCAGGCCAGAGTGCAGTGGCGCGATCTTGGCTCACTGCAAGCTCCACCTGCCGGGTTCAAGCGCTTCTCCTGCCTCAGCCTCCGAAGTAGCTGGGATTAAAGGCGCCTGCCACCACGCCCAGCTAATTTTTGTATTTTTAGTAGAGACGGGGTTTCACCATATTGGCCAGGATGATCTTGATCTCCTAACCTCGTGATCTGCCTGCCTCAGCCTCCCAAAATGTTGGGGATTAACAGGCGTGAGCACCGCGCCCGGCCCCAACCTTCTTTTTCAAAACTATCCCAGTTATTTGACTCTCTTTGCTTTCCTAAATGAATTTCGGGATCGGCTTTTTCTGTTGGAATTTTGATTGCAATTGTGTTCAATTTTAGATTATTTTGGAAAGAAGTACCACCTCCACCATATAAAGTCTTCATCAACCTTGAACACGTTATGTCTTTCCGTTTGTTTTGGTCTTCCTTTATACCTATCCACAGTACTTTGTAATGCTCTCCATAAAGGCTATGCACATCTTTTGTTGGATTTATTCCTAGGTGCTTTATGTTTTTGTTGCTATTTTGAATAAGTTTTCTATTACATTATCTAATTGGCATTTAGGAAAACCATTAATGCTTGTTATTCTTGTGTTTGGAGCCTTGTTGACTTCTCTTGTTAGTACTAAAAGTTTGTGTGTAGATTAGATTACCTTAGATTATTTAGACAATAATTAATCAGCTGCTGTTTGTTATATTCAAACTTTCAAATTTCATATACCTCTGATTCCTCTTACCCCCATTATATATTGACTTTGACTTCCATTACAATGTGAAACAGAAGTGTTAATGGCAAGCATTCTTGTTTGTTCCTAGCTTTATTGGGAAGGCTTCTGTGGTTTCACCGTTGTGTATGCTATTTACTTTAGGTTGAAAACAATGTGCAACTGTTACTTGTTGTATGCACAGATGTATATATTTCTAAGATCAGTGTTTCATAAATTGTGGGTCACAATCCATTATTGGGTGTGAAATCAATTTAGTTTGTTGTAACTCATGTTTTTTAACAATTTAATTTAATTTAGCATTACAGTATACAGAAGCAGGATATGCAGGTGTGTTACATACGTAAACGTGTGCCATGGTGGTTTGCTGCACCTATTAACCCACCACCTAGGTATTAAGCCCAGCATCCATTAGCTATTTATCCTGATGTTCTCCCTCACCTCCCGAAAGGCCCTAGTGTGTGTTGTTCCCCTCTCTGTGTCCATGTGTTCTCATTGTTCAGCTCTCACTTATAAGTGAGAACATGCAGTGTTTTGTTTTCTGTTCCCATGTTAGTTTGCTGAGGATAATGGCTTCCAGCTCCATTCCATGTCCTTGCAAAGGACATGATATAGTTCCTTTTAAAGGCTGCATAGTGTAACTCATGTTTTTTAACAAAGGGAATAAAATAAATAGTATCAGAATGTACTACTCATGTGAAAGGTGAATATTGTTTGTTAAACATCTATCACCTCTCTACCTATCTAAATGGGTGTGTGCATGCATGCACATGCATTTATACACTGGATGTTGATATAAAATATATTTCTTAAAGAGGTCACGTTTTAAAAGTTTGAAAAGTCCGGTATTATATCATGGTTTTAAATTTTGTTCTTCACATTTACTATAGCCTTACTAAATTTTTGCCTGATTGAGCTCTCAGTTTTGGATACAAGTGTTAGAAAATCTTGAATGCTGGTTATGGATTTTTCCATTTTCCATTTAATTCTAATATTTTGCTTTGTATATTTTGAAGTTATGCCTTTAGATGCATTATTTATAATTTTTATACATTCCTGGCAGTTTTGTTCCTATTACTTTATATAATTCTCCTCTTATTTCGTCTTAACTTTTTTGCTTTTTGCATTAAGTTAACATCATCTCAGTAGCTTTATCTAGTTATTATATATATAACTTATGCTATCTCTTTATTTTTATTTATTTATTTTTATTATTATCCTTCAGGTTCTAGGGTACTTGTGCACAATGTGCAGGTTTGTTACATATGTATACATGTGCCACGTTGGTGTGCTGCACCTGTTAACTCGTCATTTACATTAGGTATATCTCCTAATGCTATCCCTCGCCCCTCCCCCCATCCCACAACAGTCCCCAGAGTGTGATGTTCCCCTTCCTGTGTCCATGTGTTCTCATTGTTCAATTCCCATCTATGAATGAGAACATGCGGTGTTTGGTTTTTTGTCCTTGCGATAGTTTACTGAGAATGATGATTTCCAATTTCATCCATGTCCCCACAAAGGACATGAACTCATCATTTTTTATGGCTGCATAGTATTCCATGGTGTATATGTGCCACATTTTCTTAATCCAGTATGTCATTGTTGGACATTTGGGTTGGTTCCAAGTCTTTGCTATTGTGAATAGTGCTGCAACAAACATACGTGTGTGTGTGTCTTTACAGCAGCATGATTTATAGTCCTTTGGGTATATACCCAGTAATGGGATGGCTGGGTCAAATGGTATTTCTAGTTCTAGATCCCTGAGGAATTGCCACACTGACTTCCACAATGGTTGAACTAGTTTACAGTCCCACCAACAGTGTAAAAGTGTTCCTATTTCTCCACATCCTCTCCAGCACCTGTTGTTTCCTGACTTTTTAATGATCGCCATTCTAACTGGTGTGAGATGGTATCTCATTGTGAGTTTGATTTGCATTTCTCTGATGGCCAGTGATGATGAGCATTTTTTCATGTGTCTTTTGGCTGCATAAATGTCTTCTTTTGAGAAGTGTCTGTTCATACCCTTTGCCCACTTTTCGATGGGGTTGTTTGATTTTTTCTTGTAAATTTGTTTAAGTTCTGGATATTAGCCCTTTGTCAGATGGGTTGATTGTAAAAATTTTCTCCCATTCTGTAGGTTGCCTGTTCACCCTGATGGTAGTTTCTTTTGCTGCGCAGAAGTTCTTTAGTTTGATTAGATCCCATTTGTCTATTTTGGCTTTTGTTGCTATTGCTTTTGGTGTTTTAGTCATGAAGTCTTTGCCCATGCCTATGTCCTGAATGGTATTGCCTCGGTTTTCTTCTAGGGTTTTTATGATTTTAGGTCTAACGTTTAAGTCTTTAATACATCTTGAATTAATTTCTGTATAAGGTGTAAGGAAGGGATCCAGTTTCAGCTTTCTATATATGACTAGTCAGTTTTCCCAGCATCATTTATTAAATAGGGAATCCTTTCCCCATTTCTTGCTTTTGTCAGGTTTGTCAAATATCAGATGGTTGTAGATGTGTGGTATTATTTCTGAGGGCTCTGTTCTGTTCCATTGATCTATATCTCTGTTTTGGTACCAGCACCATGCTGTTTTGGTTACTGTAGCCTTGTAGTATAGTTTGAAGTCAGGTAGAGTGATGCCTCCAGCTTTGTTCTTTTGGCTTAGGATTCACTTGGCAATGCAGGCTCTTTTTTGGTTCCATATGAACTTTAAAGTAGTTTTTTCCAGTTCTATGAAGAAAGTCATTGGTAGCTTGATGGGGATGGCCTTGAATCTATAAATTACCTTGGGCAGTATGGCATTTTCACGATATTGATTCTTCCTATCCATGAGCATGGAATGTTCTTCCATTTGTTTGTGTCCTCTTTTATTTTGTTGAGCAGTGGTTTGTAGTTCTTCTTGAAGAAGTCCTTCACATTCTTTGTAAGTTGGATTCCTAGGTTTTTTTTTCTCTTTGAGGCAACTGTGAATGGGAGTTCATTTATAATTTGGCTCTTTGTCTGTTATTGGTGTATAGGAATGCTTGTGATTTTTGCACATTGATTTTGTATCCTGAGACTTTGCCAACGTTGCTTATCAGCTTAAGGAGATTTTGGGCTGAGATGATGGGGTTTTCTAAATATACAATCATGTCATCTACAAACAGGGACAATTTGACTTCCTCTTTTCCTAATTGAATACCCTTTATTTCTTTCTCCTGCCTGATTGCCCTGGCCAGAACTTCAAACACTATGTTGAATAGGAGTGGTGAGAGAGGGTATCCCTGTCTTGTGCCTGTTTCCAAAAGGAATGCTTCCAGTTTTTGCCCATTCAGTATGATATTGGCTGTGGGTTTGTCATAAATAGCTCTTATTATTTTGAGATATATCCCATCAATACCTAATTTATTGAGAGTTTTTAGCATGAAGGGCTGTTGAATTTTGTCAAAGGCCTTTTCTGCATCTATTGAGATAATCATGTGGTTTTTGTCTTTGGTTCTGTTTATATGCTGGATTATGTTTATTGATTTGCGTATGTTGAACCAGCCTTGCATCCCTGGGATGAAGCCAACTTGATCATGGTGGATAAGCTTTTTGATGTGCTGCTGGATTCGGTTTGCCAGTATTTTATTGAGGATTTATGCATCGATGTTCATCAGGGATATTGGTCTAAAATTCTCTTTTTTTGTTGTGTCTCTGCCAGGCTTTGGTATCAGGATGATGCTGGCCTCATAAAATGAGTTAGGGAGGATTTCCTCTTTTTCTATGGATTGGAATAGTTTCAGAAGGAATGGTAACAGTTCCTCTTCATACCTCTGGTAGAATTCAGCTGTGAATCTGTCTGATCCTGGACTTTTTTTGGTTGGTAGGCTATTAATTATTGCCTCAATTTTAGAGCCTATTATTGGTGTATTCAGGGATTCAACTTCTTCCTGGTTTAGTCTTGGGAGGGTGCATGTGTCCAGGAATTTGTCCATTTCTTCTGGATTTTCTAGTTTATTTGCGTAGAGGTGTTTATAGTATTCTCTGATGGTAGTTTGTATTTCTGTGGGATCAGTGGTGATATCCCCTTTATCATTTTTTATTGCATCTATTTAATTCTTCTCTCTTTTCTTCTTTATTATCTTGCTAGCGGTCTATCAATTTTGTTGATCTTTTCAAGAAACCAGCTCCTGGATTCATTGATTTTTTGACGGGTTTTTTTTGTGTCTCCATTTCCTTCAGTTTTGCTCTGATCTTAGTTATTTCTTGCCTCCTGCTAGCTTTTGAATGTGTTTGCTCTTGCTTCTCTAGTTCTTTTAATTGTGATGTTAGGGTGTCAATTTTAGCTCTTTCTTGCTTTCTCCTGTGGGCATTTAGTGCTATAAATTTCCCTCTACACACTGCTTTAAATGTGTCCCAGAGATTCTGGTATGTTGTGTCTTTGTTCTCCTTGGTTTCAAAGAACATCTTTATTTCTGCTTTCATTTTGTTTTGTACCCAGTAGTCATTCAGGAGCAGGTTGTTCAGTTTCCATGTTGTTGAGCAGTTTTGAGTGAGTTTCTTAATCCTGAGTTCTAGTTTGATTGCACTGTGGTCTGAGAGACTGTTATGATTTCTGTTCTTTTACGTTTGCTGAGGAGTGCTTTACTTCCAACTATGTGGTCAATTTTGGAAAAATGTGGTGTGGTGCAGAGAAGAATGTATATTCTGTTGATTTGTGGTGGAGAGTTCTGTACATGTCTATTAGGTCTGCTTGGTGCAGAGCTGAGTTCAATTCCTGAATATCCTTGTTAACTTTCTGTCTTGTTGATCTGTCTAATGTTGACACTGGGGTGTTAAAGTCTCCCATTATCATTGTGTGGGAGTCTAAGTCTCTTTGTAGGTCTCTAAGGGCTTGCTTTATGAATCTGGGTGCTCCTATATTGGGTGCATATACATTTAGGATAGTTAGCTCTTCTTGTTGAATTGATCCCTTTACCATTATGTAATGGCCTTCTTTGTCTCTTTTGATCTTTGTTGGTTTAAAGTCTGTTATATCAGAGAATAGGATTGCAACCCCTGCTTTTTTTTGTTTTCCATTTGCTCGGTAGATCTTCCTTCATCCCTTTATTTTGAAACTATATGTGTCTCTGCACGTGAGATGGGTTTCCTGAATACAGCACACTGATGGGTCTTGACTCTTTATCCAATTTGCCAGTCTCTGTCTTTTAATTGGAGCATTTAGCCCATTTACATTTAAGGTTAATATTGTGTGTGAATTTGATCCTGTCATTTATGATGTTAGTGGTTATTTTGCTCATTAGTTGATGCAGTTTCTTCCTGGCATCAATAGTCTTTACAATTTGGCATGTTTTTGCAGTGGCCGGTACCGGTTGTTCCTTTCCATGTTTAGTGCTTCCTTCAGGAGCTCTTGTAAAGCAGGCCTGGTGGTGACAAAATCTCTCAGTATTTGTTTGTCTGTAAAGGATTTCATTTCTCCTTCATTTATGAAGCTTAGTTTGGCTGGATATGAAATTCTGGGTTGAAAATCCTTTTCTTTAAGACTGTTGAATATTGGCCCCCAATCTCTTCTGGCTTGTAGAGTTTCTGCCGAGAGATCTGCTGTTAGTCTGATGGGCTTCCCTTTATGGGTAACCCGACCTTTCTCTCTGGCTGCCCTTAACACTTTTTCCTTCATTTCAACTTTGGTGAATCTGACAATTATGTGTCTTGGAGTCGCTCTTCTCGAGTATCTTTGTGGCATTCTCTGTATTTCCTGAATTTGAATGCTGGCCTGCCTTGCTAGATTGGGGAAGTTCTCTTGGATAATATCCTGAAGAGTGTTTTCCAACTTGGTTCCATTCTCCCCGTCACTTTCAGGTACACCAATCAGACGTAGATTTGGTCTTTTCACATAGTCCCATATTTTTTGGAGGCTTTGTTCATTTCTTTTTACTCTTTTTTCTCTAAACTTCTCTTCTCACTTCATTTCATTCATTTGATCTTCAATCACTGATACTTTTTCTTCCACTTGATCGAATCGGCTACTGAAGGTTGTGCATGTGTCACATAGTTCTCCTACCATGGTTTTCAGCTCCATCAGGTCACTTAAGGTCTTCTCTATGCTGTTTATTCTCGTCAGTCATTCGCCTAATCTTTTTTCAAGGTTTTTAGCTTCTTTGCAATGGGTTTGAACATCCTCCTTTAGCTTGGAGAAGTTTGTTATTACGGATCATCTGAAGCCTTCTTCTCTCAACTTGTCAAAGTCATTCTCCATCCAGCTTTGTTGCTGGCGAGGAGCTGCATTCCTTTGGAGGAGAAGAGGCGCTCTGATTTTTAGAATTTTCAGCTTTTCTGCTCTGGTTTCTCCCCATCTTTGTGGTTTTATCTACCTTTGGTCTTTGATGATGGTGACGTACAGATGGGGTTTTGGTGTGAATGTCCTTTCTATTTGTTAGTTTTCCTTCTAACAGTCAGGACCCTCAGCTGCAGGTCTGTTGGAGTTTGCTGGAGGTCCACTCCAGACCCTGTTTGCCTGGGTATTGCCAACAGAGGCTGCAGAACAGCAAATATTGCAGAATGGCAAATGTTGCTGCCTGATCCTTCCTCTGGAAGCTTTGTCTCAGAGGGGCACTCGGCTGTATGAGGTGTCAGTTGGCCCCTACTGGGAGGTGTCTCCCAGTTAGGCTACTCGGGGGTCAAGGACCCACTTGAGGAGGCAGTCTGTCCGTTCTCAGATCTCAGACTCCGTGCTGGGAGAACCGCTACTCTCTTCAAAGCTGTCAGACAGGGACGTTTAAGTCTACAGAAGTTTCTGCTGCATTTTGTTCAGCTATGCCTTGCACCCAGAAGTGGAGTCTACAGAGGCAGGCAGGCCTCCTTGAGCTGCAGTGGGCTCCACCCAGTTCGAGCTTCCTGGCCGCTTTGTTTACCTACTCAAGCCTCAGCAATTGTGGACGCCCCTCCCCCAGACTTGCTGCTGCCTTGCAGTTTGATCTCAGACTGCTGTGCTAGCAGTGAGCAAGGCTCTGTGGGCATGGGACTCTCCGAGCCAGGGGTGGGATATAATCTCCTGGTGTGCTGTTTGCGAAGACCGTTGGAAAAGTGCAGTATTAGGGTGGGAGTGTCCCGATTTTCCAGGTACCATCTGTCACAGCTTCCCTTGGCTAGGAAAGGAAATTCCCCAACCCCTTGTGCTTCCCGGGTGAGGCAATGCCCCACCCTGCTCCGTGGGCTGCACCCACTATCCCAAAAGCCCCAGTGAGATGAACCCAGTACCTCAGTTGGAAATGCAGAAATCACCCGTCTTCTGCGTCGCTCAGGCTGGGAGATGTAGATTGGAGCTGTTCGTATTCGGCCATCTTGGAACCTCCCCCCTCTTTACTTTCAATCTTCTTGTTTTGATTTGTTCTAGGTATGTATCATACATTCAGCAAGCAGCTAGATTTAAAATTTCAATCTAATATGCTAATCTCTGTTTTGTAACTGATGCATTTAATCTAATTACATTTATTGTGATTATTGATGAACTTTATATTTTCTCTTTATTGACATTTTTCTTGTGTTTTCTTCTCCCAGTCCTTTTTGGCTTTGTATTCAATTGGTAAACTATTTCAAAAATGTGTCTTTCATTTTTTCCTGTGTTGGTTGTTAATCTATTTTTTTTTAAGACAGAGTCTTGCTCTGTCACCTAGGCTGGAGTGCACTGGCATGATCTCGGCTCACTGCAACCTCTGCCTCACGGGTTCAAGCAATTCTCCTGCCTCAGCCTCCTGAGTAGCTGGGACTACAGCTGTGCACCACCATGTCCAGCTAATTTTTTGTATTTTTAGTAGGGATGGGGTTTCACTGTGTTAGCCAGGATGATCTCAATCTCCTGACCTTGTGATCCACCCACCTTGGCCTCCCAAAGTGCTGGGATTACAGGTGTGAGCCACTGTGCCCAGCCTGTTAATCTATTCTTTTAGTGTTTTTTCTTATAGTCTCAACATATCCTACTTTAGTTTTTAAAAGTATTCTAACAAATATATTGTTATTTAGCATTTCTATTCTTCTAAACACAGAATATTTTATTTTATTTTATTTATTTATCTTTTTTGAGACGGAGTCTCGTTCTGTTGCCCAGGCTGGAGTGCAGTGGCGCAATCTTGGCTCACCGCAAGCTCCACCTCCCAGGTTCATGCCATTCTTCTGCCTCAGCCTCCCGAGTAGCTGGGACTACAGGCGCCCACCACTACGAACAGCTAAGTTTTTGTATTTTTAGTAGAGATGGGGTTTCACCGCATTAGCCAGGATAGTCTCGATCTCCTGACCTCTTGATCCACCCGCCTCAGCCTCCCAAAGTGCTGGGATTACAGGCGTGAGCCACCACGCCTGGCCTAAACACCGAATTTTTATCATGCAAGTCAATATTTAAACCTACGAACATATTTAATTAATTTTTACATCATTATTTCATTGTTTCCTCTATCCCCTACCTTTGCTGTAGTTTCACATTTCTCTTTAGTGAAGTATATCCTTTACTAAGTGTGCCAATGTGCATCTGCATATGGCGGACTCATTTAGTCTTCATGTTTCTGAAAATGTCTTTTTGCCCTCACTGTTAAATAATAGTTTAGCTGGATATAAAATTCTATGTTGACAGCTGTTTTCTCTTAACCTTCTAATGATATTACTACATTGTCTTCTGGCCACAGTTGTTACCGAAAATAAGTCCACTGTCAGCCTAATGGTCCCTACTGGATATCTTATCTGTTCTCTCTAGCAATTTTAGGAGTTTCTTCTTATTATCAATGATCTGTACTTTCACTGTCACATGTCATGCCCTGTCTACGGTGTCCTTTCCATCAGAGAACACATCTGTGATCATGAGAATCTTCAGCTTTAATCTCCTATTAGGACCTAATATCTAATCTCTTAATGTTTCTCCATCATTCCCTCCATTCTCTTCTTTTGGAACATCTACCAGATACATGTTAGAGCCTCTCAATGAATCTTTCATGTCTGCTAACCATTGTACTAAAAATCATCTCTTTGTCACTCTGGACTAAGTTCTGTGTTTATTTCTCAAAACTATTTCTGAATTTATTACTCTCTTTGGATCTAATCTAGAGTATTTCTTGTCTTTTGAGGATTTATTTTGGTAACTGCTTTTTTTTTTTTTCTGAGACGGAGTCTCGCTCTGTCACCCAGGCTGGAGTGCAGTGGTGTGATTTTGGCTCACTGCAACCTCTGCTTCCCGGGTTCACGCCATTCTCCTGCCTCAGCCTACTGAGTAGCTGGGACTACAGGTGCCTGCCACCACGCCCGGTTGATTTTTTTTTGTATTTTTAGTAGAGACAGGGTTTCACTGCGTTAGCCAGGTTGGTCTCGAACTCCTGACCTCGTGATCCACCTGGCTTGGCCTCCCAAAGTGCTGGGATTACAGGCATGAGCCACCACGCCCAGCCGGTAACTGCTTTTTTTTTTTTTTTTTAGTTCCAATGTATATTTGGTTTTTCTAAATACCCACCCGGTTTTGTTTTATTTATATCTGCTTTGTGTTTCATAGTTCCTTCGTCACTATTAATGAATGCAATGCCTTAATTTATGCCTTTGAACGGTCTAGACATCCTTATTTTAAAGTCTTGGTAAGACTGTTTCAAAGATAAAAATTATTTTATCTCTAGGCATTTCATGCTTCAATTAATAATTTTGATTGTTTTCTAGGCTTTCTTCTTTAGTTTCAGATTTCTTCATTTGTTATAGCAGCTACATCTTGAAAGAGTGTGTGTGTGTGTGTGTGTGTGTGTGTGTGTGATATTTTTCTCTCATCCTATTTGTCTAGCAGTTTTGGGAATTTACAGTTGTCTCCATTTGACCTTTTCTCAGGCCCCTAGTGCAGCACCAGGTGGAATTTGTTCTGCAGTGATATTGGGACTATCACAAATCTAGTTATAGGGCAGCAGGTATCTGGCTGAGTTCCTGGCCAGGAAGTGCATCTACAGTCTGCTTTCCAAGCCAAGAACCCTGTGTAAAATGTAGTCTCAGGAAGTAGTCAATAATTGCTTTATCTTAATAGACTTTTTTTCTGTAGAGGGAGGAGCTTCATTCAAGCCTCTGGCTTCCACAGTAAATCTTCTTCTGATCCACAATTGTGCATGAAGCACTTTCATTTCTATTACATGGTAGGAGTCAAGATTCAAGCTACTACTATATGCTTACAGACCTGGATTGTAACAGACTCATGGCTTCAGACCCACTCACCACATTGTGATTAATTTCTAGTTCTGTTCAGTGAAGCTGTTTATTTTTTTAACCCTCTCTTCTTATATTTTAGTAGGGATTTAATGAGTTTGAAGCAGAGCAGGTGGATCAAAGCATTCATTCTTGATGCTTTTTCTTGACCAGAAGTCCAATCCACATTGTAAAGTTTTTCATTTTATTTGAAAATTCATGTAATTTTAGTTTCTGAAAGCTACATGTTATAGCTAGATAACTACAGACTGAAAGTATTTTTTGTTATTGAGACAGGGTCTCATTCTGTTGCCCAGGCTGAAGTGCAGTGGCATGACCATGTCTCACTGTAGCCTTGACCTCCAGAGCTCAAATGATCCTCCCTCCTCAGCCTCTAAAGTAGCTGGGACCACAGGTATGTGCCACCATGCCTGGCCATTTTTTTTTTTATAGAGATGGGGGTCTCCCTACGTAGCCCAGGCTGGTCTCAAACTCCTGGGCTCAAGCAATCCTCCCATCTTGGCGTCCCTAAGTACTAGTATTACAAGCATTAGCCCCTGTGCCTGGCCTGAAAGCAATATTTTTTACTAAAATAATTTAACTTGTATTTATTATTTAACAATTTCCCAAATGCATAAGCATTTTTATTGTTTTAGCGAAAATAAGGCAACTTAAAAGTCTGTTGTATTTGTTCCAATTTTAGTATATGTGCTGCCTAAGTAAGCACAAAAGTCTGTTGTATTTGTTGAGGATTTCTGTGCCCTTCATAGAACATGGCATCTCCCCCAGAAAACCATCTTAAAAAACTCTACAATTCAACTTCAGAACTGGATAGAGAAAGTGCACAATCCATTTGTCAATAAAAGTCAGCCTGATATAGTGGCGAAGAGGCTTGGGAATTTCTGGGAATCACTCAGTCTTGGCTTTAAGTTCCAGTTCCACTGATTACTAGGTTTATGACTTTGGGCAGCTTACACTACTTTTTAAGCTTCCTTTTCCTCATCTTTAATGTGGTGGTAATAATAGGAACTGATAGAACTGCTTGAGAATTAAATGACATAATATGTATGAAATTCATATGCACAGCACCTGGCACACAGGAAGTGCCCAACAAATGTTAGCCATTGTGACCATTATGAGTAAATCATATGTGTGTCAACTAGCTTTGATAAATAAAACAACAAAATCATGATGTTATGACATGACTGGAAAGTTCATCTGAAAGAGTAACAGAAAAATAAACTCACTCTTCTACAGTATACGTATATTATGGGTAGTCCAAACAATGAAAACCACATCAATCACAAAATCAAAGTGCAAAAATTGCTAGCATTCCTATACACCAACAACAGGCATGCAGAGAGCCAAATCATGAATGAACTCCCATTCACAATTGCTATGAAGAGAATAAAATGCCTAGGAATACAGCTAAAAAGGGAAGTGAAGGACCTCTTCAATGAGAACTATAAACCGCTGCTCAAGGAAATCAGAGAGGGTACAAACAAATGGAAAAATATTCCATGCTCATGGATAGGAAGAATCAGTATCATGAAAGTGGTCATACTACCCAAAGTAATTTATAGACTCAATGCTATTCCCATTAAACTACCATTGACATTCTTCATAGAATTAGAAAAACTATTTTAAAATTCATATGGAACCAAAAAAGAGCTTGTATAGTCAAGACAATCCTAAGAAAAAAGAACAAAGCTGGAGGTATCACATTACCCAAGTTCAAACTATACTACAAGGCTACAGTAACCAAAACATCATGGTACTGGTACAAAAATAGACACACAGACCAATGGAACAGAATAGAGAACTCAGAAATAAGACCACATGCTTGCAACCATCTGATCTTTGATAAACCTGACCAAAACAAGCAATGGGGAAAGGTATTTTTACCTTTTTAATAAATGGTGCTGGGAGAACTGGCTAGCCATATGCAGAAAATTAAAATTGGACCCATTCTTTACACTTTATACAAAAACCAACTCAAGATGGATTAAAGATTTAAATGTAAAACCCAAAACCATAAAAACCCTAGATGAAAATCTAGGCAATACCATTCAGGACATAGGCATGGGCAAAGATTTCATGATGAAAACACCAAAAGCAATTGTAACAAAAGCAAAAATTGACAAATGGGACTTAATTAAACTAAAGAGCTTCTGCACAGGAAAAGAAACTATCATTGGAGTGAACAGACAACCT
Organism: Homo sapiens; assembly: GCF_000001405.40. Classification (NCBI taxonomy): domain Eukaryota; kingdom Metazoa; phylum Chordata; class Mammalia; order Primates; family Hominidae; genus Homo; species Homo sapiens. The sequence continues at coordinate 42,054,215 of NC_000001.11, read as the reverse complement.
ACAGAATGGGAGAAAAAGTGTGCCATCTATCCATTTGACAAAGATCTAATATCCAGATTCTACAAGGAACTTAAACAAATTTACAAGAATAAAACAAACAACCCCATTAAAAAGTGGGCAAAGGACATGAACAGACACTTCTCAAAAGAAGACATTCATGCAGTCATGATCGTTGCAGAAATGCAAATTAAAACCATGATGAAATGCCATCTCACACCAGTCAGAATGGCGATTATTAAAATGTCAAGAAACAACAGATGCTGGGGAGGTTGCAGAGAAAAAGGAATGCTTTTACACTGTTGGTGGGAGCGTAAATTAGTTCAACCATTGTGGAAGACAGTGTGGCGATTGCTCAAAGATCTAGAACCAGAAATACCATTTGACTCAGCAATCCCATTACTGGATATATACCCAAAGGAATATAAATCATTCTGTTATAAAGATACATGCACACATATGTTCACTGCAGCACTATTCACAATAGCAAAGACATGGAATCAACCCAAATGCCCATCAGTGGTAGACTGGATAAAGAAAATGTGGTACATATACACCATGGAATACTATGCAGCCATGAAAAGGAATGAGATTATGTCCTTTGCAGTGACATGAATCGAGCTGGAAGCCATTATCCTCAGCAAATGAATGCAGGAACAGAAACCCAAACACTGCATATTCTCACTTATAAGTGGGAGCTGAACAATGAGAACACGTGGACACAGGGAGGGGAGCAACACACACTGGGGCCTGTTGAGGGATGTGGTGGGGAGAGGGAGAGCATTAGGAAAAAATAGCTAATGGATGCTGGGCTTAATACCTAGGCGATGGGATGATATGTGCAGCAAACCACCATGGCACACGTTGACCTAGGTAACAAAATCTGCACATTCTGCACATGTACTCCGGAAAATAGAAGTTGATGAAAAAAATAAAAAAGAAAACCACATCAATCTGTACCACATGAACAATAGTGTTATATAAAACCACAGGAATGTGGTTTTTGAAGAAAATTTGATTCCATTCAGTTTTCTTGACTAGTAATTTTCTTTCTTTCTTTTTTTTTTTTTTTGAAATGGAGTCTCGCTCTGTCACCCAGGCTGGAGTGCAGTGGCGCAATCTTGGCTCACTGCAAGCTCCGCCTCCCAGGTTCACGGCATTCTCCTGCCTCAGCCTCCCGAGTAGCTGGGACTACAGGCGCCCGCCCCCACGCCTGGCTAATTTTTTGTGTTTTTAGTAGAGATGGGGTTTCACTGTGTTAGCCAGGATGGTCTCGATCTCCTGACCTCATGATCCGCCCGCCTCAGCCTCCCAAAATGCTGGGATTACAGGCGTGAGCCACTGCGCCCGGCCCTTGTCTAGTAATTTTAATCAAATTTGTCCCAGCCTCCAGCGGCCAAAATATCATCTTCAAATTTTCAATAGCTGTGAATCAAAAATCTTTCCGGTAGAAAATATTAAGTTCCTGCTTTTCATGTGGCTAAAATGTTATCATTTCAACATTATTGTACTCTTCTACTCTTATTAGTAGTTTCTATTAATGAAGAGAAGGTTTCTTTCTTCCTCCTGGAGTTTAAAAAATATCCCAGCAAACTAAAGGATGATCTCAGTCTGAGAAGAACAGTTCGACTATGCGATGATGCAATCCCTATAAATATTGTCCTGTTAGACAAGGGCTCCGTGGCTTAAGTGGCCTAGTTTAACAATTAAAGCCAACCTGCTTGGTCCCTTGTGGTCATAAAACCAAGAACCTAGGGATTCAGTACAATCCCGGGGGACTCAACTTTAAAGGCACCTTATTTAACTTGCTTTTAAAAATAGTGCACCAAGTTTTCATGTGTTTTACTTGGCAGACACACTGACTTGGGGGTTGGTCTTTGTGCCTGGTTTAGCATCAGTGCAACACCTTTTGTTGATGGATGGAGGGAGGAAGTATGCTAAAACAAGACAGTGATGCGTGTAGAAAAGCTTGTGTCTCATTCAAAGAGTAATGAGACATCTAGAGGGGAAAGGAGAGGTCAGAAGCAGGGTTTCTGCTAAAGAGAAAAAGGGCTGTATCTCCAGGGCTGAATTCACATCATCTTTGGAACAAGTGTCAATGTTAGGATATATGACACTTCTTTCTTTGGGAGCTGAATAGGAGCCTAGACATGCTGGGTCTTTAAGGACACGTTTAGAGGCTTCTAGGTTCACCTTCAATACCAGTTCCAGTTGCCAGTTCACTATTCCTTGGACCTTAAGGTGAACGCCACTGAAGAGTAGGCATATTTACATTGGAAGACTGTATGACTCTCCACTCTTTGCCCTGAAGTTTAAAGGGACTGTGCCAAGCACTGTGGTAAATGGGAGATTGGGGGGTTGTCAGCTTTCTGGCCTTGTTATTGCTAAGGAAGGACGTCAAGAGAAAATAGAGAAGGGAGGCAAGGACAGAACCTTGGGGCACCAGAACTATATTAGTTTAGGTTGTAAATGTGCAAACTGAATCTTTTATGATCTGACATTCCTATCCCTAATGCCTCTGTTGAGACTCCTTCCTGTCTTTGGATTTCCTTCAGCCATTTCTAGAGGTCTACCTCAGATGGAAGTAATCTTTCTCAACATGATATCTGCTCCTCTTTGGTGGTACTGATCACTTTGTACTTCTTGCTATAGTTATTTGCACACTCATTTACTTATATGTTTGAAGGTCTGTTTTCTGAGTTAGAAAGCTCAGCTTCCTACCGCTATGGTCCAGATCCTCAGGGAGCATCCTGAAGATGATGGTGATGGTAACAGTGAGGAGGCAGATGATGGAGATGATGATGATAATGGCAGCACATCAGAGCAGAGCAAGTATATCTTTGCAGGCAGAGTGTCCTTGGTTTGAACTTAACTCTGCCATTTACTAATTGTATGGCACTTAGCAAGTTCCTCAATTTAGCTGAGTAAAGTCATTTTGAGGATTAAATGAATTAACCTACATTAATATGTGCTCTATTCTACAGCACACAATAATACGTGATCTAGAAATATTCAATTCTGTTTTCTTCTCTGCCTCCCCCTTACCCAGTCCATGATGGTTCTGAGTGTATAAAGAGCTTCCATCTTCAATGTAGTAGTCAGGATTCTTTCCCTGATGGTAACCCAGCTGAAACAAATGAAATGACAGAACCTTTTGTTCATGTAATTGCAAGAGCAAGGCTAGGCTTGATCCAGCATGCAAATGACATGATCAGAGCCCAGTTATCCTCTCCTCATTTATTGACTGCTTTCTCTGTGATTTTTCAGTTCTCAGGTGGGCTCTACTCCTCTCTAGCTGCTCCAGCCAAAGTCCTAGAATTTTATCTAACTGGTTTCCATTGGCCTGGCTTAGATCACCTGCCCATCCCTGAACCAATTGCTGTGGCCTGGAGGAAATGATGGCCTGAGTGGCCGAGCTGGGGGTCTTATATTTTCTCTGAGCTGAGGGTGAGAACAGCCCCATCCAATCCACATGTACTAAGAGAATTGAAGAGGTAGCTCCCCAAGGAAAATCAGGGAACTGTGACCAGAAGAAGGTGACCCAGTGACAGGCAAAACCAACAGATGCCAATCATCTACATGACTGCAGTGAAGCTAGATGCGCCTAGGGAAAACTCCTCTTCTGCCTTGTGCAGTGTCTAAACACTTTGAGGTGACATGTAGATACCTATAGACCTCAGTGGTTTTGGACTTCTTTATTACTTTCCCAGTGCTATGTATTTGTTTGTTTTTGGAGGAGGAGGGAGGATCTAGTTAGCTAAGTGAAGTGTTGGGAATATGATGCTTCTCTCAGTGTCCTAAGGAAAAAGATGGCACACTCAAAGTGTTGAGTATAAGGAATATTTACATGGATATGGGCAGGGTTAGTCGACAAGGGGTAATGAAGCTCTGTGGATCTTGCTAGAGGCAGTGAGGAGCAGGAAGGGGATTACCAGAGTCCAGTGAGAGCTGGACTTGTAGAAGAGGGGCTCCTCAACTGATCTGTGGCCTTGGAGGGGTACAACTACTGCTTGACCTATGGAAAGGCAGGGAGGGAGCAGGAAAATAAATAGCCCAGCTTCCCTCTACTCCCATCCTCCATTCTCATGCTGGTGCCTCCTATTGGCTTAACCAGCCAGAAGCTGTAGGGCAAGGGAGGCCAAGTGATACAGTCCACAGAGCCACGCAGAGAAGGGCAGAGAACCGAGAACAGCCGGCAAGGTCCTACTGTTCTGCAAGGTTTGTTGTCTGGGAGGAAAGTATAGTGTGTTAGACACTTGGCTCATGATCAGTGGAGTTGGGGGAAGGGGGTGTTTAGTCAGCGTCTAGCTAAATTCTCATTTATTCTCTTTGCTTTTGGAAATGTAATAATCTCTCCATCAAAGCTCCATCTATCTGCCAAAATAATGCATGTCCTTTTGTACAAATGAAAGAATTACTGCTATTATGCAAACACTGAAAGGGTAACACATTTGCATGCAGAGGGGAAAAAAGAAAAATCCTATTTGGAATAAAATTAAGTATACCAATGTGGCAAAAAGACACATGAGTATCCATTTAACACTTGGACAGGAGTAGGACTAACTTTCATTGCCAACCCCAATGAAATAATGGAAGCCAAAAAGAAAATACTCTGAAAATAGAGGCCTGGATAGAATAAATGGGAATTGGGAATTTCTGGCCATTTTAACACTCCCCCCTCAACAGAAACAAAAGATTAAAATAAAGGTTTTTACAAATACTAACCATGAATATTAATGTTCTATAGCTGATGCCTGAACCAAGTTCCTCATTAAAAAGGCCTTTCGGCAGAGAAATGTTAGCATGCAGGGTTTGGAACTGGTGTGAGGCTGTGTGGAGAATATGCTTTGCATCTGAAACCAGAAGGAAGGCAGATGCATCAGATTCAGAACTTGTCAGATGTTGATGATATTGTTTGATCATTGGGAAATAAGAGCTTAGAAAAGAAGGCAAAAGAATCACTTATTCTGGAGAAGAGAAAGTTGAAGTGTCACCCGAGGGGATGTTCAGTTCATGAAATACTTCCCTGTACTCCAGGTCCCTCATGTTATATTGATACTGTTGTTTTGCTTGTCTGTGTCTCAACCAGAACGAGAGTGGACGGGGGCAGGGACTGTGTCTACCAAGATCTTATTCTCCTCTGTAGCTCCTGTGCTTAGCACAGAGTAGACGCCTAAGGAATGTTGAATTGAGAATGCACCATAGAATTTTAGAGCCCAAAGTAGCCTCGGAAATCACCAATTTCAATGGTTCTAAACGAATAGATGTGCTTGGGTTGGGGGTTTGGTCAATGGTGGTTGGGGGGAGAATAAGGAAAATGAGATGTATCTGGGAGGGATTTTTTTGAAATGCACCACTCCCAAACCCACCTGCCACTCTAGCCCCGACAACTTATGTGGTACGTCAGGACCCAGTGAGAGTGAACATTGTATTTTGGAAAGATTAACTGGTAACCCCCTCCCCAACCATGCTGAGAAACACTGCCCAATACTTACCCACCCAACTATCTGGCAATCCTTCCTGCTTCCAGGGTTCAGCTCAGCGCCTGGTGCAAAACAGGTGCCATCAGGAGTTGCTGAGTGAATGACTGTCACAAGAGAGACTGTTTAGAAGAAGTAATAATAATTTACCCAATGCCACACACAGCCAGGTCATAAAGGATTATCATATATGCAAAACTCTTAGAACAATGGCATTTAGTAAATGCTATCCAAGTGTGAGCTGTCATTAGAATTATTATTGCAGAGGAAATGCTGACCAACGTATTTCAACACCTGCCTCTCCATCCCTAAAATCAGGGAAAAGCTGAATGCATTCATTTGTGAATGAGGACATAGGTCAGGACTTTCTGTTGATAGGTGTCCTTAAATAGTGGGACCAGCCCTTAGAGGAAGCTTGGGATTCCCTTGCTCCATCCTCTGCTGAAGTATTAAAATGTGATGGACACTCATCTTTCCAGGCTGATTAAGATTAGATGCAGCTTTCTTAGAGGCAAAAAGTAGACTAGAGCTAAAAGCTTCCTAAGACCCCAGGAATCACATCACAACTCTATAATCTTCATTTGGAAATTACATTACTACTATTGAATACACTGAAATGGATGAAAGAAACGACAGCCCTATCTCACTATCTCTTCGTCTGTAAAACTGATTGTAATTACAGTTTATTTATTTGATGATAGATCTAGTTTTGGTAGTATAGTGTATCATTAAAAGCATGGATTCTGTGAGTGTACTAAATACCACTGAATTGTATGATTTAAGATGGCTAAAATGGTGAATTTATGTTATGTGGATTTTCACACACACACACACACACACACACAAAGTGGTTGGATTCTAGAGCCAGATAATTTGAGTTTGAGTTCTGTCACCTACTGACTGAGTGACTTTGGGCAAGTTTCCCAACCTCTCTGTGCTTCTCTTTCTTCATCTGTAAATGGGATAATAATAGCACTTACTTTCTGAGGCTGCTGTAAGGATTGAATGAGCTCATATATGCAATACTCCTAGAGCTGTGGCATGTAGTAAATGCAATCCAAGCGTGAGCTCTTGTTAGTATTATCATTGCAGATGACATTCCCACAGAGAGATGAGGCTGTTGTTAACTTTTGTGGCTTGTCTACAATGATATGCATTATTTAATAGATGAAGTACAGATTGACAACTGAAGTTATCTTAGTTGTATGAGATTGAGTCAGACTGTGCCTGTTTGTGAGAGAAAATAGTTTGTTTTCCTAGGCATGGTGTTAATATAAATGATTTCTTTTGCATTCCTGAATCACAGAATCTCAAACACTAGAAAAGGGCTCACAGTTTATCTCAGCCTGAACAGAGAAGAAACTGACTTGCCCAGGGTTACACAACTAGCTGTGGCCTGGTCTTCTAATTGTTAGAGCAGTGCTCTGTCTGCTCATCACCATAGCTACAATAACTCAGTACATGGAAATGCATTTTGTTTTCACATCTGTAATCTTTAAAGTGAAATACACACACACACACACACACACACAAGAATCAAGGCGCAGACAGTATTTTAATTTTGCAAGGAGTCATAGGCATTTAACTGGGATGTACCATGTTTTCTGTTTTGAAGGGAGGTGGTTAAGACTACATTAATGTAACAGGGTTCCTAGTTCAAAGCAACAGAAACAAGCTCAGGCTAACTTGAACAGTCAAGGAATTTATTGGAAGGATATTGGGTAGTTTGAGAATTGAAATGAGGCTGGTGAACTATGCTCAGAAAATAACCACAACAAGAGGTCAGGGAGCGGCTGCCAAAGCCAAGGTCACCCCTCAGAATTGGTCTGGTAACGATGCTGCCAGGCACAGCTGCCCCTGAACATGCAATGCCAAAGCCCCAGATCTTGCACAACACAGCAGCCAGTGGACTCTCATCCTTGGTGGCGCAGCTGTTCTGTGTACTCTCACCTGCTCTCATCTGTGTCTTTGCATCACTCGTCATGATTCCAAGTCCCAGAAGGAATATCTCGTTAGCTGGGCTGGGTTAGATGTCTGAGACCAAGTGTGGTTGGCAGGTGGGGGTGTGGGACAGGGCACAGAGAGAAGATTCCTACCTATAACGAAGGTTTACAAAGGAGGACCCCTCCCATTTGGATTCTCCCCACATAGGAAGGTATTAGAATGCTGAGTAATTGAAAAAAAAATAAATGAACAAAAACAACAAAAAATCCATGTCAATCAGGAAAGTCTAGAAATGATGCCTAGCCCAGCAGCTTGCCTTTTGCCCTCTCTGGTGTCAGCATCCTCTACTCTGCCTGCTGTCCCCCTACTCCCTTCCATCCCCATCACCCCCCATGCAGGAGGAAACAGATGTTCCAAGCAGGACTACAAGGTCAAATGATTCTTTTACAGCTCTGTTTACTTCAGTCACTGCCAGATTCACCCCTATAATCCTCCACCATCTTCTTACTCAATTAGAATAAAATCCAACCACTTTATTGTTTTTTTATTGTGATAAATTAGTATAACATAAAATTCACCATTTTGGTCATTTTAGAGTAAACAATTCAGTGGTTCTTACAAGGTTGTGCGACCATCACCACTGTTTTATTCCAGAACATTCTTACTATCCCCAGATGAAAAACCCTACCTATTAAGCAGTCACCCTCTATTCCTGCCACCCCTTAGACCCTGGAAACTGTGAATCTGCATCCTGTCTCTATGGATTTACCTGTTCTGGAAATGTCATAGGAATGAAGTGATATAATATATAGCTGCCTTCCTAGAATTCCTACTCCTCCCCCTGCTACGGGCCCTCCACGGCCTCATCTCAACGCAGGATGGGGAACCAGCACCAGTTACTCAACCCTTCCCTGACAATGCCTCAGAAGGGAGAGGGAACCACAGAAGAGGGAGGAATCTGAAAAACCACTGGAAAGACACTAAGAATCACCTGGGAGCTGTCTACCATAGAGGGAGGACACCGAGGAAGAGCAGCGCTTGGAATCAAGGTATGGGGTGGTTTTCTGAGGCACAGCGTTGCCCAGCGGGGACTCTGCAGCAAATCAGCATATTTAAGCCTAGATTATAAGACCAGAGGCCCTCCCCTCTCTCCACCCTCCACCCCAACCGACACTCCTCACAACTTAACCAGAAAAAGCATAAGTTAGGGCTACGCTAACAGCCAAGATGGCTGTCTTAATTAGGGCAATGTTAAAATAATGTAACTAGGAGACGGTAAAGTAGAATAGCTTAAATTAGATAGGGATGCATTTCTCTCATACATAACAATTCCAAAATGAGTGTTTTAGACTGGTGGGCAGCTGCACTCCACATTGTCATCCAAGGACAAAGATTGACTGCAGCGCTGTCATCTTCAACACAGGGCTTCTAAGGTGTATGTAGTGAGGGTTCAGTAGGCCAACTGGGATATGACACCATGCAAGGCTTGAGCTCACCTGTAGGATTAGCATATACTTTAAACCAGCAGTCAATATCTGGTCCCGTCTCCTTCCTAGCACGACCTGTGGGCTGGGAAACACGGGGAAGCATTAGGAGTGACCCTTGTAACTATCACAGCTAATTCTCCACTTAATAGAACTTTTGCTTTCCATCTCCATGATCTTGAGCCTGAATATCCCTAAGGGAGGAATGTTACCACCAAGGAATTGGAAGCTGAGCCTGTCTTTGGCCATTTTGGAACTCACACCATTGAACCAATAGGAAGAGGAGGGATCACTATATTGAGTACCAAGAAGAAAGTGGGTTGCTGCCATGCAATAGGGCTGGGAAGACTATATTTTAAACTCAGGGGATTTCTGGGGTCACTTCCAGGACTTCCATGTCCAATAATGAAGGTCAGTGGGAAACTGACCACCTACTGCAGAGAGGACTAGTAAGGGCTCAGCTATTTGGGGATGAAGGTTTGGATCTCAGACCTTCTCAAGATAAGGTGATAAGTGTTTGGTAGAGGATAAAGTGATCACGGAATAAAAGGAAGCGGTGATTATTTGCTCCGGCCTCATGAAAGACTACAGAAGGGGAGACCATAGAAGCCATACTTATTTTATGCCAATTATCTTGCCCTCCCCTCCCCTTCTCCATACTATTTTACATGAAGAGTGCTGATGGTAGCCAACCTCAAAATTTAGGGTCCAGGTGAGAGTACATTTGAAATGATGTCACCAGTAATAACACAGTGGCTGATGACTCATGTGTCTCCTTGTGTTTGGGATGGGATTCTCATCATTTAAATGAAGGGAAAAAAAATGGGACCTGGGTGGAAAATGGGGTGTTCTGGTTTGATTATTCTTTGTTTATGCTGCCATATCGGTTATCTACATCTGCCTTAGTTCTTCCCCCAGGAGGCTGATCCCTATAGACTGTCATCCGGACTCCCTTGCTAGTAGGTTATCTGTCTGAGTTAGTGGGTGATATGCATTTGCAGGGTATTAGAGAATGGGAGGCAAGAGAGGTCAAGGCAGTTTCTCCCATGGTCCTAGCCTTGAAGCCTCCCCTCTGGTAGAAGCCAGATCTTTGTCTAACTGCAGCTCCTGAGGGAGCCCCTCCTCCATGGTTCCCACTCTCCTGTTCCCTCTGCTTGTCTCTTCATTATTGGGGGTGGTAATGGTTCTCTGCTGTTGTTGGTATCTGGATGCGTCACCAGCTCTGCCCACACTTCTCTAAGTCCTCCCTTGATTGAGATCTCATTGAGTTAAATGGGGTGAGCTCTGTTTCCTGCTGGACCTGACTGATGTAGTGTCCTTTTCCTCCTGAGCTCCTCAAGAATGGGACTATTGTCCCAGTCATCTCTATATGCAAAGGTTATCTGGTCATAAAATGTGAAATGATTCAATCACAACAGTGCTGAAGGTCTTTTCCCATGAATCTTGCAAGGCCAGAGGAAAGAACAAAGTTAACTAGCAGCATGCTAGTTAATTTTTTAATTTCTAACTATTTCTAGAAAAACTATTTCCAACCAGGATTCTTTCCATATCAACTCTTCCCTGAGGTCCCCGTAACTTCAGGTATGGCCCCAGTGTTCCAACACAATATCTGTCAGGGACCTAGATAATGCTTTTTCAAATTAAGAAGTTGATTAAATTGCATTTCCAAATGCATTATTTTCAAAAGGCTATGTATCTAGGAAGCCAGGTGTGTGAAAACTTTCACACATAATTGCAAGTGCAGTGTATAAAACAATTTGCTCACACCTTCAGGCTTCTAAGGTGCTTAATGCCTTTTATTAAGTGACTCTGCTCCACTAAATAACCATCCCTGGACTTCTTCCTTTAGGCCCTGTTGCTACAGATAAACTAATCTGTGCTTTGGAGTTGCCTGACTAATATATCACCACTTTCAACTGATTGAAGGTGGTCAGGGCTGGGAATGCAGACATGAGGGCATGCAGCCAAGCGAAATATATAATCCAGGCGTCAGATCTGGGGAGGGAGAAAAGGCAGAGGAGAGTGATCTGGGAAGACTCATGTCAAAGAGTTTGGGTAGAAGAGGTCAGAACCTGAACAAGGAGTCCAAGGCCAACAAGGGGCATCAGCAAGAATAGTGTCTGTGACTGAATCCAAAGTCTTCTAAAGTAGGGCCACTTTATAAGGTTCCTTTCCAGATTACTCTCCCTCACCCCCAACTATTCTCAGAGTAGAGGAATAAGTGGCTGAAGTATAGGGGGCTAGCAGGGGAGGTAGAGATCAGGGTAACTCCTAGTACAGGACAAAGATGAAGGATTTCTGTTTGCATTTCTAGTCTTAGCTTTCTTTTGTTGGGTTAAACTGGGCAGTCCTACTTTCCTTAGTGCTTAATGGTATAAGACAATACATTTAAATTTTCATGAGTGTATTTACCCTTCAGAAAGACTCATAGGATGTGAGAACTGGCAGAATTATTTTTTAAAAATATTTTTATTAGACTTTTATTTAGCCTCATTATTAGAATATAAGGGAGATCATAGATTTAATGTATGAAACTATTTTTAAATTCACACTTAAATACATTACAATTAAAATGAATTATCTTGAACCACCCAGTCATTTCGCTATCTTTTGCTGAGTAGATAATCTGTGCCAGTCATTGTGAAAAAGTCTTCATTTTAAGAAAAAAATTTAGTTAACAAAAAATTTAACAAGTTTCACTTGGCAGAATACACCCAAAAGGAAATCACAGTACAAAGAAAGTTTTAAGTTAAGGCCTCACCAATTCCTCCAGTATTAGTATTGTGTCTCAATTTTCAAAACTCACTTTTAAAAAGCTTCAACTTAACCTAAAGGATCTTAAATGAAAATATAAATTAGAATGAACAAACATGAGAAACATTTCTTTGAATCAGGGAGCTGATGCCTTTGAGTTTACCAAAAAAGCACATCTCCCCAGTGTGTTCACTGTGATGTGGTGTAATAGGTCCACATGTAACATACTTAAACTTGGATAACTTCTCTGTGAAGTATACTAACAAAATGTTAATTGAGAAAAGCTGAAAATAGTTTTAGTTTACTCAATATCACATGGTAGAAGAAAATTTTGCATGAGAAAACACTGAAGAGGCATATATATATATATATATATATATATTTTTTTTTTTTTTTTTTGAGACAGGGTCTTACTCTGTTGCCCAGGCTGGTGTGCAGTGGTGCATCTTGGCTCACTGCAACCTCCGCCTCCTGGGTTCAAGTGATTCTTGTGCCTCAGCCTCCCGAGTAGCTGGGATAACAGGCGCCTGCCACCTTACCCGGCTAATTTTTGTATTTTTAGTAGAGAAGGGGTTTCACCATGCTGGCCAGGCTGGTTGTGAACTCCTGGCCTCAAGTGATCCACCCACCTAGGCCTCCCGAAGTGCTGGGATTACAGGCTGAGCCACTGCGCCTGGCCTAAAGAGGTAATTTTTAAATCCAGATTTCACAAACTCTTTGTGCAAAATGGGTCCCACAGCTTCCTTCATTATAACTGCTCTTCACTGCTTGTTAGCGGCCTGTGAAAATTTGATTGAATTAATTCAAACGTTGCTAACAAAACGAGTCCTATTCACCCATGCTGTTCTGCCCGCTGTGGCCAGACCCATCACAGCCGCTCACTGACTGGCTCTTCAGGTCACTGTAGGTGGTCAAGCCCATGCCTCGCATCCCGACTGCTGTACGCCCCATTGCTAGCCCCTGTTGTCAAATTCAGGAATAGTTCTATGTATCTGTGCCACATGCTGACCCTGTCTCTGGAGGTAGCTGCCACTGCTTCTTCCCGAGTAGCAAACTCAACATCTGCTTTGCCGGTCACTCTTCCATCTGGGCCCATCTCAATGTGGACTCTCACCAGGTTGGAAGGAGAGAAGAGGTTGTAAATGTCGCTCTTGGTCGCTTTGCATGGCAGCCCCTCATGCAGAGGCAGTGGCCGGTGGTGCTATGCCCTGTGAACTCACTGTCGCCATATTTGTGGTCATACATTCCGGAGAGACAGTAGCTGAGGTTCCCCCACACCCCCCACCAAGCAGCTCCGTGGTGCAGAGGCCGCTATGCTCCTCGTGGCCCCGCATCCTGCGCCTGCCTGCTTCACGATGCCAGGGTAGCTCCCGGAAGCCCGGGCCAGTCACAGGGGTCCGGGGCAGCACGGATATGAGTCTCAGGGGGACCTGAGTCCGACCTAACTTCCTCCTGGCTGCTCTTGAACACCTCCATGTCTCTGTGCCCTGTCCTCTCCTTGGGCTTTCCGAGAGCCTCTCAGCTAACTCCTGCGAGGCCAACTCTTGGGATTTCCAACACTGAGAAGAACTGAATGATTTCTTCTTTGTGCATCCAGATGAGAGTCCTCAAAGTTCGAGCGCGAAGCCGTAGTTGGCGCTGCCCGCACTGTTGGGACCGCCGTGCTTCCTTCAACACCCAACTCACCTCGGTTCTGTGGGACTTGAACACCGCAATGCGCCAGTGTCCCATGCTTTCCCGGTCTTTTTCCAGGGCCATTTTTACGTCCTCTTCTGATCCAAGTTCAGCAAAAGCCTCACCACTCTGCCTACCCCTCTCCGGTGTAGATGGAACTCGCCTGAGCCCAATGGGGCATGGTGCAGTTGGAGAGGACGTCCTGCGCATCCTCGACAGATCAGGGCCAGGGCGGGCCATGGAGCCTGACCACAAAGCCCTCCCCTCCCTCAGGGCCCAGCAGCATGGACTCTTGATGGGGTGGGTGTCAGGTGAGTGGGGTGTGGCTTTTTTGTGGCACAGAGTCGGGCAGAACTGGTTTCTGTTGCTATCAAGCAAGCATGGCTGGCAGCCAAGGGTCCCCAAATTCCACTGAAGCGCGACCACGCAGAGGGCTCCGGGGAATGTCCAGGTGCTTCTTTTTGTTCTCAACCTGCATCAGAAGTCCACCTGGCCTGGGGCGAATGCCTTCCGTGAGGTCTGAAGGCCCCGGCCTGATATGCGCGTGTTTGGCTGGAAGCAGCGAATCCAGGCCCTGGGACCAGGTGACGGTGTTCCCACGGCCTCCTCCTGGCACTCCAGCAGCCTCCTTAGATGTTATCCGTATTACTTTTATCTATGAAAAATGGAGGCCCAGAGAGATTGTTACTGTTAGAACTGTTTATGTTATAGACAGAAAACTAAATTCCAACAACAAAGGGAATTGATTGGTTCACATAACTGAAGCGTATAGAGGTCTATCAGCTTCAGGTGTTGTTTGATCCAGTTGTTCACTGCCCAGCAGTATAACCAACGTTCTGCTTCTTTTCCCATTCTGCTTTCCTCAGTATTCCTTCACTGCCTGGCAATCTCATCTCTATCCAAGTGGTCACATTATCATGGATTTATCATCAATCTATCATTGGTAGGATCTACTACAGGCAGAGGAATCTTTTCTTTGCCAGAAGCCGTTTGCAAGTGTGTTTCAAATCCCTTTGCTCTGATTGGGTTTCATGACTGCCTTTAAACTAACTTCTGTAGCCAGGTGGATGGGATAGAAACAATGGCTTTAAGACAATCAGGCCCAACTCCTGGAGTCTGGGGTCAGGTGAACAACCTTAATACCATATAGGTTAGAATGGAGAAAAAGTGGTTTCCCAAATTTTTTGGGGGGTGGGGGTTCCAATGGTGGGAGAATAAAGAAATGGATACTGGGAAGGCTGACAGCAGGTGTCCAAGGGCAATGACTTATCCAAGGTCAAGCTGCTGGTCATGGATAAGCTGTGACTGAAATCCAGCTCTCCTCACTCAACGTTTGCAGATGGATGGTTATATAATTCCACTTAAGGTACGTGTTTCACAATAGCCATCCAAACAGAACCATGGATTTGCTTGCTTACATTCTGTTTATTCTTCAAATATGTACAAAAATATGTACAAAAACACACTTTGTCATTTAGTCACAGTGATGAAGACAATTGTCTGAGTTAATTAATTTTGAATCTCATTAAAGCATGAAGGCTTTCAGGAGAAATTCAGATTTTAGAGAATGAGAGCTATCATTTAAATAAGTGTCCGCCAGTCTTACCAGGGTCTTGGCAGTGTTCTGGAATGTATTTCAGAACAGGAATAAATTTTTTTGATAGCCTATATGAGATGCCTCCAGCCTGGATTTTCATCTCTCTGGTCAAAAGATTTGTTAATGTCCTGTATTGGGATCCTTTCTCTTACTCACGAATTATGGAGGCAGAGAAACAGAAAAGAAGGCATAGCCCTCCAGGAACTCCATGTTTGGTGGGAGAGGCAGATAACAAAGCAGGTAGGTGAAATACCATGACAGTGAGTGGGTGGGAAACTCAGGTGCCTTGAGAACACAGAGGAAGGCAGAATGTTGGGATCAGGGAAGAGCCAGGGAAGGCTTTCTCAAGTGGGCTGGATGGGAGCAGGGAGGGCTTCTACAGAGGGGACTCATGAGTATTGAGGCATGAAACCTCATAGGTTATGTGAAACCTCAAATAATTCAGAAGGGCAGAGATGTAAGGGCAAGGTAAGGAGTAGGGCGAGAAGGTGCAGATAGGCAGCCTGGAACAGAGTAATGGAGGGTCTTGGGGCTTGTATTACGGAGCTTGGTGTCTTTCCCGTAGGTGATGGAATGCCTCTAATGAGTTTTCAGTAAAGACCTGGTTTGCTTCTCAGACACATTTCGATATCAGATTCTTTGGTTGAAGATAATTCTAATTAAGTTCCTACAGGGGAGCGCATTGGAGAGATATGGGATCCTTCAGAAAACCCAATAAAAATTTGAAGAACCCAGGCTCTGAAGGAATTTCCCAGGGACTACATAGCAGGAATCAACTGCAAGTCCCCTTGGTCAGGAAGTATCAGGGCCAACTGCCTCCAGCGTTATTCCACCTAGGATTCAAATTCCAAATGAAAGATGTCATAGTGCTCCAGCTTGGGGGCACACCAGGCCTGGGCCAGGTAAAGTCATCATCTTCACTGGCAGTCTCCCCAAGCCCATATCTCTTGGAGTGAGTTCCTGAAGGAAAATCAGTGTGATGTGACCCTAAGAAAGAGCTAACGCTTGCTGAAGTAATGGGTGTCCACTTCAACAGCTGTGTGGAAACTAGATCTGAAGGGCACTAAAGACGAAGGGAATTAAAAGTCAAAAGACAGTGGAGATATGGACTAGGGCTGTGGTAGTATTGTGGGATTTATGAATATTTATGAGATAAAAATCGGTGATTGACTTTAGGAGAAGGAAGACGACAGAATCAAGGATGATTCCCAGGTCCTAGAATGTGGTAGTAGATATTATTACTGGAGAGAAGATAGAGGATGGGGAAGGGGAGATGACAAATAGCTTATGACATGCCAAGTTTAAGAACTCTGTGGGACATCAGGTGGAGGCTAGAATTTGAAGCATAGTAACTGAACTGAACTCATAGGCATGGACGACATAACCTAGGAAGGATTCTGGAAGAAGCCACAGAAGAGATCAAAATAAGTTTTGATCTTTGAAGAGATTAAAATAGATTTGCCAAGAAAATAAGATCAAATGACAAAGAACGGAAGGAGGAGGAGAACCAGGAATGTGCAGGGTCATAGAAAGCCACAGGATAAAATTTCAAGGAGAGAGCAGATTTGAGCTCTGGTGCAGGTAGAAGCCACATTCTAGGGAGCTAATGTATAAGTGGGAGTAAAAACGTGTGGGCTACCCTTGCAAGAATCTTGGATGAGAAGGGCTGGTTAACTGCATGGTAACTTGGAGGGCATACAGAGTCAAGAGAGGTTTTTTTTTTTTAATTTTTTAAATTTTTTGGTCATTTGGATTTTTGGTTTAAATTAAAATATCATTCACATACCATAAAATTCACCCTTTTATACAGTTATGTGGTTTTTTATTATATTCACAAAGTTGTACAGTCATCAC
Source organism: Homo sapiens (assembly GCF_000001405.40). Taxonomy (NCBI): domain Eukaryota; kingdom Metazoa; phylum Chordata; class Mammalia; order Primates; family Hominidae; genus Homo; species Homo sapiens. The sequence goes on along the minus strand of NC_000001.11, from coordinate 42,037,431 downwards.
CACCGTCTAATTCCTTAACATTTTAATCACCCCCCAAAGAGGCTTTGTACTCATTAAGCAGTCACTCCTCAGTCCCCCCTCCTCCCAGTCCCTGGCAACCATTAGTCTACTGTCTCTATGGATTTGCCTGTTTTGGACATTTCATATAAATAGAATCATACACTATGTGGGTTTTTGTGACTGGTTTCTTTCATTGAGCACTATAGTGTTTTCAAGGTTCATCCATGTTGTAGCATGTAACAGAATTTCTTTCTTTCTTTTTTTTTTTTTTTTGAGACGGAGTCTTGCTCTGTTGCCCAGGCTGGAGTGTAGTGGTGCGATCTCGGCTCACTGCAAGCTCTGACTCCCGGGTTCACGCCATTCTCCTGCCTCAGCCTCCCACTTAGCTGGGACTACAGGCACTCGCCAACACGCCCGGCTAATTTTTTGTATTTTTTTTTAGTAGAGACGGGGTTTCACTGTGTTAGCCAGTATGGTCTCGATCTCCTGACTTCGTGATCCGCCCGCCTCGGCCTCCCAAAGTGCTGGGATTACAGGCGTGAGCCACCATGCCCGGCCTTATTATTTTTTATGGCAGAATACTATTCCATTGTATGGATAGACCATAATTTGCTCATCCATTTGTCAATCAGTGGACATTCAGTTGTTTCCTTTTTTGGCCTTCTGAATACACCGCTATGAACATTTGTGTACAAGTTTTAGTACAGACATGTTTCTAGTTCTCTTGAGTGGAATTGCTGGGTCTCCATTGATTTTTGTTGGGCGAGACCTGATACTGTTTACAGGCTGAGGGTAGGGCGCCGGTGCTGAGGGAGAGGTGGTAGAGCCAGGGGTTGGGGAGGAGGAGGGAGGGCTGGAGCAGAGGAGGCCACTTTCTTCAGCATCACTCACTCTCTGTTTGGCACAGTCCTAAATGCGGGCTAATCTCCCTTCACATCTTCTAGACCCTCTGCAAATACCTCATACTTGCTGACCAGGGAGCGAACCCAGGGCTTGAATAAAGCACCCCTAGACCTGGCAGAGCCGGGAACCGGCTGGCTGGTTCGTTTTCTGATGCAGATCACAGTTTTGGGGTCTCCTCTGGTTAGAGCCTGGCCCATTCGGGTTTGGTTTTCTCCTGGACGTTCGTTCACACGTGAATAAGGCCAATTCACCGTGGAGTCTGCGTCTGAATCCTTGTTCCTTAGGTCATCCCGGGGTCCCAGCTGCCCGGGATGAAAAAACGATGCCCGGGTACCAGGGGTCGGGGACCAGCAACGCCGGCGCTCAGCGTAACCGCTACCCTCCCCAGCCACGGCGCACGCGCCTCTTCCCTGCCAAGGAAGGGGCGGGGAGTAGGCGGGGCGGGCACCTTTGAGGCCAATCGAAAGCGAGCATCCCCGCCCTCCGGGCCGATGGACCCAGTTTGACCCCGGCGGTGGGCGGAGGAGGCGGGGCAAGCCGCGCGGCCAGGAAGGGGGCGGGGCCCGGGGTCTGGAGGCGGGGCCTGGGGCTGTCAGTCCCGCGCCCGCCGCCGCGCCACGGCTCCTCGCATGCCGTGGCCCGGGTGGCTGCCAGCGCTGCCGCCCGCCGCCCGCCACCCCGGCATCCCAAGCCGCCTCCCGCCGCCCCGGCCCGGCGCGCAGGTAAGGCTGGCCGCGGCTGCCGAGCCATCGCGCCCCCCTCCTCGGGCTCGGTCTGACGCGCGGGCGCCCTCTCCGGGCCGTGTCAGCGCCGCAGCTCCCGACTGCGCCCGGGGGCGGTCCCGGGGGGCGGGACGAGAGCCCTCCCCATCCCCCCAACGCCTCCGGGCGCCGGCCCCCTCAGCTGGGGTCCCCCGTCTGGCCTCCGCAGCTCCGGCGCAGGGAGCTGTCCCGAGCCCCCCTTCCCGGGCCGATTACACAACCTCCGGTCCTGGGGCGGGGGCCCCTCCTCAGCCCGGGCCCCACACCTGTCCCCGCAACGCGCTCCCAGGCAGAGGGCAGAGACCTGGCGCGACAGCGGGGGCCGGGAAAGTTTCACTTTGTGGTCAGGGGTTTGTTGACGTCTGAGAGATGCGGGGAGACGGAGACTGAGCGGCGAGGATGCGCCTTGCCAGCCGCGTTCCCTGTGCCCGGGGTGGCCCTGGTCCAGGTTTCCCTTCCAGAAGTCCTGCCGGCATCCCGGCTCTGGGCCGGGAGGCTGCTGCTGCAGGGCGCCCGGGTCTCTCCGTCTCTACGTTAGCGAGCTCTGGATTGCAGCAGTCTGGGGACGGCTCAGTCTCTCGCGCTTGCCCCCTTTCTTAAGTTAGCATTGACATTTAGACCAGTTGGACAAATTTACTTAGCATTTTCCTGACACTTTGTATTGGTGAGTTGCTTTCCCATCCCTAATTAGTTAATTAACAAGGTGGGAAAGCTAAATAGATCCTGGAACGAAATGCCTTCAGTCTGGCAACTCTTTAAAAACCTCTGAGAGCTCTAGGCTCTGGTTGCATGGAGAGATGCTTTTGGCCAAGGTGAGAGAGCGATTCCATGTCTTCTGGTTGCTCGAGGAGGCTTTGGTAATAATGGCACGGCTTTCTCTGCCTCCCGCTGATTGTGCCGTTTATTGAGGGTCTTCAGTTTATGGTGGGTTATTTGGTTTTCTTCATTCAAGAAAGGAGGAATCAGAAGTGTTGCTGATTAACTGAGTGTTCCTCAGTTAAGAAAAACACTGAGGTTTAAATAAGTTTGGATACTTGTCTGCTTTACCAGGTTACCTTCGTGCGCAGAAAATCTTGGCTCTTCTCATTCTCTCCCTATCTTCCCAGTAGGGCTGTATCCAGCCGGGTTGGCATTACTGGTTCCTCATTTAGTCTGAAGACCTCTTGCTACATAAGTGTACAGTCCTGCCTAGGGATAACCTCTAAGAGTGGACTTAATTAGCACTTTTATCTGCTCGTTAAGCAATACAGCTTGAAATCTCTTGTAATCAGGCGCCGTTGTAGTGTTGAATCTTTAATAATACCTGATTCATTTTAATAGTGTTTCTATAATAATCTTTCTATTAGCCTGCCGGTTCTGCAACACCAGTAGTTTTGGTATAGAAGCAGCAATTTACTAGAAATATTATCATGGCAAAAACAGTTCTCTAACAGATTTGCAGCCCACTTTACTTAGATAATTACTGATAGAGGCTGTTAAGATTTTTTTAAAAATTTATTATTTGGTGCAGTAAATGTTACAATGCTTCTGATGTATGAGGTCTTTATGAGGTCATTCCTTCCTGTAGTAATGATTACAGTTCTTGTGTCACTTAAATCTGTTTTGGACTAATATTGTGTGAGTTTTCACCCATGCTAATTTATTTTTAGACAAAATTCAGAGCTAACAAGATTTGGTTTTGATTTGCCAGCCTATGTTTTAATAAGGAAGATATTTATTGTATTTTGGGTGTTACATTAGAGGTAGGATAGCATGTTTTATTAACATATATACTGTTTTGAGGGGTTTACAGATATTAAGCTACTAATTTTACAACAGTCCTATAAGGAAGGGATGATGAAATTGAGGCCCAGTTGCTTGACTCAGGTCACATAGTTAAGTAAATGACAGCCAGATTCTAACCTAGGCAGCCTGAGTTCAAAGTCCAAGTTCTTAACCACTGGACTATCCTGCCCCTATGCTTTCAAGAGGCAATTATTTCTACCTGCTGTCTGTACAATATGATATTCTGCACGGTGGGGAGGAGAAGAGCACTTTACAGTGTAATAACCAACATTGAGTTAGGAGTTCTTGGTCTGGTCTTAACTCTGCCACCAGCTAATCTGTGATTTTGAGCAAGAAACCTTATCTCCTTCCCTTTCAATTCCTCATTGGTGGAATAACAGCATTTGAAGCAGATGAACTAATTAGCCTTACTACCTTAGGGAACTGGAGAGATAAGTCAATGCAGATAAGAATTAAATATCCTTCTTCCTAAGGCACAGCATAAGACCAGGTGTCAAGTGAATGGAGTGTGTGTCATAGGAAAGGACTAGGAGGGCATACATTCTGCTGAAACCAGTGGCTACCCATGGGAGTGCAGTGGTTGAGGACTTCATGTTAATACTTCAGTGTTGTTTTATTTTGTTGCACCAAGGAGTGTTACTTTTGTAATTAAAAAAAAAGACAATTAAAAGAAGTCATCCTATAGAGGTGGGGTAACCATGTGCAGGACCATGTGAGGAGCATTATAGGGGACTGTCTGGCATCACTTTGCAGGAGGCATCACTTTTCAGGGGTCAGATGGTGGTAGGACCTGCATGGCAGACCAAAGAGTTCCCAGAATCATGGGAAGTCAGGCTTGAAAGGAAACTTTAAAAGTCATTTAGTTTAACTCCCTCCTCCCATCTCCCTCCACCATGTATCCAGTGGATAAATCCCTCTGCATGCGGGCACCTGTCCCACTCAGTGCTCGTTCTGCTCCTGCTTGGACACCTCCAGGGTCAAACATTTGGTGTGCTTCACAAACTGTGCACCAAAGAAGACAGGATTGTATCTGGTGCTAGGGAATGGGAAACCACGGAAGGCTTCTGGCTGTTCTAGCTTGTGCTCTTGAAAGACTATCAATTGTCAGAGTGAAAGCTATATTAGAGGAGAAAGGCCAAATCCGGGAGACCAGTTAGGAGGCCGTGGCCAGAATCTGGGATGAGGGGATCCAGGCTGAGACCAGCAGTGGCATGAAATGGGTCCAGGAAGGAATGGACCCTGGAAGGCAAAATCCCTGCACCCAGCAACTGCCTGTCCGTAAGCAAGAGAGAGGAGGAACAAGATGACATTCCCAGGGGAATGGTGGGGGAGGGGGGCAATAAGAGGATGGAGGCTTGGGAGAGCCCCTGATTGGAGCTGGGAAATCCAGTGGGGTGGAGAGGAGAGACAGTTTTGAACGCATAGCCCCCAAAGCTGTATCGTAGACCGTGGCTAATGCAAGACCTGTGCAGACCAAAAACAGATTTCTTAAGAAGAGAGTGTACCATTTAAATATGGTGGGAAACCCTCTGCCTAATGAAGAAAAATTGCAGTATTTCCCAACGGGTGTTGCAGCTTGTGACACTGGCTCATTTAACGTCCCGTTGCACTTCTTGGTCAGGTTGGGAATCGGGTATTCTTCCTTCACTCAGAGGTGAAGGAGGTGGCAGTGAGATGGCGCCTGCACCAGTGAGTCTTTCTGACTCCGAGTCTTAAATACAGAATTGGAACTGGGAGCTGTAGGGCTGGAGCATTTTGTGTGTGAGAGGATGCTGCCTTCCTGTGGTTACACAGAGATGGGGTTGGGGTGTGACTGTTTGGAGTTGGGCCGGGGGCGCATTGGCTGCGCTTTTTTCTGATTTTGTAGGGAGATGTCCTTTTAGGGGATTCTGTTGTCCAGTGACACCTGTTAAATAGGTGCTGGAGAGCCAGTGCATGTCATGGGGAGTACTGAGAAAGTCACTGGAAGTTTTTCTTTCCAATTCAAACACAGATTATGTGGCGTTCAAAGAGGGCTTGGAGCACAATATTTTGATTACCACATTGACTGGAAAACAGGATAATTTGGAAGAAACAAATAAGATTCACACAGGAAACCATGAAGACAGAGAAAATATAGTTGTGAGGGTTTTAAATTAATTTTACTCTTGTTACTTTATATACTTCTGGCTTAGGATACAACATTTACAAAGTATTTATATTTACAAATTTATAAGTTGGAAGATATTGTGTATGTGGGAAAAAAACTGTATAATCTCATTTTTTGGGGGGTGGGGCCAGGACAATATTGTTCTTGTATTTTCAATATTTTTTAGACTAGTAGTTCTTTACCAGAGGTGATTCTGTCCCTCAGGAAACACTTGACAATACCTAGAGATAGTTTGGTTGTCAAAAGTTGCGGTGGTGTTTGTGCCACTGGCATCAAATGGGTAGAAACCATGGGTGTGGCTGAACATCCTGTAATGCATGGGACAGCCCCCACAACAAAGAATTATTCAGCCCCAAATCTTAACAGTGTTGAAGTTGGAAAACTCCACTGTAGGCAATTAAAAAAAAAACCTTACTAGGAGCAAATTGAGTTTAAAGGGAAGAAGAAGAAAATACAAAATATTCCTACAAACTGATCCCATCTGACATCCAGAAGGAAGAAACAGCTAGACAACCTGCTGGAACACAGGTGTTTGCCTGCCACCCAGGAGGTATTTCAATAACTGGGTTGTTCAGCAGAGCAGTCTGGAACAGGAAGTAGAGGACGTTGTAGGAGGAAGAGGCTGTAGGGGTAATTGGTAGAGGCAGGTCTAGAAGGGAAGGTCAAGAAGGGAAACTGGGTTCTTCCAGAATACTTTTGAAAAGTTCTAGGGAATTTTTCAAAGGCTATTTTGTTAAGGATATTGAGTAGTGCTTAGAAGATACAGTCTCCACTTTGAGGGCGCATGAACCCTCTAGGCTGTTGATGAGAGAGTCTGAGCACTTCCCAGGTTTTTCTGCATCTAGACATGAGTAAATGGTGAAGAACACTTGGTTTTGTTTTCAGGTTATATCTGTGTCCTCCTTCGACCCTCCCTTTTAAAACTTTTTCATTATGTAAAATTTTAAACATGTACAAAAATGGAGAAAATAGAATACTGAACCCCTGTTTACGCAATGCCTGTCTTCAATGATTGTCAACTGCTGGCTGATATTTACCTATATCTTAGACACCCCTCCTTTTTTAAAATCTAGAAAATAGCATAAATAATTACAGATTGCCTGCCTAATAGGAGAGGCTTGGCAGTGAAGGATGTAAGTGATTTTCTGATGCTTGGGCCTCCCCGGAGGAAAACCGATAATCGACATGTGTGATTATAAGAGCCACGAGGGCCTGAGAAATAAGAATAGGCCCAGGCAAATCTGGAATGGGGGAGCTCAGCTCTTCTTGGTGGGAAAGTACAGTGATTAGAGACACACTTCTTTCTTTTTAAACCTCCTTGGTAGAGAAGAAGTCTACTTAGAGTTCTTTGCTAGGAGAAATGTATTTTTGGTATCAGTTGTGGAGAGTTCTTTCAGTTCCTGGAGGGAGCATAGTTTTCATGTTTCCTTTTGGGATGCCCCCTTTCCTGTTGCATGACCCTCTAGGGCAGGGTTATCCAATCTTTTGGCTTCTCTGGGCCACATTAGAAGAAGAATTGTCTTGGGCCACACATAAAATATGCTAACATTAATGATAGCTGATGAGCTAAAAAGAAAAATCGCAAAATAATCTCATAATGTTTTAAGAAAGTTTACGAATTCTGTTGGGCTGCATTCAAGGCTCTCCTGGGCTCTAGGTTGGACAAACTTGCTCTAGGGTGTGCTGTGTGGTATAAAGCCAAGGGTTCCTTGTAGCCTCTGCCTCTGACCTGATGGCTTCTTCACAGGGTGACTTTTCCCCAGAAAGCACAGGGCAGGGTCGGGTGGGAGAAAGGCAGTATTTCCAGTGGTTATGAAATGACCTTTTGCAGCAATTGCTTTCTGCATTCATCAGTGTATGGAAGACTCTTGCATTCCAGCCACTGGTGGAAACAGCGTTGTAGCTGACACTTTGGAAACAGGGCTTTCTTTTCCCAATTGTGTCTCCCGGAACTACAGGATTAATTTTTTTTTGGTCATTGGAGAATTGGCATGCCTTTACTTGACTCAGTGTTGTGTTGTAATATGCATACAAAAATGGATTTAAGAGTTGAGAGAGTTCTTGAATAATCACATAATTGATGTCTATGAATTCTAATTAGTGCTAGTTTCTACAAAGTTAGACATTCTGGACTAGGTTCACAAGCAACAACATTGGTGTGAAGACCTGGGTCTTCAGAGAGCTGTATTTTCCATCCTTGTGTTATTTATTAAATGCATTTTTACCCTCTACTTATTCCACAAAGAGGTGTAGATGGCATTAGCTTATTATGAACATTCTGTATCACAGTTGCGGATTTTCAAGTATCATGCCTTTCTCTAGGAAGGGGCCTCTCCTAGTCTGTTAATAATAATCATTATTCCCAAGAACCCTTCTAGGTAGGAATTAGCATCCCCATTTTGCAGATGAGTAGACTGAGGTTTGGAGAGGTTAAGAATAATGGTAGGAGGTAATACTGAGGTTTTGTTTTTTTGTCCAGACCCACTTGATTTCAAAGCCCAAATGCTTTTCAATAAGCCTTCTGTCTCTCATGGTTAAAAGTTGGTGGAAGTTTGTACCAGGATTGGTAGAGAAGATGGGGGCAGGTGCTGTGAAAGGGGACTGAGAGTACCGGTTACTCCAACTAATGAAATCTTCACACTGAACCCCCCTGAGAAACATTGCTTTTGAGTGTGATAAATTACTGATGTCCTGTTTTTGAGCTGACTTTACAAAACAGAAGTTGTACCCTGGTATTCCTTAGCCAGATTTGCTCAATGGATGTATATTCTTCAGTCTGCATAGTGTTTTTTCTTGTAAAAAATTAGATTAGTTGTCATTTAACAAGTGGGAGATTTCACACTAAAATATAGATTTCTGCCTTCTCTTGAACCATCAGAATATCTGGTGACATTGGCCCCATGTTCCCCTTGGCAGTAGTTAGTTACAGTGGCTGCCCTCTTTGGATGCAGCATAGGCTCCTGAGTTTGCCATATTCCCCACCCTGGCCTCTTCACCCATTTATCTTACCTGTCAGGATTCTGAAGGCATTTGAGTTAGAGGCACCTAGTAGAAGTTATATATATTCTCTCTTCAGTGTCAGGGATGTATTAGAGAAGGCTTGTTTTGTTTTTAATTAAAGATCCCCAGCATTTATTTCCTCTTTGTAGAAGCCTGGGGAGGGTAACTATACTTGGCATATAAACAGACACACTCACATTCCCCTCCCTTTGACCCCCAGCAATGGCTAATTGGACTCTAGATAGGTTTTTGGACTAAGAAAGACCAATCAGATTTGGGATTTGGACACCGAGTCAGTAAGCTGAGGAGCCTCAGGCAGGGAGGATTTATAGACTCAAGCTGGAAGTGGTGACCTTGGAAAGGTGGAATGGAGTAGTGAGTAAAGAAGCTGTGTGTCAAGGAGGTGGAAGATCATGGGCAGCAGAAAGAAAAGTGCTTCCTGGTCTCTCCTTCTACTGTATGTCCTGCAATTGGGTTCCTCTGTGTCCACAGCACACATTCTGTGATATTTACTGAGCACTTACTATAATGCCAGGCACTATTCTAGATGTTTGTGATATATCAGTGAACAAAACAAGACAAAGTTCCTATTCTTCTAAAGCTTAGATTTTGATGGAAGAAAAGATAACGCTAAACAACAACAACAACAAAAAATAAAATATATTAGATAATAATAAATACCAAGAAGAAAAATAAAACTTGGTCAGGAGACAGGAGTGGATATAGGAGAGAACATTATGTTAGAGAGATTGTTCAAGGAAGGCCTCTTAATAAAGTGATATCTGAGCAGAGATGTAAATTAAGTGAAAAAGTAAGCCATGAAGAAATCTAGAGGTGGAGCATTCCCTACTGATATGGTTTGGCTGTGTCCCCACCCAAATCTCAACTTGAATTGTATCTCCCAGAATTCCCACATGTTGTGGGAGGGGCCCAGGGGGAGGTAATCGAATCATGGGGGCCAGTCTTTCCTGTGCTATTCTCGTGATAGTGAGTCTCATGAGATCTGATGGGTTTATCAGGGGTTTCTGCTTTTGCTTCTTCCTCATTTTTCTCTTGCCACCGCCATGTAAGAAGTGCCTTTTACCTCCCGCCATGATTTTGAGGCCTCCCCAGCCATGCGGAACTGTAAGTCCAGTTAAACCTCTTTTTGTTCCCAGTTTCGGGTATGTCTTTATCGGCAGCATGAAAATGAACTAATACACCTACAGAGGGTTCAGCAAGTGCAAAAGCCCTGAGGTAATTGTATGCTTGACCTGTGTGAAGAACAGCAAGGAGGACATTGTGGCTGGAATGCAACAAATAATGGGAGAGGAGAGGTGGAGGGAATGCAGGGCCTCACAGTTATATTAAAGACTTTGGATTTTATTCTGAGTGACGTGAGAAGCTATTAGAAGATTTTGAGCACAGGTGACATGATCTAGCTTCTGTCTTAGAAATAAATTCTATATGGAGAACAGATTGTAGGGCAGCTAAGGTGAAGCAGGAAAACTAATTATGAGGCTATGCAATAGTCCTGATAAAATACAGTTGTGGCTTGGACTAAAAGAGAATTGGAGATGGTAAGAAGTGGACAAGTTTTGAATATATTTTGAAGGTAGCATTGACAGAATTTGCCAATGTATTAGATGTTGGTTATGTGTGTGAGAGAGAGAGGAGTCAAGATTATTTGAAACTTTGTGTAAAAACATAGCTTCATTTGGTGGCATTTCAACTTGTCTTCCTAGAAACATTCAAAAGCAAGGTCAACAACAACAACAACAGAACCTTGAAAACTCTATTCACAGCAAAAGTAGGAGAGAAATTTAGTCCATAAACTTCAAAATACATGTAAAGACTGTCCCAAGTAGATGAGATCAGGCAGAAGCCATTGAGGAAATGAAGGGAAGCAGCATAGAAATGGTGAGAGAGCCCAGAGATAGTAGATCTTGGAAAGTACTGGAAAAGTCATGCTCTTTAAGATGAAAAGTCCACCCTGACATGAAAAAGCTGTATCTGTTGCTTGCAATAGTTTTGGGAACTGAGTGTACAGCTGGTGGAAGAAACCCTCCTAGATGTAGTTCGCTTCAGAGAGCAAAAGAAGAGTGGTTATGTAAAGAATCATATAGGCAGGCTGCCATATTTGTAGGAAGTACTCTGTCTCTGTGGTAGCAGGGAAGAAGAGAGTCTTTGGGTTGTAAAAACAGCTCATCTGAAAGAGTATCCTAGGCATGCCTTCCTCCCCTGCCAAGAGGAATCTCATGCAAATACTGTAGCTTGTCCAGGAAAACTCAGCTCAGTGATAATGGAGAGAGGAAATTGTAGGCTTTGGTTTCTGATAATGGTAGGATAGGTTATTTGGACCAAAATTCCACTGAAAATATTAAAATGTTGGATATATTTTTTAAATTGAAAAAATTTTAGATTTTCTTAAAAGCACTAAAGAGATGAGGAGAGACTAAAACACTAGAACACCTAAGTTCTTTTTGCCCTGAGAACATTTGTCGATCCTAATAAATATAGACTTTAGTTTTGGCGGCCTTGCAGGACAAGGAGGTTTTTGTCAAAGTACGTGCCTTGCTCAAGGTGGAGAGTCTCATAGGAGACCATCTCCATATAAAGCTGGATTTATTCAGGGGAAAGGTGAACCAGAAATAAAACTAGTTCTCTCTACCCTTCTGGGACAGCAGGGAGGTTGCCCTGGTACTGAGCAGGGTAAGAGAAAAAAAGGAAAAGTAAGTTATCGTGACCGACAAGCCTTTTCGCAGATTTTTTTTTTTTTCTCTTTTGAGACAGGGTCTTGCTCTGTCGCCCAGGCTGCAGACAATGCCACGATCACGGCTCACTGCAGCTTCAACCTCCTGGGTTCAAGTGATCCTCTCACCTCATCCTCTGGGTAGCTGGGACTATAGGCACACACCACCACGCCCGGCTAATTTTTTATATTTTTTGTAGAGACAGGGTTTTGCCATGTTGCCCAGGCTGGTCTTGAACTGCTGGGTTCAAGCGATCTGTTCTGCTCAGCCTCCCAAAGTCCTGTGATTACAGGTGTGAGCTACCATGCCTGGCCCCTTTTTACAGATTTGAGGATGGTTTTATGTCACCTCAATTTCTGAGAACCTCAAGCTATGAACTTCGTTTAAGGTAGTTCCAAGTTTAAGGTAGAACCAGTTCCAGGTTCCTAACCCCACTCCCAGATACCTGGCAGAATCAAAGATGAATCTCCGGAGGAGGGCACCTTCTTCCTAATTTTCAAGGGTCAATGAGCAGTACAGTCAGAAATAACAAAGCGTACAGGGAAACAAAATGTGATGCGAGAAACAACAGAAGCAATGAATAGAATAAAAGAAAACCAGACTCACAAATTCTTTATGTATTATGAGTACAGAGACAAATAAAAACCTATGCTTATTGTGTTCATAGAAATAAAAGTACCCTTATAAATACCTTCATGGAATGGGTAACAATTAAAAGTGGCTTGGCAGATTTTAAGAAGGTTAAACAGAACTAGAAATAAAAATATAAAACTGAAATTTTAAAATGTAGTGGTTTCCCATTAGACAGCACATATGACAAAATCAAAAAGAAATTAGTGAATAACTGAATGATGAGGCATAAGAAATTATTCAGATGCTGCACAGGGAGACAAAAAGACAAAAAATGTGACAGAGAGGCTAAAAGACATGGAAGCTGGAGTGAGAAGATCTAACACGCATTTAATTGGAAAGGAGAGGAAAGAGAATGGGGCAGAAACAACTATTCAAGGAGACGATGCTTGAGCTTTTTCCAGAATTGATCAAATTTATTAAGCCAAAAATTCATAAGCAGAGCACTGAAGGCAAAGAGAAAATTCTAGCAGGAACAACAACAACAAAAAGACATATGACTTTGGAAAGAGCATTTTACATACTTCTCAACATCAATGGAATCTAGAAGACAGTAGAATAAATCTGTAACTGAAATAGCTGAAAACTTAGGATTATATGCACAAAGTACCTTTCAAGAATAATGGCAAAATGAAAACATTTTCATATAAAGAACAATGTGGAGTTTGCCACCACTTTAGTGACTTTGCCTCACTGAAGGCAATCTTAATTGATGTACTTTATGCAGAAGGAAAGCAATTGCAGATGGAAAAAGCTGAGATGCTATAAGGAATTAAGGATTTTATAAAGAGATCACCATGTGGGTGAATGTAAATATAGATGAACAATGAAGCATAAACAAAATTTTAATATCTTACAGGCTAAAATATTTAGAAATGAAAGACAACAATAGCATATAAGTTAAGAAAGGGGGTAAAAAGAATCAAGAGCATTCTAAGGTCCTTATATTACCTGGAAGGAGAGTAAAGATAATGACTATCTTCAGGCTGATAAATTAACAATGTATGCTGCCATTTCTAAAATAAGCACAAAAGGAATAGAAGCAGGGTATTTAATATCCCAGCTAGTTGAGGAAGACTCATTGGAAACATAAGACCACAGAAAGAGTGAAAATAAAGGAATGGAAAACTATATACTGTCAAATAATAAGCAATGTATCAAATAAAGTAGAGATTGTGATTAAAAACATTATTAGGGATAAAAAATTATGTTCACAAGGAAAATATGTTTGAAATGTATATGTACCTAACAACTAAATAATATATAGAGAAGAAAATGACAGAACCACAAAGAGGAAGAGAAATATCCATGATCATAGTTATTTCAAATTAGAATACCTAAGACATTTTAAAGGAGAACTAAGTCAGAGGACTTGCTGTATGGATATCATGTCTTATTATAAAGCTATTGTAATAACAATGGCATGGTATTGATTCAAGGATAAACAAAGAGTCCAACAGAACGAAGTAGAAAGCCCAAAAACACTACTTTACATTTACAGACTCTGGATTTATTACGAAGGAGACACTACAGATAAAGGGTAAACTTTCCAATAAATGGTACTGGGATTCATGGATATGACATGAAAAATATGTAATTCGACTATCACTTTACACAATGCATAAAAATCAATTGCAATGGATGTCCTTAGACTGGGTAATTTACAAAGGAAAGAGGTTTCATTGGTTCATGGTTCTGGAAACATGATGCTGGCATCGGCTCAGTTTCTGCAGTGGTCTCAGGAAACTTACAATCATGGCGGAAGGTGAAGGAGGAGCAGGCATGTCACAGAGCCCAAGTAGGAGCAAGAGAGAGAGAATGGCGGGAGGTGCTACACACTTTTAAACAACCAGATCTCATGAGAACTCACTCACTATCAGGAGAACAGCACCAAGTGGATGGTGATAATTCATTCATGAAGGATCCACCTCCATGATCCAATCACCTCCCACCAGGCTCCACCTCCAACACTGGGGATTATGATTAGATGTGAGATTTGGGCAGGGACACAGATCCAAACCATATCAATGGGCTTTTAAAAGTTAAATATGAAAGCAAAAAAATGGAAGATTTTGAATGGTAATATAAGAGAATATCTTCATGATCTCTGCGTAGGGAAGGGCTTAAATAAAATTCCAAAAACATTAACTTAAAAAAAGGTTGATGGCCGGGTGTGGTGGCTTATGCCTGTAATCCCAGCACTTTGGGAAGAAGAGGCAGGCAGATCACTTGAAGTCAGCAGTTTGAGACCAGCCTGGTCAGCATGGTGAAACCCTGTCTCTACTAAAAATAAAAAAATTAGCCAGGTGTGGTGCCACATGCCTGTAATTCCAGCTACTTGGGAGGCTGAGGCATGAGAATCACTTGAACCCGGGAGGTGGAGGTTGCACTCCAGCCTGGACGACAGAGTGAGACTCTATGTCAAAATAAATAAATAAAAATAAATCAAAGCTGAGAAAATTTATTACACTAAAATAGAAAAATTTTAAAAGAAAAACTACTATGAAAATAATGGAATAAGAAGTTACAACACTGGAAAAGAAATTTGTGAGCTTTGTGAGGACAGGGACTGTGTCCATTTTATTCATCATTATATCTCACCATGTTCTGTAGTGCCTAAAATCAAAGCTGCAGCACCCAAGATACTTTAAGTACTTACAACCATTCCCAAATGATGGATACTTACCTACAGAGAAGACTCCACATCATAAACCACAAACATTATTCTATTGCTTTCTTCTGTTGCTGTTCATTCCTTAGAGAAAAAAGAAGAGATATATAAAAGTGGTGACTTAACCAGACAATTGTTTAAAAATATGCATTTAGTGTAGAAACTATGTGTTCAGGATTGTGCAGGTTGCTGAGAAGAATATATAGAAATATAAAACAAGAGTCTCTTCCCAAAGGAGTTTACAGCCTACTTGGGAGATTGTGACAAATATGAAAAAATACTTGACAAATCTGGACCATTTAAATAATGCTATTTATGCTATAGCCATACATAGGACAGAGATAACACTTCCAGATGTGGTAATTGGGAAATATATCATGCAGGAGGAAAGATTTGATCTATGTATTGAAGGAGGGTAAGTTTATGGGCAGGAAGAGAGCATGGAAGCAAGCATCCCACGGGAGGGATGCTTTGTAGGAAATAAAAATTTAAGGTGCTTTGGGGAAAGGGCAATCTCATCAGAGTGGAAGGAGACAGATTAGAAGCATAGATTCTTTAAGAATAAATATGAATGAGTAGCTGGAAATTTTCTGAGAAAGAATAGTAGTGATGTGAACATAAAAGCCTAACTAGTTATGATAAATGTATCCGTAAGTAAAGTAATTAAGCCAGTTTGGGGTTGGCAGAGGAATTGTGCCAGACATCTGTGGATTTTGCTACCCAGCAGCATTCGCTCTTCTCCTGGTTGTGGGGCCCCAGCCCTGTTGCTATTACCTGGAACTAAAGGTTAAGATGATGGTTCAAAGATGAAGCCACCATGGAAGAGAGCATAGCGGACAGATGGAGAGAAACTGCATCCAGGTGACCCCATTTGTACTAAACCTGGTTACCTGGTTTTTCTTTAGTACATATGCCAGTTTGAATTGGTTTTGTCATTTGAAATGAAGAATGAAAACTGACAGAAGAATAGACAGACAGAAAGATCAGGAGAGCAGAGTAAAGAATTCAGAAACAGACTGATATACACGTGAGAATTTCCCCTCACTGGACATTCCTCAGTCTTTGCTCTGAATCTCTTCCCCACTTCTGTAGTATCCCAGGTCTCAGGCCCTAGACTTCTTATCTATTCTTAGATGAATGAATTCAGTCTTGTGGTATGATGTATCTGTTTGCACATGACTCCTAAGTTTATATTTCCAGTTTTTGTTATTCTTCTGAGATTCAGACCCATATATTCACTTGTCCACCAAGATTCTCCACTTGAGTGTATAAACGGATCTGAAGTGTAACATGTCCTATACCAAACTCCTGACTCCCAACCCCCCCTTACCCTAAATCTGCTCCTTTCCTAAGAATCTCAGGCTCATAAAATGGCAGCATTGTCCACTCAGTTTCCCAGGCCAAAAACCTAGAAGTTACCCTTGAGTCTTTTCTTTCCTATAACTCTCACATTTAGGCCATCAGCAAGTCTTGTTGATTCTACCTTCAAAACACAGCCTGGATCTGAGCACTTCTTATCTCCTTATAGGAGGTAAGTAGATATGTAGGTTCCCAACATAGTCCAAGCCAGCACCATCTCTTGCTTGGATTATTGTAATAGCTTCTAAGTGGCTTCTCAACTTCCTTTTTTCCCCCTTATGGTCTATTCTACACACATTCGTTAGAACAGTCTTTTCAAACACAAGTCAGATCATGTTACTTGCTTGTTCAAAGCCAGTGTTTTCCCATGACATTTTTAATATCCCAAATCATTACCATGGTCTCCAGGACCCTGCAAAATCTGACTTCTGCCTAGATTTCTCAATCATCTCTGCTTCTCTCTCACTCACTCTGCTACAGTCACACTGGCTTCTTCATTCTTCCTACAACATGCCAAATACATGTCTACCTTAGGGCCTTTACACTTCTTGCTTTGGATCTTTTGATGTCTCATTCCCTCACCTTATTCAGGTTCTCCTCAAAGTGGCCTTTCCTTTCCACCTCCCCAGACCCTAACCTTTCTTGGTTCTTTAGAACACTTATTACTATTTTGTTTATTGTCTGTTCTTCTCATTAAATGAAAACTCCATGAAGCAGGAATGTTGTCCTCTTTAATAGTATATTCCTAACATTGGAATAATGCCTGGTGTATAGTTTGAGCCAATACATATTTTTGAATGACTTATTAAATGAAATTTTTATATGATAGAGGTAGCACAGCATATCATTTTGTAAGAGATTTATTATCCAATGACTGGTTTTGAGAAAACTAGTTAGACATTTTAGGAGAAGATGTATGCTTAATAAGAGGATATAATGAACAGTTTTTGCCAACATACTTGACAATTTAGATGAAATAAACAAATTCCAAAAAACCTGATATACCAAAGCTAACACAAGTAAAAATAGAAAACCTGAATAGAGCTATATCTAGTAAAGAGTTTAATTCATTATTAAAGACCTTCGCATCAAACAGCAGACAAACAAATAAATTTTCTGGGGCAGATGGCTTTTCCGGTAAAGTCTTCCAAACACTTAAAATAAATAATAACATCAATCTTACATACTCTTTCAGAGAATAGAAAAAAAAGTAACATTTCCCAGCTCATTCTCAAGAAAAAACATTATATCAAAAGCTGACACAGACATTACAAGAAAAGAAAATTAAAGACCAAACTCTCCTGGACATAGATACAGAAATACTAAGCAAAATATAATCAAAATGAATTTAGTGATACATAAAAAAGATAATACATTATAACCAAGTGGGATAAACTTTAGGAATTCAAGAGTAGTTTAACATTTGAAAATAAATCAAGATAATACCTTGTAGTAACAGAATAAAGGAGTAAAAATATACATACAATCTACATAGATGTAGAAAAGGATTTGATAAAATTCAGTGTTGATTTATGATTTTTAAAAAGCCTAAGCAAAGGAAATTTGTTAATCTGATAATGAGTGCCTAAAAATATCTTAAACATCATTCTTGATGGTGAAATGTTGAAAGTCTTCTCCTTGAGATATCTGCTAGCATCACTTTAATTTAGCATTGCATTAGAGATCCTAGCCATTGTAGCAAGGCAAGAGAAAGAAATAGAAAGTATATGGTTTGGAAAGTAAGAAATAAAACTGTCATTATCAATAGGCAACATGACTGTATATATAGAAAACCCAAAAGAATCTATAGATAAACTATTAGAATTAATAAGTAAATTTAAGCAGGGGTACTGGATACCAGGTCAATATATAAAAACCAATTATACTTACATATACTAGCAATAAAAATAGAAAATGAAATTTAAAAAACAATACCATTTACAATAGCCTCAGAAAACACCGAATTCATAGGAATAAATGTGACAGAGATGTAAGATTTCTACATTGAAAACAAGAAGACATACTGAGAGAAATTGAAGAAAACTTAAGTAGATGGAAAGATATACCATGTTCATAGAATGGATGACTCAATATTGTGAAGATGTCAACTTTCCTTAAATTAATTTGTATATTATACAAGCCATTCAAAATTCTAGCAGGCTTTTTAAATGGATATCAACAAACTGAATATAAAATCTGCATGGAAAAGAAAAGGGCCGAGTTAAGCCATCACAATAATTAAGAATATGAAGGAGGCTGAGATAACTTATGGCACCAAATATTTAGAATTATTATAAAGCTATTGTAATTAAGTCAATGTGGCATCTGTGCTAAAATAGACAAATGGCCCTATTGGGGAGGAAATATAATTTTTCCTCAACCTCTATGAGTTCTTAGTTGAGACAGATTCCTGTAACAAAAGACAAGATTAACAAGATAAAAACAGACAAGCTAATTAACATGTGTAGCACACATCATGAGGGACAAACTTTAATGAAAAGTATCTCAAAGCAATGGCTTAGAACTCAGGCTTATATAGCATCTTCAACAAACAGCAATACATTTGTAGACAAATGAAAGGACAAATGAAAAGATTTTAGGTTTCCAAGGGTGGGAAATGATGGGAAGGTAAATATATGGGAGGAAACTAATGGAGTGAGGTTTATTTTCAGGTTCCTCTGATGCTGTCTATGGGCTGATAAAGAGTCTAGAGTTTTCTCTAGTCAAGGAGAACTTATATCCTGCCTGTAGGCAGAAGGTAGGATAGGGTGAGCTTTTTCTCTGTTTACTGCTTCTTAATTGCCTTTTGCTAAAAAGTAATTTTTATGTCAGAGGCATATTTTGGGGTGACATATTCCTGTTTCCTTAAGCCCAATGGAACAGATTAGAGAATTTAGAAAGAGATCTTTATATGATCACTTGATTTATGACAAAGTTGACACTAAAATACAGTAGAGAAAGGATGTCTTTTCAATAAATAGTGCTGACTCAATTTAGTATCCATACGGGAAAAAAAGAATCTTCCTCAAGCCATTCACAAATATCAATTCTAGCTGCATTGTAGGTCTATATATATTAGGTAAGACAATAAAGCTCTTAAAAGAAAACATAAGAGAATATCTGTATATCCTTAGAATAGCCAAACATTTCTTAAACATTACACAGAAGGACTAACTATAAAGGAAAATATTGATAAACTAGATTAAACTAAACTCAAGAAATTCTGATCATCAAAAGATACTATTAAGGGAATGAAAGAGCAAGCCCAGAGTAGGAGAAGATACTATAAATAACTACAAATCAATATGAGAAAGGCAAGTAACCCAAAAGAAAAGTGGACAAAAAGCTTGAAAAAACACTTTACACAGAGAATGTTCAAATGGCTTACAAATATGTTAAAAGTTATATCAATTGCATTCATTGTCAGAGAAATGCAAATTAAATCTACAAAAAGGTATGTCTACATATGCTTCAGAATGGCTAAATTTAAAAAGTCGGACAATACCAAATGTTGACAAGAACATGGAACAACTAGACTCTCATATATTATTGGTGGGAATGTAAACTGATACAGCTATTATGGAAGACCGTTGGGCAGTATCTACTGGGCAGTATCTACTAAAGCTGAACATACACTCTGTACCCGCAATTCCCCACTCCTAGGTATATGACAAACAAATGTAGTATATATATTTGCCAGAAGACATATATAAGAAGGTACATAGCATTCATAATATTCATAATAGCCTCAAACTGGAAGCAACCCAGATATCCAAAGACAGTAGAATAGATAAATAAATCAATATATGGAATATATACAGAAATGAGAATATGTAATCTATAATCACATGCAAAAACATGGGCGTATGTCACAAACATAATGCTGAGAAAAAGAAGCCAAACACTCAAACAGGCAGCACTAATCTCTGGTAATAGAAATCAGGATAGTGGTTACCTGGGGGTGGTAATGACTAGAAGCGGGAATTAAGGGGACTTTTAGGGTGTGAGTCATATTTGGTTTCTTGGTCTGGGTGTATGGTATGGGATGGGGTTATTTTGTGAAAATTCATCAAGCTGTACAATGATGCCTTGTGCTCTTTTCTGTATGTATCTTATACTTCATTAAATTTTTTATTTAAAAAAACCTGGATCCTTACTTCAATTCTTAAACCAAAGTAAGTTACAGCTAGATTACATATTTAAATATAAAATGAAAGGTCCACAATTAAACATGGATGAACTTTTTTTTTATAATCTCAGAAACATGAATTGGAAAAAATTTCTTTGAAAAGAAAATTAAAATGGTAATAAATAAATATCAACATGAGGAAAATATTTATAAAATAATAATGTATTATGTGTTGCCAGTCAGACCATCAGACATTAAAAGATACAAAATACTCAGTGTTGCTAAGGTTTGGTGAAAGGGTACTCTCATGTTTGATTATTAGAATAATTTGTTTCTACAGCATTTTTGGAGGACTTTAAAATGTGCATACTATTTGACCTAACAGTACATTTCTAGGAATTTTATCTTAGGAAATATTTGCCTACATAAATATATCAGGATAGTAATTAAAGCATTTTTATAATATCGAAACTGGAAATACTTTAAATGTCTATGAATAGAGTACTGGTTATATAAGGTACACCCTGTTTAATAAAGTATACTATGTCTGGTAGAAAGAATGAGGTTGATCTGTATCAGTGGATGAAGTCATATGGCCAGGAGATACTGATTGCTAAATGAAAAGAGTAAGTTGATGAACATTTCTGTAGTGTGATCTCATTTAAAGAAATATATATTTCATTGGAAAATTCTGGGAAAATATACACCAAACTATTTACATAAAATGATCACATATAGTCAAAAATATTTATGTGCATGTATTAAAATCAGTAGGAACTATACCAAAATGTCAACACTGGCTCTCTCGGGGGATTACTGAGGCATTTAAATTTATTTTTGTATACCTTTGTATTCCAAATTCCCTACAATGAGTGTATGTTGATTTAATAACCAGAAGATGCTAAATAGGATTATTAAATTTTGTCTGTATATTACCAGTTTCATGATAAAGATCAAACTCCTAATGAAAGCATTTCTTTCCTGTCCTTACTGCCTGTCTGTCCACCTTTATCTGGCACTGACCTTCCATATGCACCCTGCATTTCGTTTGTATACAGAACACAGATACTTTCTTATTGGAAATAATTTAAACAATGAGGAGCACATAGAGAATAAAACGTGGAAACTCGACCTTTTTCTGTACGTTTGCTCACATATGTATGTGTATATACAAATATAGTCTTTTTAAAAGCATAAATGGGATGCTTGCCTCCTCCATCTTAACCACATTCCATTACTTGCTGTTCCTTGAACCATTCATGCTGTTTCAGCCCCACGTAACTAGCCAAAGGCCCCTTTTACCCTTTCTTCCTGTCCCTGTGCAACCAGCAATTACAGTGTCTAATTATTTGATGTTTTTCCTAAAGACTTTTGATGCAAGAGGTTCAAAAGGCACAAAGCATGAAAGGAAAGCAGACGTAGCCATTGCCATGTAGGCAGCTGAAGGATGATGGAGAATTGGCAGGATACTGTTTCCAGTTATTCACTGAGATTTTTATCCCTCTGGTTTCTCTTAGTGATGGCACATCCCCTGCCTAGGCAGCTAGGGTGTTCCCTACTCATTGCCTCAGGGGACAAGTGACATAGTGGATTTCAGAAATCGATGCTTAGCTTTTGATTTGCTACAGTCTGGTTCTTGTGTGGCACCAAAGGACTCAATGCATAGACAAAACATTTAGAAAGATGCCCATGAGTAAGAAAAGGCTTCTTTAGTACCTTTAAAGCCCCTTCCTAATGGGGTGATATTGTCCTTGGTGAGAAGAGAGGAGGAGAGCTGGAGGGAAGGAGGAAAGGCAGATGTCCGTGGTTCCTTAGGAGGCAGGTCTTGCTCTGTGTCTACGCTGAATTCTGAAGGGCAGTGACCATGCAAACCCCTCACAGGTCTGGCATGCCAGAGAGCAGAGGAAACCCATGCCCCTGTATTTAGGCAAGGCTCAGAGGCTTTGGCACTCACTGAGTAAGGCCCTGGAATGTAGACTTAATTCTGGGGAGATGGGGTTGGAGGAGAGACCTTGAATTGCATGGAATTAGTCTCTAACAGAGGGTTGCATTATAAATTAAGATGATTAGAGAACAGGTAAGTTGCATTCTTTACATACCTGAGCTTGAAAACTGAGAATTGTCCTCATAACAAATAGAAGAATTCTGATTTTATTTCTTTGCTTTGGTGGTGGTGCTGGTTGGATTTTGATGTTGGCCATGAGCCCCGGGGATTTCCTTAAGCATGATCCTCGGAAGCTGTCTCACTTTCTCCCTGGCTTTGCCTCTCCACAGGGCTGCTGACCACCAGCAGCACGGACCTCTGGAGGCCAAAACAGGCCTGACAGTCACAGATGTGTTTGCCATCTCATCTTTATGTGAGTGGAGTAAGGAAAGATGAAAGCCACAGAATGAGACCTTTCTGGACATGACTGTACAGGAGCCCAGCCTGGAATGCACTCAGAGTTGATGCTGAATAAACTAAGAGATGCAAATAAAAACCAACAAGGAACCCTTCTTTAACGTATTAAATTTGAGGGAAAATTCTTGTCATTGACTTGCATTCATTCAAGGGTTGGTTAAGTAATTTTCAGACCTAAATTTGTTATTGATCATAGCATTTAGAGTGAATTTTGGATATCACTCAGTAACTTCAGCTTCATTGGTGCCTAGAAAGTTCACCTGAGCAGATGTCACAACACAATAAGCTGATGGAAATGAGAGGACAGATCGGCATCACTGGACCTACAATAGAGGAGGTTATTTCTTTGTGGCCATTCTAGGTACTCTGTGAAGCTCAGGATGTGGATATTGTTGGCGCAGCTTTATTTGTGCTCTGTTGTCCCGCCATCATTTCAGATTTGCTGATCTTTGCCACAAGTCCGAATCAGCTCATCCATTTTCTCACCTTTCTCTGCCTTTTCCCCACCTCCTGCTTGTGCTTTGCACCCCCTCCTTCCTTGCTGTGTGCTGGAGCCGCGTGACTTTCTCCTTTCCCCGAACTCTCACCCTGCTTGCCTTTGGTCCCTTCTTTCTCTGTGATGTGAACATCCTTGCTTAAATGCAGCTGTATTGTTCATTTTGTGGCATGCCATTTCCTTTCCACCTGGCAGACTCTCCACCAGCTGGGAAGGGACATGTATCTGCTCTTCAGGAAATGCTGTCCTTTGGGTGGAAAAGGACTGGCTTCCTGGCAGTGCCAAAATGAAGATCTTTCTCTGCTGAAAACAAAACAAAACCCCTTTATCTGTGAAACTTCCTGTTTCCTCCACTGAAAGCCGTGCTTCTCCAACATGGGGCATTATGCCAGGGGCACATGAAATCATAGGACAGACTGGGTGCATCTTCCCGGATGCTGCTTGAAACTTTGGGGGGAAATAGTTTTGACTTTTTCTTCCTCGTAAAAGCTGTTGCCATACATGGGTAGAGGAATATTATGGAGGGCAATGTAAAATTCATGTGGCATTTAAGGATTAAACAGGAGATGTAAAAATTTCTTGTTTCTGGTAAGCTGCTTTGGGTTATGTCTTCAAAATTCCTGGGGTGTCTTTCTGCTTCTCTGCTGTTGGGAAGGACTAAAATGGAGACTTCTGAGCAGCACCTAAAGTATTCCTTGTAAGTGGAAGACTGCTATGGGTTTGACCCAGCACATTTGGCAGCTTGGGCTGATTTAATGAAGTTGTACAAAATTTTGAAATATTAATAGAGATGTCTTCCTTCCCCAGCCCTTAAAATTTCCCCATGGCCCTCCCCTTATTCTGTTATTAATTCATTGCTGGAAGCATTTGGACTGTTATAATAGGAATGTAAAGATAAATAAACAGGTAGGGCTCCTGTTGAGATTTTAAATATCTGTATTTTCAAATTCATAGCAGAGACAAAGCAAGACTTTTCATATGGAAGAGTTTGGGCTTGAACATCAAAAGCAAATCTTTGAAGAAACTGAGGTGTTATGGGTTGAATTGTGTCTCCCCAAAAATCAGATGTTGAAATCTTAACTTCTAGTATCTCAGAATGTGACTGTATTAAGGAGAGAAGGTCTATTACAGTGGTAATCAAACTAAAATGAGGTCATTAGTGTGGGCTCTAATCCAATATGACTGATATGCTTATAAAAAGTAGAAATTTGGACACAGAGCCATGCATACAGAGAAGATAGTATGAAGAGACATAGGGAGAAGACAGCCACCTACAAGCCAAGGAGAGAGGCCTAGAACACATCCTTCCTTCAGCCCTCGGGAGGAGCAAATGTGGTCAACACCTTGATCTTGGACTTTAGCCTCCAGAACTGTAGACAATAAATTTTTGTTGTTTAAGCCACTCAGTTTATGGCAGCCCTATCAAACTAATACACAAGGCATAAAGTTTTGCCATGAACAACAGATTGGAAATGTGTTTCATCACATCTAATGTCTTGGTCTGTTCAGGCTGCTATAACAAAGTAGCATAGACTGGGTGGGTTAAACAACAGATATTTCTTTCTCATAGTTTGGAAGCTGGAAGTCCAAGATCAGATGCCAGCATGGTTGGGTTCTGGTGAGGGCCCTCTTCCTGGCTTGTAGACAGCTGCCTTTTACAGTATGGCAAAGAGAGGGAGAACTCTAGTCTCTTCCTCTTCTCTTTATTTTTATTTTTATTTTTATTGAGAGGGAGTCTCGCCCTGTCTCCCAGGCTGGAGTGCAGCGGCACAATCTTGGCTCACTGCAACCTCCACCTCCTGGGTTCAAGCAATTCTCTTGTCTCAGCCTTCCAAGTAGCTGAGATTACAGGTGCCTGCCACCACACCTGGCTAATTTTTGTATTTCAGTAGAAATGAGGTTTCACCACGTTGGTGAGGCTGGTCTTGAACTCTTGACCTCAAATGATCCGCCCACCTAGGCCCCCACAAAATGCTCTTCCTCTTATAAGGGCTCCAGCCCCATCATGGGGACCACACCATCATGACGCATCTAAACCTACTTACTTCTTAAAGGCCACTCCTCCTAATAACATCACATTGGAGGTTAGGGCTTCAACATATGAATTTGGGGGGTACGCAAACACTCCATTCATAACATGTGAGAGGTCACCAATTATAAGGTACCTCCCAATTTTAAGAGACATCTATGTCTAAAGAAATGTACTACATCTTAGAATCAATAAAACATGGCAGTGTAGATGAAGAATAAAAGTACCCTGTTCTGTAAACTAGCTAAACATGGCCTAAGTCAGGGACAGGGAGGAACCAGAGGAAATGTTCCAGGGTTTATATTCCAGTGGGTTCATGGAAAGATACCTAGTTTCCTGTCTTTTTTTGCAGTGGACTGAGCCTTGGAGGTGGGGTGAGAGGAGCAGGGACATCCCTATGTCACTTCCCATTCTTGTTGTTTCCCAGGATGAGGCCCTGTAGAGAAGTTCCTTGTGTCCACATGGTACAGCACCAGCGAAAGTGCAAAAGGGCAGGGTAGCATGTCTTCATTAGAGACTAGAGAGTAGCACAGGACAGTGTCCAAAACTCCTGGTCTATAGATAATTTATTTGGAAATAGCAAAGAGGCAGATGGAGGAAGAAATTGTGAATAAGGGAGTCAGTGAACCGAAAGGAGCTCGTAGTTGAGATTAGAAGGATGTGGGCGACCCCTCTGCCTTGAGGCTTTGAGGCCAACATGAGGACCACAGAATCGGTGGAGGATTTGATAGGGATAGAGGCCAATGGGCAATGACCAGGTGGAAAGAAGGCAGTTGATGGAGGCCAGGGCAGGCACCATGTCCCCAAATGCCTGAGAAACCTTAGCTAGAACCCTAACAAGAAGGGTGATGGTGGTGTGATATCTTGAATTGATCAAGTTAAGCTTGAAATGATTAATTTTACCCAGAAGTAACTGAGTTTACCTGGAAATAACCTAGATTTAACTTCTAACTTTGAAGGGAATAGGAGGTCAATACAGAAACTAATTCTTTTTATAAAGAGAAAATATATTTGACTTTATACACGTGAGTCTAGATTTTAAAATATTTCACTCAGTGTATCAATTTTCACTTCTAATCCCTTGCCCTCCACATTATATTGGTTTTCCAGATACTCTGAAACTCTACATTGTCAAAAGAATTGAAAGAAAGTTGACTTGTGTTAATAGAAATGTACACAGGATTCTTTTTCAAGATGACAGACTAAGTACATTCGTTTGCCTCCCCTGCCTTCTTGGAATCTTCTGAAATGGTGGCTAAAGGCATCTAGAAAAAAAAAATTTGTGACAACTCTGAAAACAGCAGGCAGTGCTGTGGGTAGAAAAGATATTTCATCAAGACAAGCTAGATGGGCTTGCAGTTTGTTATTTCAGTGGGAAACCGTGTCCTAGAACTAAATGAAGAATTGTGTCAGAGGAGGGAGACCTTGTTCAGACAGGATCCAAGCTAGGAATTAGCACATATGGAGGACAAGAGTGAGCTTTGAAACAGTGGTCTGGGCTGAGCCTTGGAGGTGGGGTGGGATGAATTAAAGAGCAGGGACATCCCTCCTCTTGGTGGTTAACTGGAAAGATGTCCTTGGGACATTTTGGTTAAGTAGCTCTTTCCTTTCTAAGATGTGTATAGAGCAATTTGAATTCTAAGAATGGTTTTCTGAACTTATGAATGATTTTCTAAGGGACAGCCAAAGGTATGAAGTTGGGGCAAGAAAGCACTGCAAAGTAATATCTGATGTAGACCCAGCAGATAAAAAGGAAATCCTGAGGGTAGAGCCAGAGGGTAGAAAGGAAAGTCATCTCCAGCTAGGAGGGAAATACTTTTAAGTGCCCTACTTTCCTTTGAAGGTGGTGGAGTTCCAGATGTACTTGCTTGCTCCCTACCTGCATGTACCAAAGAGAAGAATCTCTGCACACAAAGGCTAGAGTCAGCCCTCACATTCAGAGCAAATAGACCTGCCTAACTACAAAGGAAACACACATGAACTACCTATACTAATCTACAGTCCTTCAGCAACAAATATAAAGGATCTCCTAAGGACCACCAGACATCTGAGGGAGATCAACAACATAAGAGACAAAGACCAAGATAAACAAACAAGAAGTCACTTGAGAGGATATGGAGATATTAAAAGCAATTCAGAGATTTTTACATAAATAAAACAATGACTCACTGCTATGAAAAACATGTTATTATGGCTGGGCACAGTGGCTCACACCTGTAATCTCAGCACTTTGGGAGACCAATGTAGGAGGACTGCTTGAGGCCAGGAGTTTGAGACCAGCCTGGGCAACATAGTGAGATCCTGTCTGTACCAAAAGAAAAAAAATTAGCCAGGCATGGTGGTATGTGCCTGTAATCCCAGCTACTCAGGAGGCTGAGGCAGTGAGCTATGATGGCACCATGGCACTCCAGCCTGGGCAACAGGTAAGACCCTGTTTTGTTTGTTTGTTTGTTTTTAAAAGGACATGATATATTCCAAATAAGTAAATGAGACAAAATTGAGAAAATCTTTCAGAAACTAGAAAAGGTGGCAAATTTAAGAAATATGTAAAAAGACAATATAATAGTTTGAGAAGGTCCAATATCTGCATAGTATATACAAAAGAAATGAAGAAATAATGGAATAATTTTTCTCTGAGCTAAAGGAAGAATCAAATTCTTCAATCAAAAGGAACCCACTGAGTGCCAAGCAGGATAAATGAGAACAGATCCAGATCAAGACACATTATGATGAATTTCAATACTCTGGGAATGAAGTTACACACTGGCTAAGTAGCTCTTTCCTTTCTAAGATGTGTATAGAGCAATTTGAATTCTAAGAATGGTTTTCCAAACTTATGAATGATTTGCTAAGGGACATCCAAAAGTATGAAATTGGGGCAAGGAAGCAATGCAGAATAATATCTGATGTAGACCCAGCAGACAAAAAGGAAATCCTGTGGGTAGAGCCAGAGGGTAAAAAGGAAAGTCATCTCCCACTAGGAAGGAAATACATTTAAATGCCTTAGTTTCCTTTGAAGGTGGTGGAGTTCCAGATGTACCTGCCTGCTCCCTACCTGTGTGTACCAAAGAGAAGAATAAAAGCTCTCAGCAACAGGGGAAACGACATTATTCACAAAGAAATAGGAAGTAGATTCACATATTACTTCAGTAATCGATACAATAGATACCAGTAGACAATGGCATAATGCTTTCAAAGTTTTAAGGGAAAGTAAACTAATAATTCTATACTCACGTTTTCTGAAATTCAGAGGTCGGGCATCACCAGCGTTGGTAAATTTATCAGCTTAATAATGACAAATAATAACAGGATTCCTGATTCTTCTGTTATTTTGCAGCGTCTCCTTAGCTTGTTGGCTTTGTGCTCAGGCTAGCTCCTCTATGGTGACAAGATATCCACGGTAGTTCTAGGAACCACAGTCAGAAATAACAGTCTGCAGAGGAAAATGGGAATGCCTTTTATTCAGAACTCCTGGAAGACTTATTTACCAAATTTTAACGTGTCTATTCCTAAACCAATCACTGTAAGGGTAATAGGTAGACCACTGCCTGTGGACACACGGACAAGGAGAATACCTGTACAAAGGAAGATGTTATTATGAAAAGTATTGGGGTGGGAGTAGATGAATGTTGTGACAGCCAGTAGTGTCTGCTGTACCAGCCATGTGAACAATTAAGTGTGTGAGTAAAATCAACATTTTCAGACATGTAAGAATTCAGGAAGTTTACTTCCCATATAGCCTTTCCAAAAAAAGAACAACTATTAAAGGATATCTCCAGCCAAACAACAAATGATCAAGAAATGGTTAAAATGTTGGATCCAACAAACTATGATAACCCAGTAGGGCAATGAAAAGAAATCCCAGTATAACAATTGTGGAGCCGATTTAGAAAGCAGCTGCCAACAATCAGAAGAAGCCACAGTGTCTTCAAAGAGAAAGTGATTCCATTACAGAAACTGTGTAGCTGAGAACTAATAATGGCTTTATCGTATGATGCTGCATATGCCTTTCCTTTTCTTTTTTTCTTCTT
Organism: Homo sapiens; assembly: GCF_000001405.40. Lineage (NCBI taxonomy): Eukaryota > Metazoa > Chordata > Mammalia > Primates > Hominidae > Homo > Homo sapiens. The sequence continues at coordinate 42,008,355 of NC_000001.11, read as the reverse complement.
GGGAACTCTGGGAAAAATACAAAGTCATAATCCACATACAAAGGAAACAAAAATGTGTCTTGGTTCTCAGCAGTTGGTGGAGAGAAGGAACAGAGAGTCCACTTGATCTTCACACTTGAAACATTATTCTTCAAGTGGCACAGATTTCATGTGACAGGATCACATTTTGTTCTTTTGGGTTCAGTCAGACTTCTTGGTTCTGTACATTCCATCATATTTTCAGTGCTGTTTACTAGTTTTTATGTTTTAGAGTCAATTTAAAAACAAAGCATGGAAAATACAATAACAGAATATGATGTAAATTTATCAATCACATTTGGAGTCTAGGAGATGAAGTGGAAGGAATATAGGTGAGTCTTCGTGGGAGGTTTTAAAAGGGATACAGCAAGAAATAAAGATGTAAGTGCATTCGAGTTATGAAGGAATCCATCAGAAGAACTAAAGGGAGAAACAGATATGTTACCTCTAGAGCATGGACTGTCATGGGGGTGGAGTCAGAGTAAGACATCTCTACTCTTCCGTACTCATTTTTTTAAGCAAATGAATGTATTACTTTTGCGATAACCATTTTAGTACAAATATTGGCATATTATGGAGTAGAATACTGAGTAGTAAGCATTGGCACCGACAAAGCTGAGAAGCCCCAGTGGAAGTGCCATGTATTTCTGGTGAACAGTGTGCACTTGCACCTGTGTCAGTGTCTTCTCCCATCACCCAGACGCCTCTGCTGTCATCACAAGCCTCCCCATCACTCACATGTTGCTATCACACTGGAACTCAGCTTTGTCAGAAGACTTGCCCCTAAGTGAGGGTGAAGTTTCAGAGATGGCAAAAAGCCAGTTACCCTTGAAAATCCTTAAATTGCCCATCAAATACTCTACCTGCAGCACTAGAGACTGTGCTGCCTTCAATAAGCTTGGTAAAGCTGGTGTTCCCCCATTCAATTGTTGTTTCTTGCATTCACAAGCCACATGCTACCAAACCAAACTGAACCAACCGAACAAAAATGTCTTAATCTCTAGAATCCCACTCAAGATGTCAAAATGCTCACACTTGAAGAGAACTGCAGTGAGCCTCATGAAGGACTGGGGTATTCACATCCCTACCTCACGGTCACTCGAGGGCATGTGCTTTTGCAATGAAATGGTACATGCAATTGATCAGGCTCTCTCTCTGCTGTGGTGGAGATGGGGGTAAGCAGAGGGCATAGACCCAAGTCCATGTAAGTTGAATACTTGACTGACTCAGCTCTATTGTATTTCATAATTGTGCTTATTACTCAGAAAAACTCAGATTAGGCAGAAGCTTCTGTACACGTGGAAACACATATAGTCCAATGCTGAGAGTACTCATCAGAAGTTAGCCTAAGTTATGCTGCCTTCCTTCCCACTCCCTGCTGTGACCTTTGGTAAATCATAGAACTTCCTCTCTCTCAGTCTCAGTTTATCTTTCTCTAAATAGGAAATAAGTCGATAACATTTGGCTAGTACGGTCATTCTCAAATTGTGATCTAGGGGTCCCTGGGGGTCTCTGAGAAACCCATTCAGGGATCCATGAGGTCAAAAATACTTTTATAATAATACTAAGATGCAATTTGCCTTTTCCATTTTCATTCTCACGGGTGTACAGTGAAGCTTTACAGAGGTCACAGGACCTATGACATTGCAACAAACTTAATGCAGGGGCAGATTTTAGGATCCAGTTGTCTTCTATTAAGCCAGACATTAAAGAGACTCACTAAAGTGTGAAACAGCACCACTCTTTTCACAGTTTTTTTTTTTTTTTTTTGGCTTTGGAAAGTATAGTTATTTTTCATAAAATATGTTACTTATGTTAACATGTAATGAGGTTATTGACAATGAACTAATAAATATTTTAGTAATTTTTGTTTTACTTTCTGATATGGCAAATAATATAGATATTACCCCATAAACAAAGGCTCTTTGGGGTCTGCAGTAATTTTTAAGAATGTAAGGAGGTCCTGAGACCAGAGAGTTTCAGAACCGCTGCTCTGGTGCTTTGCAGTTAGCAGGGTACTTTCCCACACCTTATTTCATTGGTTCCTCTCGTCCCTGTCTCTTTCCTTGTCTCTTTCAGCCTCCCCCCACCCTCCACCCCTCACACCAACACATGCAACACATGCACACTGAAAGACACACCTGTAGTTTTTAGCTTGGTCTTCTGTCATATCTTGGTTTCCAAGTTTTGCTTCATATGGTTTTATCATCTGGAGGAAATGGGGAAGATTGCATGAAAACATCTAGCAATGATCCAACGATCTTTTCTAATGGTCAGCATTCATTTTTAACTTGTCGTGACCTTAAAGCTATCTGTGTAGAACTGTTTTATAGAAAAATATCTGGAACTGGAAATTCCCAGGAAAATCATAAAAAAGAAACTAGTTATGAAAGACTGGAGACCTTACTTCTAAACCACTCTCACTGAACCAGCCAAGAAGAGATTATCAGCTTTTGGCACAATTCTACATTTCTCACTTTAAGCTAGAAGCAAAAGTATTAAATTTTAGTTACCTCTAATAGTTGTGCAATTTTTAAACATGGTTGAAGGCTTTATTTGAAAGAAAGTATTGTCAGATGAGTAGTGCATTCAACTGATAGCAAAGATTTCTACAAGCAGCATCTTCACTAGTGATTCATAGTGCAATTCCAGCAACTTACTCTTTCCTGAATGTTGGTTGCAAAACAAGGTTATCAACCATTCAGATATCTTCAGAAAGATGCAGCATGGGAACCAACACTGGGGTCCTCCATGGGCGATGGAAACTTCTCTCCAGTTTATAAAGGTAGCCCCCCATCGTTTGAGCCTTTACAAAATAAATGAAGGCTGTGCACCCAAAGGTTTATCCTGGAATTTGCCTGACTCATTTATTCATTATATATATCTGTGTAGATATATATACACATAGACATATATATATACACATATGTGTGTATATATATACACATGTGTGTGTCATATATATGTATATGTGCATGTATACATATATATGTATGTGTGCGTGCGTGTGTCTGTGTGTGTACACCTACTATGTGCTGGGCATTACAGACTGCCATGACAGCAACTTGCTTTCCACTTGAGAGACATACAGAAAGCCCTGTACATTAGTAAGTGAATTATATAGATCTTTAGAAGGGCAAAATACTTTGGGAACAGTGAGCAAGGTAAGGGGAATCAGGGATACAGGGTAGCCTTGCTGAGATGATGACATTTAAGCCAAGCCCTGTATGGGGTAGGGTGGAGGGGGCAGTGCTCCCATCAGCGGGAATGGCCAGGGCAAAGTCCCTAAGGTGGAGTGTCCAGGACAGCAAGGAGGCCAGCGTGGGGATTTCCTGTCCCCTCTGAAACAGATATTGACCGTTCGAAGCAAAGGATTTAGAACTAGGCGACAGACATATTTACAGCAAACTCTAATATTTGAAACACATCTGTTAGGAGCTATTTTGCTTACTAAATGAGTTGCTGTAGCAGTCATCAAGATCACAATGGTGACTTGAAACACAGACTGCCAGGCTTCACCCCCAGAGTTTCTAAGTCAGTAGGTCCAGGGTGGAGCTTGAGGATTTGCAGCTCTAATGGGTTCACAGGTGATGCTGCTGCTGCTGCTTTGGTTACCATACTTTGAGAACCACTGCTCAATAGGTGATAGGATTTTCCTAATAGTTCCATGGTGTATTTTTAGGTATAATGTATTGACAACTTGCTTGGGAACATATCTTTATATAAGTAACTTACATTCCTGAAGAGTTCATGTGATCATACAGTATGGAGCTCAAGCGGTCGGCAGTTCTGACCCTTTGCCTTCCAAGCAACCATTCTGGCCCCATGATGCAATAGTAACTCAGAGAGGTTGCAGCTGCCCACGTCACCTAGTTGTTAGGTTTTTGGAAAGACGGTGATATACAAAAGTAATGAAAAAAAGCTCCCCTTTCTTCCTTATTTCTAGAACCACTGGATGTGCAAACATAATTAAATCTTGCTTTTTTATTAAAATAGGGAGGATACATTTTGCCCTTGACTGAGAAAATCAGAAGTCATGAGCCCCTGCTGTCTTTGCCACATATTAAGGCTTAGAATGCCTACAGTGGATGGATGTGGGCTCTACCTGTTTTGAACATGTGTGCTTCTGATTTCTTCCTGAGCTCTCTGATTTGCTTCCTTGATTTGTTTTCCTCTCCTCTTTCCTCCTGGGTCATGCCTGGGGCCTGCTCCACCACCTGGTTGGTGTCCACTTTGCAAAGGCGGACTTGCTGGGAGAGGTGGCAGTGAGGTTGTGTCCTCCTTTCCTTACTTGGCAGTTGCAGTGTGGAGGGGTGACCTACAACATGAGATGCCTTGTCACTCTGCCCGGATTTAGTACCTAACCTGAGACATTTGCATTGATTTGTTCCTTTTTTTGGTGGCAAAATTTGTGAGACAGAAAAACGACACATTTAACAGCAGCTTAATTTAACTAAAAATCTCAAGCTTATGTCTCCCCCAGAGGCATGTCCGAGGTTTTTTCTCTTTACTGTACTCTTGAGGTGACGAGAGTGCCTTTTTTTTTTTTTTGCCCTAAAAAGACATTTGCCTATTGACTTGGCCCCTTTACCTCCCTGCACCTTATAATCCTTGTCAGCAGCACAGGAAATGTGATCCTTCTTTAGAAAGGAGACCTCTGGAGGTTCTTGAACTCAATGGCCTGGTTTGCTGCCAATCTGGGCAGCCTCATGGGAGGGGCATGATTTCAGGATCTGTGCCAGGAAGGAGTGCCTGGGGGACTTGCTCCCAAGGTGGTTTGTCTTCTGTCGCCACTGTTCTCCCTTCTGGCTCTGTCAGTCGACTTCGATGTGCACGGACAAGGACCTCTTTGCTGAGTAAAGGACAGGGTGCTTTGGAAAACAGCTCAGAAACAACAGGGGCTCATTTATATTATGTTTTATTCTTTTGTATGATATTGTTTTTGAGAAGTCAGCTTTTTAGGTGGGGCACGTTGGCTCACGCCTGTAATCCCAGCACTTTGGGAGGCAGAGGAGGGTGGATCACCTGAGGTCAGGAGTTCGAGACCAGCCTGGCCAACATGATGAAACCTCATCTCTACTAAAAATACAAAAATTAGCTGAGCGTGGTGGTGCACACCTGCATTCCCAGCTACTCAGGAGGCTGAGACAAGAAGAATCGCTTGAACCTGGGAGGTGGAGGTTACAGTGAGCCGAGATTGTGCCACTGTACTCCAGCCTGGGCAACAGAGCAAGACTTCATCTCAAAAATTAAAAAAAAAGAAAAAAGAGAAGTCAGCTTTAAATATTAATTTCTAGATATTTAAAAATATTAGTTAGCAGTTAGAACAAAAAAAACCCAGAAATCTCTAAAAGATAATACTGAATGATGCTAATAAACTCACAGTCTCATATTAGGATTTGAATAAATGTATTTCTTGTCCTTACTGTCCAGCTACCATGTGCGGGTAAAATGCCAGAACCCTTTATTCTCAGGACCTTTCCCCCAGTGGAAAGGGGACACCTCTCAAAGCTCCATCTGCTGTATGAGCATGTGGGCAGGGTGGGAGGGGGAACCTGGAGCCAGAATGATGTCTGGATGTTTCCCTTTTGGGCTACTGACTTGTACAGGAGAGTGGAACCCCAGGGGTCCATCTGACTGGCCCTTGGAGGCAGTTCCCATATCTGGAGTCCCCTAAGCCATGGCAGGCCCCACTGGATCTGCTGATGGAATTGGCTGGGGCCTGGCATCTATATCTTAAAAGCACCCCTGAGTGATTCTAAGGGGCAGCCAAGGTTGAGAACAAAGTGTTCATGGGGAACCCTACTACCTTTGAGTCTGGTTTTTGAAGATCTCTGTCAGAGCCAGTCCTGATCTTTCCTGGCACCTGGACAGGTACAGGGATTTCCCAGCAACCGAGGTGTCATGTGGGCAGATGGGTGAAACTCCCTGAGTGGTGTTGTTTGCACTCTTTCGCGACTGACACAGCCAGCAGGAGTCTGTGTCTGTGAGAGGCCAGGGAAGGTGAGAAGGTCCTGCCCGTTCCCTTGGTTGCTGGGCCATCTGGGTCCCTGTCACTGGGGCCTCTGTTCTGAAGGTATCTGCTGATAGAAGCTGCAGTGGGTGGCAGAGGAGGAGGAGGTAATTTGGTCCCATCTTGGTATGATGTCCTCTGCGTCAGCGAGTCATTGTCAGACAGTTGCTAATTGTCACATTGTGTGTCTGATGATTCTCCTTTATTTTATTTTATTATTTTATTTTTTAAAAATAAAGACCTACCGTTTCTAAAGAGAACTGGCAGTCAATCAGAAAAGTGTGAGTTAAAAGCTTGTGGAAAGGGGGATTTGGGGCTACTTTTAGTGATTACAGGCAGGGGCATTGGTGCCCACCAATCAGAACAAGTGCAGGACATATGCTGGAATGGGGGCTTGGGTGTCCCCTGCCAGGCCCGGGCTACCCCCCAGTTGATGGATCATGGGGAATGTTTGGGGTTCCTGAGAGTGGGGTCAGGGCAGGGTGGGGGTAGTGGTGAGATACCCCGGAGACTTAGGCAGTGACTGTTTATCAAGTAGTACAAAATATTTCAATATTTTACCAAGCAGTATGTCTGTACAGGTGTATACCATCTAGATACCAGGGCTGCTTGTAAAAGATGCCAAAAATTCTGATTAACCTCAGCTTAAGTGTGTGATGAGCCAGGCTTGGTGGAAGATACTGTGGGTGCATAGCTGTGCCTGTCTCATCATTGCTGTGTCTTCGGGGCCCAGCCCAGGGTCTGGTACATAGTAGGTAATCAATAAATACTTGATCCTTGAATCTAGTCTTTCAGCTCTTATGGCTCTCCTAAGGAAAATTAAAGGAACACTATTGAGCATGACAATGTAGCAGACACTGTATCAGGCACTGTGTAGTGAGGTTATCTCCAGACACCAGGCTGCCTTTATGGGCACAGCATCTGTGGAAAAGGAGAGGATATTTTCATGCCAGTAGAGTGTGATGAGTCTTTAACCTGGATTTGTTAAACCAGACTGCTCACACCCTCCATAGACAATGTTGGGGCTACGCGGACAGACTTATGCTTCTGAGCTGACAGTTCAGTGTCTAGGTTATGTTACTAATATTATATCTGCTTATTTATTCTGTTGCAGACTCTTCTTTTTCAGTGTGTCCCTTTTTTCCTGTTCCCTTGCTCACCATTTTTACATTATGACCTATCTGGAGTAGAGGTTCTGTGTCTAACCTTGGGGTAAAGAGCACAGACTCTGGATCAGACCACCTGGATTCAAATCTTAAATGTGGTGTGACCTCTCTGTGCTCTGGCGTCTTCAGCCATAAATGGAAATAATAGTAGGTCATGCTTCATGGGGTTGTTGCAAGTATTACTATATGTAACGCACTTAGAATAGTGCCTGGCACATCCTCAGTGCCATATGGATGCTTGTTCCATTTATGATCTAATTTTAAATGACCAGATTTCAAATATGCTAATGTAAGACACAAGAGCTAAAACAGGTGACTCTTATTACTAGGGGAGGAGCTGGGGAGCGATTGGTTGCTCTGCTTCTCTATTTTAAAATTCAATAGAGTCTTCCATTTTGAGTATTGGGAGAAAAATCTTTGTCAGGAGGGTTTTTGGGTGCTGATTTGAAAGTGTCTTTAGTATATTTCTCATCATTGTATATTGCAGGAGAACTGTCATCCATCTGCAGTGCTTCCCAAGTAACTGTCTGGGGCTTATGGTGATGTATCCCCACTGCTGAGATGGAAGGGAGTCCTCAGATACCTGGCAGATCAACTGTGCTAGTTATAGCTGTCATGTACTGAGCATACTCTCCCATCCTCCTCTTTCTCCTTTGGGAACCTGCTCCTCTACTTCATGTGATCTTGGTGGGGCTGTCCATGAAGGTGACTTGTGCCTCCTCCTGCCCTTGCACATGGGCAGTGACCTGCAGTGGGCCAGCTGTAGTATTACATTCCTCCATTTACAGTGGCTGGTTTAGGGAAGGGCAATTTGTCCAATCTGGGCTACAAAGGTGCCCCCTGGGGGTTCTTCTCCTGGATCTACTGAGGGAAGACTATTCTCTTCATTTATGTTAGCAAGTTGTAAGGATGTTGGCCTAGGCCCACCAGAAGCTACCTTTCCTGGGATATGGAAAGAGTATCTATGGTAGGAAAGAGTAACACTAACATGCAAAGAGAAGTGGATACAAGCAGAGCAGAGAAAGAGAAGTGGAAACAGAAACACAACCAGATCATTTGAGTACCTAGGTCCAGCTTTAGCTGAACCAGTCTACACACTAAGTTTTCAATTATGAATTAATGAATTCCCACTTGTTTTGCTAGTTTAAATTGGGTTTCTGTCAACTGTGATTAAAAGATTCCTCACTAGTAGAGTCTGGACATATTTAATAACACTAGATTTTCTAGAATTCCCTAATATGGCCTCATAATAAAAGTTTGAAAAAAAAAAAAGAATGGATCAATTTGCTGCGTGGCTTGACTCTTTTGCTGCTTTAAGAATGGGCCAGCAAGGTACTTCTGTGACCTGATGATGGAACCATTCATATTGGACTTCACCACTCTGTGCCTTCCTTTATGTTCCCTCTCTTTGAAATGCTGTTCCCTTTGACTTCTTAGGTTCTTGCTGGCTTGTTCACCATTCAAAGTTCCATTCAAATGTTTTTCTTCTGCAATCATCTTTGATCTTGCTGCTCAGATCCTTTCCCTTCCTTTCTGGGTTCCCATAGCACTTTAATTTTTCTCTATTTATCTCAATTTGTAGTGTGTTATACTCAATTGTCCAAGTGACCCATGTGTCCTCTGGAATCATCCTGGCTTTGAGATTCTAATGGCACTGACTTGAATGCCCATTGATGTGAGCTGCGAACTTGGTCTTCTCCTAATTAGGGTTTTGGGGGTGGGACTGTAGAGAGGTGCCCATTAAAATCACCTGTATCTCCCTCTAGCACTTTTATGAGTTAATTTTTATACTCACTTCTTTTCTCCAATTCTAATTGCCTTTAATGATCAAGAATGAGAATCTGATTCAGGGTGTTTAAAATAAATTATTATGGAGGATTTTAACTTTTTTGTTTAGTTGGTTTATATTTTCTACACTTTCTGTACGGGGCATGCGTTGCTTTTATACTTAGAAAAAAGTATTATGGCTGGGCGTGGTGGCTCACACCTGTAATCTCAGCACTTTGGGAGGCTGAGGCAGGTGGATCATGAGGTCAAGAGATCAAGACCATCCTGGCCAACATGGTGAAACCCCTTCTCTACTAAAAATACAAAAATTAGTTCAGTGTAGTGGCATGCACCTGTAGTCCCAGCTTCTTGGGAGGCTGAGGCAGGAGAATCACTTGAACCTGGGAGGTGGAGGTTGCAGTGAGCTGAGATCGCACCATTGCGCTCCAGTCTGATGACAGAGCAAGACTCCGTCTCAAAAAAAAAAAAAAAAAAAAAAAAAGAGAGAGAGAAAAGTATTAAAAACCAGCAAAAATGATTCTCTATTATGTAGATGCTATCAAAATAAGAGTGGCAAAATCACATGAAGGAAGTGATAATGATAGCTTATTTTATTTTCTAACAATCTTCTTGTTATATAAAAGACATAAGCAAACCATTTATTAATTAATCCCTGATTATTTCAAATGGTCAGTTGTTAATAGACCTCAAATAAGGGTTTTTATGATCTGATTTTCAACAATTGGCTTTGGCATTCAATACTAATATTTATGCTTAATTTTACATTTGACAGAACTAAGCCATACACAAGGTATTTATTCTCAGGATATTAAATATCTGCTGTGTGGTTTACAAACATCCATTATAAGATAGAAGGCAGAGACCTATCTGAAATGCTCAGTATTCCTAAAGAATATATAAAATTTAGCAAAAAGTATGACATCATGACATGACATCATTTTGCTTAATTTTCACCCCTCATTTGATTAAATATGCCAAATATCCAGAGTCAAAAGTGGAAGGAGACATAGTGATTGTGAGTTTAACTGGGCAAAATTCAGTATCCAGTGTCCTGAATGATAATATAGTGATAAGGCAAAAATTATTTAATACTTAATGTAGAGAAAATTAAGATAGAATGTGAACTTTTTTGACATGAACTATGAACTGAACATATTATGTTCATTTTATAGTATATTGGCTTTCCTTTTAAAAATTAATCTTATATTTATCCCCTTGTTAATCTTTTTTTTTAACAGACAGACTTTTAACACTCTAAGAGGGTGGTTTGTTTCTTGATGTTAAGCCAGGGTACCTAAGGATATTTTACAAACACATCCATTAAATTGCTGAGTTCTCTAAGTTTGACAATTTACTAAACTGATATAACAGGTAGTTCAATTTAGCAGCTGTATGGAATCAATCGTTTAGCACAGTTTGATATTTAACACTGCAGCTTAACCATAAAAATACAATTTATGCTAATATGTTCTATTCAGGCCTGTTTCCAACAAAGCCTACAATTTAGCCCCTTCGAGTTCTCACAACTGCTGTTTACTAATAATGCTTGATTTCAACAGAAAAAAATTCCTTCAATTCAAACAGCATGGGAAACTTGTATTTTGAGGGAAGTTAATCATTTGGTGATTCTTTAATCCTTATGCTCAAAGTTGGATGTAATTTTCACATCTTCTCTGTTTTCTTTCTTCATGTTATATGGTGTTTTGGTCCTTAGAGAATTAGAACAAGTACAGCATATTCACATTTTATGCAGAGGATGCATTCCTAAAAAACTCACATAATTTAAAACTTGCACAATTCGAGTCTAGTTTTCAGTTAGGAATAAATATAAAGTAAGATTTTCTTGGCTTCAACTGTGCATAAAGAGAAGGTTTATTAATTTTGTATGTGATACTATTTAAAATTTACACGAAGTGCAACTGCATGGCGTATCTTTTGCCCCCTTTCAATGTCTGCTGGACTGTCCATCTCTTTTCATGTTCGTGTTGCTGAGTCAAAAATGGGGGTGAAGCTCCTCCCCCGTTAGCCAATGTGGAGCAGCCACAACAGGAAAGGCGTGGTAGTTTCAAACCAAGGCCACATGGCCACACATTTATTGGCACTCCTTCCATTGAGAGGTTGGGTCTATGACCCCTACTCTAGAATCTGAGCTGGCTGTGACAATTTTGACCAGTCTTTACTGTGGACATGATGCTATGCTATGTGATTCCCAAGGTGTAGTTGATAGAATAATGTTCCCTCCCCCTGCCATAGATGTTCACATCCTAATCTGCAGAACCTGTGAATGTGTGTTACCTTATATGGCAAAAGGGACTTGGCAGATGTGATTGAGTTAAGGATCTTGAGGCTGGAAGATTATCCTGGATTATCTGGGTGGGCTCAATGTAGTCACAAGGGTCCTCATAAGACACAGACAAGAGTTTCAGGGCCAGAGAGAGATTCGAAGATGTGCTATGCTGCTGCCTTCAAAGATGGTAGAAGGGGCCATGGGCCGAGGAATGCAGGTGGCTGGAAAAGACAAGGGAACAAATTTTCCCCTGAGTCTTCAGAAGGAATGCAGCTCTGCTCACACTTTGATTTTATTCCAGTGAAATCCATGTGAGACTTCTGACCTCCCAAACTGTACGATAGTAAATTTGTATTGTTTTAAGGCACTAAGTTTGTGATAATTCATTATAGCAAGAATGGGAAATTAATACACAGGGCTAAGTCAGGAAAAGCCTGGTTCTCCTGGAATGTTCATTCCCTGGATCCTCCCATCCTTCCTCTCAGGATGCTACCTCTTGGAATCCAGCTACCATACTATGAGATACCCAAACTGTGCATGGGTGCTCTGGTCAGCTGCTCAAAGGAGCCCCACCTTTGAGCCACCCCAGCCCAGGTGTCAGATATATCAGTTATCTCTATGGGACTCTATGAGTCCAGCCCTTAGCCATTAGAGTTACTGCCAGCTCTGTCTCTCTCTCTCTTTTTTTTTTTTTGAGATAGGTTCTTGCTCTGTCACCCAGGCTGGAGTGCAGTGACATGATCATAGCTCACTGCAAGCTCAAACTCTTGTGCTCAAGCAGTCCTCTAACCTTATAGCCTTTCCAGTAGCTAGGACTACAGCATACACCACCACGCTCAGCTATTTTTTTTTTAATAGAAATAACGTCTTGATATGTTGGCCAGGCTGGTCTTGAACTCCTGGCCTCAATTGATCCTCTCACCTCAGCCTCCTGATTGCTGGGATTACAGGTGTGAGCCACTGCCTCTGGACCCCAGCTCTTTGAATCTTCCAAGCTGAGACCACAGACATAGTGGCACAGAGAGAAACTATTTCTGCTGTTCTCTGCCAAAATTTCTGACCCTCAGATTCCAGGAGCTTAATAAAATGGCTATTTTAAACCAGTAAATTTGGGGTGATTTGTTGAGGCAGAGGAGGAGGTGAGGATACGTGAACCAAGGCAAAACATCTCACTGCCTAGAGGCAAGTGTGGTTTGGCCTCTGCTGGAGGTTAATGTTACAAGCTGATTTGGACTGATGCTGTGATGGAGCTGAAGGAAAAAGAGATGAACCCAAAAAGAGACAATAGGCATATCTCACTCATCAAAGTCTAAAATTACTTCAAAATACCTTTATTTTCCTCCTGAATGATACAATGATCCCAGGACACATTAACTCCACTTACCTCCCTCCTGATCATAAATTATTGTTGTCATGCATTTTATTCCTATCATTTTTTTAACTGACAAGGCATTTTTGATGTTTTATGCAAATAGTGTTAATTTAGATTTATCCACATCTTTGTTACTTTTTCTGCTTTTCTTATTGTATCTCAGATCTTTCATCTGGGATCACCTTTCTTCTTCTTCATGAAGAAAATTCTTCAGAATTTCTTTTAGAGAGTGTCTGCTGGTAGCAAATTCAGTTTTTGTCTGAAAATGGCTTTATTTGCTCTCATTTTTGAAAGATGCTTTCACTGATAATACAATTCTAGATTGGCAATTGTTTTCTTTGAATTCATTGAAGATATCATTTTATTGTCTATAGCCTCCACTGTTTCTGCTGGGAAGACAACTACACTCTTTGAAGGTAATCTTAATTTTCTCTGGTTTTCTTTTCCCCCTCACTTCTGTTACTTTTGTCATAATTCTGTGAAGTTTCACTGTGATGTGTCTAGGAGTGGGTTTCTTCCACTTAGTGCGATTGGGTTTCACTGGGCCTTTCACTGGGTACTCGTGATCAACATCTTTCATTTGTTCTGGAAAATTCTCGGTGATTATCTTTTAAAATATTTCTTCTGCCCATTCTCTCACCCTTCTTATACTCTGAATAAAACGTATGTTGGACTTTTTCCTCTCTGTATCTTAGACTTTCTTTTATATTTTTTGTTACTGTCTGTCTTTGAAATATTTTAGGTAATTTCTAATTCTCTCTCTAATAATGTGTAATCTCTTGTTAAACCCAGTCATTGATCCTTTTTTTTCTTTTAGTTTCTGGAGCCTCTCGGGTTATTTTTCAAATCTTTGATGTCATTTTCAGATCCTTGTTCTGTGCAGATAGGCTTATACTTTATATATTTGAACATAGTAACATGATAAGCATAGTTGTTTTATAGTTTGCATTTCTGTGTTAGTCTGTTTTCACACTGCTATAAATAACTACTTGAGACTGGGTAATTTATGAAGAAAAGAGGTTTAAGTGACTCACAGTTCAGCAGGCTTAACAGGAAGCATGGCTGGGAGGCCTCAGGAAACTTACAGTCATGGTGGAAGGTGAAAGAGAAGCAAGCACCTTCTTCACATGGCAGCAAGAGAGATAGAGAGAGTGATGGGGGAAATGCCACACAATTTTAAACCATCACATCTCGCAAGAACTCATTCACTATCATGAGAACAGCATGGGGGAAACCTGTTCCCATGATCCAATTACCTACCATCAGGTCCCTTTCCCAACATTGGGAATTACAATTCAACATGAGATTTGGGTGGGGACATAGCGCCAAATCGCATCAATTTCATAATTCCAATATTGCTAGCATTGGCTTATCTGTTTCTGCTGATGTTGCTTCTGCTTATAATACATTGTTTCCTAGGCTGCTCGGGTATTTTTTTTTTTTTTTGCTAAGTCTATCACTGTCCTTAAAAAATAATTTGTGGGAATTATTTGAGGCCTAAGATAACATGCTTCTCTCCAGAGAGGATTTTTTTTCTTTATTTTTATTTTTTTCTTTTATTATTATACTTTAAGTTTTAGGGTACATGTGCACATTGTGCAGGTTAGTTACATATGTATACATGTGCCATGCTGGTGCACTGCACCCACTAACTCGTCATCTAGCATTATGTATATCTCCCAATGCTATCCCTCCCCCCTCCCCCCACCCCACAACAGTCCCCAGAGTGTGATGTTCCCCTTCCTGTGTCCATGTGATCTCATTGTTCAGTTCCCACCTATGAGTGAGAATATGCGGTGTTTGGTTTTTTGTTCTTGCAATAGTTTATTGAGAATGATGATTTCCAATTTCATCCATGTCCCTACAAAGGAAATGAACTCATCATTTTTTATGGCTGCATAGTATTCCATGGTGTATATGTGCCACATTTTCTTAATCCAGTCTATCATTGTTGGACATTTGGGTTGGTTCCAAGTCTTTGCTATTGTGAATAGTGCCGCAATAAACATATGTGTGCATGTGTCTTTATAGCAGCATGATTTATAGTCCTTTGGGTATATACCCAGTAATGGGATGGCTGGGTCAAATGGTATTTCTGGTTCTAGATTCCTGAGGAATCGCCGCACTGAATTCCACAATGGTTGAACTAGTTTACAGTCCCACCAACAGTGTATAAGTGTTCCTATTTCTCCACTTCCTCTCCAGCACCTGTTGTTTCCTGACTTTTTAATGATTGCCATTCTAACTGGTGTGAGATGGTATCTCATTGTGGTTTTGATTTGCATTTCTCTGATGGCCAGTGATGATGAGCATTTTTTCATGTGTTTTTTGGCTGCATAAATGTCTTCTTTTGAGAAGTGTCTGTTCATGTCCTTTGCCCACTTTTTGATGGGGTTGTTTGTTTTTTTCTTGTAAATTTGTTTGAGTTCATTGTAGATTCTGGATATTAGCCCTTTGTCAGATGAGTCGGTTGCGAAAATTTTCTCCCATTTTGTAGGTTGCCTGTTCACTCTGATGGTAGTTTCTTTTGCTGTACAGAAGCTCTTTAGTTTAATTAGATCCCATTTGTCAATTTTGTCTTTTGTTACCATTGCTTTTGGTGTTTTAGACATGAAGTCCTTGCCCATGCCTATGTCCTGAATGGTATTGCCTAGGTTTTCTTCTAGGGTTTTTATGGTTTTAGGTCTAACGTTTAAGTCTTTAATCCATCTTGAATTAATTTTTGTATAAGGTGTAAGGAAGGGATCCAGTTTCAGCTTTCTACATATGGCTAGCCAGTTTTCCCAGCACCATTTATTAAATAGGGAATCCTTTCCCCATTGCTTGTTTTTCTCAGGTTTGTCAAAGATCAGATAGTTGTAGATATGCGGCGTTATTTCTGAGGGCTCTGTTCTGTTCCATTGATCTATATCTCTGTTTTGGTACCAGTACCATACTGTTTTGGTTACTGTAGCCTTGTAGTATAGTTTGAAGTCAGGTAGTGTGATGCCTCCAGCTTTGTTCTTTTGGCTTAGGATTGACTTGGCGATGCGGGCTCTTTTTTGGTTCCATATGAACTTTAAAGTAGTTTTTTCCAATTCTGTGAAGAAAGGCATTGGTAGCTTGATGGGGATGGCATTGAATCTGTAAATTACCTTGGGCAGTATGGTCATTTTCATGATATTGATTCTTCCTACCCATGAGCATGGAATGTTCTTCCATTTGTTTGTATCCTCTTTTATTTCCTTGAGCAGTGGTTTGTAGTTCTCCTTGAAGAGGTCCTTCACATCCCTTGTAAGTTGGATTCCTAGGTATTTTATTCTCTTTGAAGCAATTGTGAATGGGAGTTCACTCATGATTTGGCTCTCTGTTTGTCTGTTGTTGGTGTATAAGAATGCTTGTGATTTTTGTACATTTATTTTGTATCCTGAGACTTTGCTGAAGTTGCTTATCGCTTAAGGAGATTTTGGGCTGAGTCAATGGGGTTTTCTAGATATACAATCATGTCATCTGCAAAGAGGGACAATTTGACTTCCTCTTTTCCTAATTGAATACCCTTTATTTCCTTCTCCTGCCTAATTGCCCTGGCCAGAACTTCCAACACTATGTTGAATAGGAGTGGTGAGAGAGGGCATCCCTGTCTTGTGCCAGTTTTCAAAGGGAATGCTTCCAGGTTTTGCCCATTCAGTATGATATTGGCTGTGGGTTTGTCATAGATAGCTCTTATTATTTTGAAATATGTCCCATCAATACGTAATTTATTGAGAGTTTTTAGCATGAAGGGTTGTTGAATTTTGTCAAAGGCTTTTTCTGCATCTATTGAGATAATCATGTGGTTTTTGTCTTTGGCTCTGTTTATATGCTGGATTACATTTATTGATTTGCGTATATTGAACCAGCCTTGCATCCCAGGGATGAAGCCCACTTGATCATGGTGGATAAGCTTTTTGATGTGCTGCTGGATTCGTTTTGCCAGTATTTTATTGAGGATTTTTGCATCAATGTTCATCAAGGATATTGGTCTAAAATTCTCTTTTTTGGTTGTGTCTCCGCCAGGCTTTGGTATCAGAATGATGCTGACCTCATAAAATGAGTTAGGGAGGATTCCCTCTTTTTCTATTGATTGGAATAGTTTCAGAAGGAATGGTACCAGTTCCTCCTTGTACCTCTGGTAGAATTCGGCTGTGAATCCATCTGGTCCTGGACTCTTTTTGGTTGGTAAGCTATTGATTATTGCCACAATTTCAGATCCTGTTATTGGTCTATTCAGAGATTCAACTTCTTGCTGGTTTAGTCTTGGGAGAGTGTATGTGTCGAGGAATTTATCCATTTCTTCTAGATTTTCTAGTTTATTTGCGTAGAGGTGTTTGTAGTATTCTCTGATGGTAGTTTGTATTTCTGTGGGATCAGTGGTGATATCCCCTTTATCATTTTTTATTGCATCTATTTGATTCTTCTCTCTTTTTTTCTTTATTAGTCTTGCTAGCGGTCTATTTTGTTGATCCTTTCAAAAAACCAGCTCCTGGATTCATTAATTTTTTGAAGGGTTTTTTGTGTCTCTGTTTCCTTCAGTTCTGCTCTGATTTTAGTTATTTCTTGCCTTCTGCTAGCTTTTGAATGTGTTTGTTCTTGCTTTTCTAGTTCTTTTAATTGTGATGTTAGGGTGTCAATTTTGGATCTTTCCTGCTTTCTCTTGTGGGCATTTAGTGCTATAAATTTCCCTCTACACACTGCTTTGAATGCATCCCAGAGATTCTGGTATGTTGTGTCTTTGTTCTCGTTGGTTTCAAAGAACATCTTTATTTCTGCCTTCATTTCGTTATGTACCCAGTAGTCATTCAGGAGCAGGTTGTTCAGTTTCCATGTAGTTGAGCGGTTTTGAGTGAGATTCTTAATCCTGAGTTCTAGTTTGATTGCACTGTGGTCTGAGAGATAGTTTGTTATAATTTCTGTTCTTTTACATTTGCTGAGGAGAGCTTTACTTCCAAGTATGTGGTCAATTTTGGAATAGGTGTGGTGTGGTGCTGAAAAAAATATATATTCTGTTGATTTGTGGTGGAGAGTTCTGTAGATGTCTATTAGGTCCGCTTGGTGCAGAGCTGAGTTCAATTCCTGGGTATCCTTGTTGACTTTCTGTCTCGTTGATCTGTCTAATGTTGACAGTGGGGTGTTAAAGTCTCCCATTATTAATGTGTGGGAGTCTAAGTCTCTTTGTAGGTCACTCAGGACTTGCTTTATGAATCTGGGTGCTCCTGTATTGGGTGCATATATATTTAGGATAGTTAGCTCTTCTTGTTGAATTGATCCCTTTACCATTATGTAATGGCCTTCTTTGTCTCTTTTGATCTTTGTTGGTTTAAAGTCTGTGAAGGAAAAAATGTTAAGGGCAGCCAGAGAGAAAGGTAGGGTTACCCTCAAAGGGAAGCCCATCAGACTAACAGCAGATCTCTCAGCAGAAACCCTACAAGCCAGAAGAGAGTGGGGGCCAATATTCAACATTCTTAAAGAAAAGAATTTTCAACCCAGAATTTCATATCCAGCCAAACTAAGCTTCATAAGTGAAGGAGAAATAAAATACTTTACAGACAAGCAAATGCTGAGAGATTTTGTCACCACCAGGCCTGCCCTAAAAGAGCTCCTGAAGGAAGTGCTAAACATGGAAAGGAACAACCGGTACCAGCCGCTGCAAAATCATGCCAAAATGTAAAGACCATCGAGACTAGGAGAAACTGCATCAACTAAGGAGCAAAATCACCAGCTAACATCATCATGACAGGATCAAATTCACACATAACAATATTAACTTTAAATGTAAATGGACTAAATGCTCCAATTAAAAGACACAGACTGGCAAATTGGATAAAGAGTCAAGACCCATCAGTGTGCTGTATTCAGGAAACCCATCTCACGTGCAGAGACACACATAGGCTCAAAATAAAAGGATGGAGGAAGATCTACCAAGCAAATGGAAAACAAAAAAAGGCAGGGGTTGCAATCCTAGTCTCTGATTTTTTTTTCTTTTGCTGAGTACTTCAGGTCACTTCTGGTCTAATACAATTTTAAAATAAACTATGGCTTTTTTTGTTGTTGTTTTGCCTACACAGATAAGGTAAATTTGGACAGAAATGGCAGCTAGGGCTGCCTTTTTCCCTTTCCTTAGTTATCCTCCTGATTAACTTCTTAACTCTCTTCAGAACTCTGTTCAAATATCTCCTTATCAATGAAGCCTTCCATGACCACTTGCTATAAAATATTATTCTTGTGTAGTGCAGTCTTCCTATCCCACATTATTTTGTTCATAACATTTTTTACCATATAGATTGCTCTATGATTCCTTGTTTATTTTTTGTAGATTTTAATTTTTTAAATTGACAAATACAAATTGTACATATTTATGATGTACAGTATGATATTTTGTGATGTATATATATATGTACACATACTGTGCAATAACTAAATCAAGCTAATTAACATACCCATTAACACATATAATTATCATTTGTTTTGTGGTGAGAGCATTTAACATCTACTCTCTTAGCAATGCTTAAGTGTATAATACGTTGTTATTAACTATAACCACCATATTGTACAGTAGATATCTTGAACTCATTCTTCCCATCTAACTGAAATTTTATGTCTTTTCACCAGCATCTCTCCAACCCATCCCCCACTATCCTCTAGGGACCACCATTTTTATTCTCTGCTTCTATGAGTTTGACTTTTAGATTCCACATACAAGTGAGATCATGCAGTATTTGCCCTTCTGTGCCTGGCTTATTTAGCTTAACATAATATTCTTTAGGTTCATCTGTGTTTTCACAAATGATAGGATTTCCTTATTTTTAAAAGCCAAATAATATTCCATTCATCCAATATATATTACATCTTTTAATCCATTCATTTGTTGATGGACACTTTGGTTGATTCCATATCTTGGCTATTATAAATAATGCTGCAGTGAACATGGGAGTTGCATATATCTCTTCAACATACTGATTTTATTTCCCTTGAATATATACCTGCAAGTGGAGTTGTTGGACCATATGGTAGTTCTAGTTGTAATTTTTTGAGGAACTTCCCTACTGGTTTTCATAATGGCTGTACTATCTTACATTCCCATCAGTAGTGTAGAAAGACTCCCTTTTCACCACATCCTCACTAACACTTGTTATTTCTCATCTTTTTGATAACAGCTATCCTAACTGTTGTGAAGTAATATCTAATTGCGATTTTAATTTACATTTCCATGATGATTAGTGATGAGTATTTTTCACAAACCTGTGGCCATATGTATGTCTTCTTTTGAGAAATGCCTTTTCAGATCCTTTGCCCATGTTATTTATTTTCTTAATATTGAGTGGTTTGAGTTTCTTATATATTTTGGGTATTAACCCATATCAGATGATTGGTTTGCAAATATTTTCTCCTGTTCAGGTTATTTTTTCATTCTGCTGATTATTTCCTTTGCTGTGCATAAGCTTTATAGTGTGATGCAATCTCACATGTCTATTTTTGCTTTTGTTGCCTGTGCTTTTGGGGTCATATCCAAGAAATCTTTACCAAATCCAGTGTCAAGAAGCTTTT
The DNA here is from genome assembly GCF_000001405.40 of Homo sapiens. Classification (NCBI taxonomy): domain Eukaryota; kingdom Metazoa; phylum Chordata; class Mammalia; order Primates; family Hominidae; genus Homo; species Homo sapiens. The sequence goes on along the minus strand of NC_000001.11, from coordinate 41,988,148 downwards.
CTCCTTTGTCTTTTTCTGGTAGTTTTATAGTTTATTATGTTTAAGTCTTTAATCCATTTTGACTTGATTTTTATATATGGGATGAGATAAGGGTCTGATATGGTTTGGCTCCGTGTCCCCACCCAAATCTCATCTCGACCTATAATTCCTATGTGTTGAGTGAGGGAGGTGATTGGATCATGGGGGTGGTTCCCCCATACTGTTCTCATGATAGTGAGTGAATTCTCATGAGATCTGGTTGTTTGATAAGTGTGAGGCTCTTTCCCCTTGTGCACTTCTCCTGCTGCTTAGTGAAGAAGGTGCCTGCTTCCCCTTCCGCCATAATTGTAAGTTTCCTGAGACTTCCCCAGCCATGCAGAACTGAGTCAATTAAGCCTCTTTCTTTTATAAATTACCCAATCTTTATATCTTTATAGCAGTGTGAAAATGGACTAATACAGGGTCTAATTTCAATTGTCTATCTAATTTTCCCAACACCACTTCCCCAATGTGGGTTCTTGGCGTTTTTGTCAAAGATCAGCTGACTGTAAATGCATGCATTTATTTCTAGGCTCTCCATTCTGTTCCATTGGTCTCTATGTCTGTTTTTGTGCTAGTACCAGGCTGTTTTGATTACTCTAGCTTTGTAGCAGATTTTGAGATCAGATAATGTGATGCTTCCAGCTTTGTTCTGTTTGCTCAAGATTCCTTTGTCCATTTGGAGTCTTTTGTGATTCCATATGAATTTTAAGATTGATTTTTCTATTTCTTTTTTATTTATTTATTTTTATTTTTTAAAATTTTACTTGAAGTTCTTAGATACATGTGCAGAATGTGCAGGTTTGTTACACAGGTATACATATGCCATGGTGGTTTGCTGGGATTTTTCTATTTCTATGAAAAATGTCATGGGACTTGTGGTAGGAATTGAATTTGTGGATTACTTTGGGTAGTAAGGTCATTTTAGCGATATTAATTCTTCTATGTTTATAGATTTATCACTATCTTGTAAGCTTCAAGAGGGCAGAAACATTGTTTCATTCATTGCTCATTCCTGGTACCTACAATGATGTCTGGCACATTGTAGGCACTAAATAAATATTTAGCAGAATGTATAAATGAATGTGTATTATCTCAGATACTCAGAATCCTTTAGACACAATTCAGTATAGTACAGTATACAGATATTTGTCGATCAGGGATATGAGCAATACAAAGCAGTATCTAGAATAATTGATTACCCTTAGAGATCCTCTTAATTAAAGAATACAAACTTCTGTCTCCAATACTAACTCATATTTTTAAAAATCGTGTTTAAATATATTTGATAAATAGTATTCATTTAATACTCTGCTGGAAGGACAGTATCTTAATAGTTTATGAAATGGGCAGCAATTAATAAATACATTTGTGTTAAAAATGTCCTATTCGGCAGGGCGCGGTGGCTCACGCCTGTAATCCCAGCACTTTGGGAGGCCAAGGTGGGTGGATCACGAGGTCAGGAGATCGAGACCATCCTGGCTAACACGGTGAAACCCTGTCTCTACTAAAAATACAAAAAATTAGCCGGGCGTGGTGGCGGGCGCCTGTATTTCCAGCTACTTGGGAGGCTGAGGCAGGAGAGTGGTGGGAACTCGGGAAGCGGAGCTTGCAGTGAGCCGACATAGCGCCACTGCAGTCTGGCCTGGGCGAAAGAGCAAGACTGCGTCTCAAAAAAAAAAAAAAAAAAAAGTCCTATTCAACACAAAAGTGTAATGTCAGTAAAGCTGTACCACTTGTTCAACAAATACTTATAGAACTTCAGTGTTATGCATGGAAGCCTTGTAATTATGAAAATGAATATGATAATGTTTTGGTAAAATAATATTTTACATCTTGTGCAAGAAAAACCTGAGCAGTTTATTTTAGTTTGGCACCAAAATTTCCTTCCACTTCTGAACATTCAGCTAGATAGTTATATAAGCAGGCTCTCATCTTTTAGACATTTTCTACATATTAGATTCTGAAAGGGCCTTAGAGAGCAGGACATTCTCTTCCCTTGATTTTAAAGATGAGGAAACTAAGGTACAGATAGCATGACTTGAGCCACATCATGTAATTGGATAAGGGATCTAGATCTTGGCTCCACAAACTTTCCAGATGGCTGCCTCCTAGTCTATAAAGATCTTAACTTTGAAATAGATTGACTAAATCTGTGACAGGTTTAACATGGGTGGATCTTTTTTTTTAAAACTGACTTTCATATTCACAGAAGAGACTTAATGTTTAGCCTTGCACTGAAAGTTTTCCAGGCAAAACTTTTAGAAATTTCAGTATTAGGAGTCAAATCTACTCCATAGCCAACTAGACATGGACAAGCATCTGACAAGGGCCTCCTTTGAGCCACTCTCCTTTGTAGCTAACTGGGATAGTACTGGGCATTTCCTCCTTCTAGCTATTGCTGTTCCTCGCCCCCAGATCTGACAAACAGGAGGAACTCAGCTTTTCATGGACTTACAAGAAATATTTAGCAGAACTCATCTTCGTGTCCCTGCAAATTCGTATGTTGAAACCCTAAACTCAATGGGATGGTATTAGGAAGTAAGACCTTTGGGAATTAATTAATCCGCCCTCATGATGGGGTTAGTGCCCTTATAAGAAGAGACACCTATAAGAAGAGAGTTTGCTTCCTCTCTCTCTGGCATGTGAAGACACAGCAAGAAGGTGGCCATCTGCAAACCAGGAGGTATGCCCTCACCAGATGCTGGATCTGCCAGCACCTTGATCTTGGACTTCCAGCCTCCACAACTCTGAGAAATAATTTCTATTGTTTATAAGCCACCCAGTCTCTGGCAATTTGTTATAGCAGCCTGAACTAAGAGTAGACTCTTCATGTTCTGTACTATGGCCTGGAAAATTCTACATGTCCTGGCTCCTGCCTCCTTCTTAGGCCTCATTTTGTGGTACTGTCATCTTGCTCACTACAATCCATCCTCTTCTCAAACTCACCATGCTTAGCATAGTTCACGTGCCCGTAACCTGGAACTAGTTTTCCATTCTTCCCATGGCTAGCTCCTTCCCACCCTTCATATCTCAACTTGAAAGTTGTCTCCTTGGAAAAATCAATCAATCAACCAACCAGTCAATCAATCAGTCATCCCCTGGGAAGGGCCTTCGCTGCCATTCTGTCTAAAGCAGGTCCTTTTTTTTTTTTAGTCCTCTGACTTAGTGCCTTGTTTATTTCTTACATAGCACCTGTGAAAATTTATAATCATTGTATTTATTTGTTTATTTTCTGCTACTTTATAAGATTATATGCCCCTAGAGGGCAGGAGCCTCATTTGTTTTGTTCTGTGGGCCCAGCTGGGTGCCTGGCATGTGAAAGTGGTCTGTGGGATATATAATGAAATGATGTCTCAGAGTTACCTCTAAACTCTCCATCCTGTGGCCAGCAGTAGCCCTTCCCCCTGTTATCTGTCCATTAGCAAAATCAGATCTTTCTAGTAGTGGTCAGTGTGCTTTCTTACAATAAACTAAACTTCTCTGCCATGTGTCCTCCATGGGGGTTGTGTTTTAAACGTTCGATCCCTTCTCTCTGGCTTCTGGGTGATTGCTTTTCCCTTCTCTCAAGTCAGTGCTCCTTCAGACTTTGCTTTCTGAAATGTGCATTCCACGTCTGGATATTTGTTGTGCACCTTTGAGTTCTGAGTTGGTTGCTTTTTTCCTCACTTCTCCCTTAGGGCTATCATGTCAACTTTGATATGACAGTTTCAATCTCTTTTTTCCCCCATTCAGGTCATATTCTCCAGATAACAAAATGTTGTTATTGAATAGCCCTTCTGTATTGTCTGCTTGCTCATTTTTTTCTCAAGAAAAGTTCTATCCAGGTTTATTATTTGGCCAAAAAATACATAGTATGGGCCCAGTGCAGTGGCTCATGTCCATAATCCCAGCACTTTGGGAGACTGAGTGGGAGAATCACTTAAGGCCAGGAATTCAAGACCAGCCTGGGCAATATAGCAAGACCCTGTATCTACAAAACAAACTTGTTTTAAAATTAGCTAAGTGCATAATTTCATTGCCCCAGTTACTCAGGAGGCTGAGGAGGGAGGATCGCTTAGAGTCCAGGAGTTCAAGGCTACAGTGAGCCAAGATTGTGCCATTGCACTCCAGCCTAGGCAACAGAGCGAAATGCTGTCTCTCTCTCTCTCAAAAAAAATATGAGTATGGATTTTTTTTCTTCATTGTTCTACTTCTTTATCTGAGCATCACTTGAATTCTCCCTTTTGTACATGAGAGGCTGTATGTTTGTTACATCCTGCTGTTGCCTATGGACGGTGGGTAGCAGACGGAGCCTTCCAGTAGGTTACTTATCATCAGGACATTTTTTTTTCTTTTTGTTCTGTCTTTTTAATTAAAAACAAACCAAACAAAACTCCAGGAGCCCCTCAGCTGAGAAAGAGGTGGATCTGGTATCCTGATGGCTTTTGAGCTCTGACATCCCATCCCATCCTGCTTGCTGGTGAGTCGGCCACTTAGGAGTGCGTGACTTGTGGCTTCAGGGGTTTGGCTTAGGTATGACTGTTTTTCTTTTTTCTCCACCCAGCTGCACCTTTATTAGCTGTTGCTATTTTCTGCTAAGACAGACAGTTAATCTTTGGTGGTTGTTCCTCCATACCTTTTCTTCTCATTTATATTCCAGAAATAATATATATTTATGCATGTGTATGTGTATGTGTGTGTCTGCCTGCACATAAGGAAAAGGATAACAAAAAGTGTGATCATGTTTTGAACTATGAGTATGTTCCTTACTTTATGTTTGCGCTTGTTAAATTTGATTTTTGTGCATTACTGATGTCTAGATCTTCTTGATTTGGATCGGTCATGGTTTCATTGCTGTAAGTAATTTTTGATAGGGCTTTAAATTTATAGTAGATATTAATAAAAACTGTTGTTAATGATTCTCCTTTTCTTCCTCTAGGGCAGGGGTCTGCTATTGGTCTGTGGCCTGTTAGGAACTGGGCTGCACAGCCTGTGAGGTGGGCGAGCATTACCTCCTGAGCTCCGCCTCCTGTCAGATGAGCAGGGCATTAGATTCTCGTAGGGGTGTGAACCCTATTGTGAACTGCGCATGCAAGGGATCTAGGTTGCACACTCCTTTTGAGAATCAAACTAAAGCCTGATCATCTGTGGTGGAACAGTTTCATCCTGAAACCGTTCCCCTGCTACCGGTCTATGGAAAAGTTGTCCCTGGTGCCAAAAAGATTGGGGACCGCTGCTCTAGGGACTCCCTCACACTAGACTTTGTATTGTTGGCATTTGTTTCATTCAACTAACATTTATTAGGCACCTACTCTGTACCAGGCAGAGCCTTGAGGATACCAAATAGTCCCTCCCTGTCTTTCAATTGGCCAAGACCTATTCATATTTAAACTTTTTAAAAATTGGCAGATTTAATAATACACCTCCTATTCTATCACCAATTCTGTCGGCAAGTAATTAATGGAAATGTTAAATAGTACTGGGCAAGAACTGACCCGGTGGAACTACATTTGTTAATTCCCCCAGGCTGACATTTACACTGACCTGTTAATCAATTTTGTCTTCACTGGATAAATAAATTACAGTTTCCCAGTTTCATGATGGGTAGGTCATACAAGATAAAACTGAAAGCATTACATAAATTCCTCTTTTTGAAGGACACGATTTATCAGATTTATTCTCCAAACCCTGTTGATTTCTGCTGTGGCTGTAGCTGTTCATCAAAATAAGGTAGGGCTGCGCTCATGTATTCTGGAACCTTTGAGTACAACAGCAGGCAAGGGGAAGATGAGAGGGACGCAGTTCCATCAATGCCATTAAACTGCTTTTGTTTGTGCGGAAGAAGAAAATGGAAGGACAAGGATTTTGTTACCTTTGAATCCCCTTTTGCATTCCCATTCTCGAAACTTTAGTTGTCATTCAGGTGGATTCGGACCTTTCCAGCCCCTTTGACGTGGATGATGGATAAGGCTTCGCTTTCAATGCTGTATGGTTGCTGTTAATTAAAACCAAGCAAACAAGGAAATCTTATAAAGTACCACGATAAAGAAATTGATGTTGGAACTACCTCCTTTGAAGTATGTTTTACAAGTGGGATGAATATATGCCCATTCCCTCATGTGTTCATCTGCCACCTTCTCATTTACAAGAAGTAAGCATTTCTTTACTTTTACTGACTCACCTCAGAAATATTTACTTCCCTCTTCTTTTAAATGCTAGGCAGCAGAACCCCTCTGCAGCCCCTGGACCCCCACATTTCAGCAGCTGTCCCCTTGGCCTGAACTTGCCACGAGACTGAAGTGCCCACACATTCAGTGGAGACTGGAATATTGTCTTTCACATTTTCCCTTCTCTTCCTTCACCTTTAAAAGTATGTAGAAGACAGAAAGTCCCAGAATGATGAATCCAGCGAAAGCAGTGAGAAGCTGTTTATATATATAACAAAACGCAATTTCCTTTACCTTTAATGCCTTACCTTCTCTTATCAACCCTCATTCTCTCATCAGTCCTCACCCAACTTTTTGCAGCAGGTAAAATCTCCACTTTACCTTGGAGGAGATGGGGTGGGGAGGCAGTGTGGTTACCCAGTTTGCAGAAGGTCACACAGCTAGTGCACTGCAGAGCAGGAAGACGTGGCAGGCCTTGAGTCCAGCCGCCAGCTCAGCAGAGGTGGGGAGGCTGGATCTGACACACCCTGAGCCTCCCCACCACTTCCTCCCTCCTGCCCCCGACGGAGCCGGCTCCTCCAAATGTGACCCTATAAATGGGGTTTGCATTTCCCCGTTTGCTTCCCAGCTCCGTGGGGATGAAGGCAGAGTCCTTCAGGAATCTTGCCTTTATTTTCTGACAAGGTTCCTATAGGGCTATTTTAGGTGTTGTTATTTCGATGTTTTACCAGGCTGATGCAAATGTTGCCAAGCTCCCTGTAAGAGCTTGCTCCCTTTGGAGACACGTACCTTCTTCCTCTTGTTGTTTGCTTTCCACCCTCACTGTTCTCACAAGGGGAGGACTTTGCTTCTCTCCTTGCCTCTGGGCCCAGCTTGCCAGAGCTCACCCACACCTTGCAGAAGCGAATCCTGATGTGTGCTTCTGAGCCAGGCCTCTCTCAAGCTTGCCCAGCTGTGCAACGATACCCACTTTAGCCCTGCTGGGCACGGTTTGCACTGGTCTTGCCTTGCTTTCTCTCCTGCTGGCCCAGACACCAGCAGGCCCATCCTCCTAACATTCCTCATGGAGTATTTGCTTGGCAGCAGAACCTCTGCTCCAAGGAGACTGTTCCTCTGAATTGTCTGTCAAGGGATTTATCAAAGAAGAAAACAGCTTGCTACTTCTTGTCGCTGACATGTGGTTTAGGGTTAATAAGCCTTGGTTATACTGAATCAAACAGCTCGAGCCCATGGCCCTCAGACGGTTCCATTCACACCCTTTCCCCATTTTAATAACAACTTTATTGAAGTATAATTTGACACCATAAAATTAACCAATTTTAATTGTGTAATATAATGATTTCAGAGTCGTGCAACCAACACACATTGCAGTTTTAGAATATTTCCGTCATCCCCAAAAGATCTGTTGTGCCCAATTGTAGGCAATCTTCACCCCATCCCCAGACCCAGGCAATCACTAGTCTACTTTCTGTCGCTATAGATCTGCCTTATTTGGGCATTTCATATAGAGTCATATAATAGGTAGTCTTTGTGTCTCTTTTTTTCCACTTAGTAGAATGCCTTTGACATTCATCGCATTGTAGCATGTATCAGTATGTTTCATTATACTACCTACTGTATTCTATTGGATGAATATCCCTTGTTTTGTTTATCCATTCACCAGTAGATAGACATTTGGGCTGTTTATACCTTTTGGCTATTATGAATAATACTACCATAAACAGTCAATTACAAGTCTTTACGTGGACATATTTTTTCGTTTCTCTTAGATACTTACTAGGGAATTCCTGGGTCCCAGGGTAAGTTTTATGTTTAACGTTTTAAGAAACTGCCAAATTGTTTTCCCAAGTGGTTGCACCATTTTACCTTACTGTCAACAATGTCAGAGTCTTCCTGTTTCTCCACATCCTTCCAATACATACCATTGTTTCTTAAAGATTGGCTTAGAGCAGACACAAAGCCCTGCCTTGCTTCTTTGCTAGGCATTGCACCTTCACCAGACTGCAGATTCATTCACTCAGACCTTTCTGCTCCCCAAATGCAAGTCTAAAATGGCAATAGAAAATATGATTTTATAGTATTCATATTCCTGCTCCCATAACTAGTAGCAGACTGTTTTTAGTTTCTTTCTTTATAGTAGATACTTTTTCTCCTATAAAGAAGGGAAGAATATCAAATTTTCCCAAATATCTATAGGGAATTTAGTAATGCACCATGCAGCAAGGAAGGAGGGCTCATGTTAAAGTGTAAATGGGCCTTCTGAGTACACAGAAATCAACCAGTGTTACTTTCAGAATGTGGCTCTTGCTAAGCCCTGGATATGAGATCACAAAAGGCTCAGGTGAGCTGATTCCCATTAGACCAGGTAGGAGCTGATTATTGTGTGGTGCAATGATATGTCAAAAAAAGAAAAGAAAATAGAGTGAGTGACAGTAATAGGGAGAGAGAACAGGACAGTGAAATAGGAAAGGCCTGAAGAAAAAGTGTGCACTTTGGCCTTTTTGAGTCCAGATCCCATTACTTAGCTGAGAGCTTGTGGACAAGTGACTAAGCCTCTTTGAACCTCAGTTTCCTCCTCAGTAAATGGGGATGATTTTCTCAACCTTGTGAGTACTGATGGTCTTCGAGCCAGCATGTGGAATGTCTCACACCGGGCCAGGCATACAGAAGGCAGAAGAAACAGATTGCTGCTGTTATGAGAAGGAGGAGGAGGAGAGCAGCGAGAACCAAGTTGTGGGTCAGGGTGAATGCCAGAGGGTGGATAACAGTGGTTCTCAAACTTTCATCTGCCTAAGAATCATTTGGAGGCTTGGGCTGGGTCCCTAGAATTTGTGATCCAAGAGGGTAGAGGTGGGGCCTGAGAATTTGTGTTTCTAACAAGTTCCTGGGGGCTGCTGATGTTGCTGGTGCAGGTGCCCTGTGCTGAGAACCTCAGGTGAAAGCAGGGGTGCTGGGGAATCGGGTCCCTGGCACAGGGAAGAGAGGATGCCTTCTTGACATTGCCTGCATCCCAGACTCTGTTTAAAAAGATGACAATGCAGTTCCTGTCCTCAACACGTCAGTCTGGTGCAGTGATCGTTGGGGCAGGGGTGAGGGGCAAGGACTGGGAAGGTGGCTCCTGAAGTCTAAACTAGATCCTGCATGCATACCTTTTCAAACTCTACTTGTCCCCAGCAGAAGATTCTAATATTGCATTTTAGGAAGGCTCCCATGCTTCTCCTCCTCCATGGCTCTGTCTCTTTTGTTTATTGCTGTATTCTTAGTACCCAGAAGAGTGCCTGGCACTGAGTGGCTGCTCCTTTGCTGAGTGAATGAATGAAGGTTGAAAATTACCATTGGTATTCATTTGCTAGCGATGCTGTAATAAAATACCACAGACTGGGTGGCTTAAACAACGGAAATCCATTTTCTCGAAGTTCTGGAAGCTGGAAGTCCAAGATCAAGGTGTTACAAGTTGGTTTCTCCTGTGGCTGCTCTCTTTGGCTTGCAGACAGCCGCCTCCTGTGTCCTCCTGTGGTCTTTTCTCTGTGCACCTGCACCCTGGTGTCTCCTCCTCTTCTTATAAGGACACCAGTGTACTGGACCCACCCTTATGTCCTCATGTAACCTTAATTACCTCTTTAAAGCCCCTATCTACAAAGACAGTCATATCGGGGCTTAGGGCTTCAACATATGAATTTGGGGGGTGGGGGACACAGTTCAGCTGTTGCCCACAGCTGCTGACTGGAGGGGGTTGTATTTCTCAGCTTGGAGATCCACAAGGGTTGAGAACCTCCAACCTAGTGGATTCCTTAGGACCTTCCTGAGAGGCTGAGGCACCAGCCAAGTAAGGGAAGTGCTCACTTTGGTTGTAAACTAATACATTCTATAATTTAGACCAGAAAGTAAAGACATAGACTTGGGT